>NC_000006.12:118101093-118404123 GCF_000001405.40 Homo sapiens | reverse complement strand
TTTGTGAAGAAGATGGATCTTGAATGATGATTGCTCATCATAAATTTAATCAAATTATAGCTGCTGTTCCAGGTGTTTCTTCATTGCTGGGGCAAATCAACATATCCCCTGAGCACCTGGTATGCAGATATTGATTTGGTGCTTTTCCCTTTTTACCTATTCTATTAGTAAATACTATCAAAGCAATTTGCTTTCAACTGGCAGGGCTGGCAATATATTTTCACTCTCTTACTTACAGGCCATATAAACTTTCTATCCCTAAGTCAAAATCTGGTGGACGTGGACCTTGATCACTTCTCCTTTCCACAGGATATCAATACATTTATGATATTATACTGATAGGACTTAGTGAGCAGGCTGCAGGAACTGCTCTAAACATCTTGGTAAGGATACATGTGCCAGAGGGCGGGAAATAAAAGTTCACAAAAAATCCCACAAAAATTCACAAAAATTCAAGGGTGTTGTATGACCCAGCAGATCAGATGGTACTTGAAGTGTCTGTAACAGATAGGGATGCCATAGGAGCTTTACATAGCATATATAGGTGAATTATAGTGGTACCTTTAAGATTTGGAGCAAAAGCATGACGTGCTCTATGGATAACTGTTTTTCTCTTGAAGGGAACAGTTCTTGGCTTGCCCCTGGGCACTAGTAGAGGCTGACCATGGACTATCAAATTACTGTAAGACCTGAATTGCCCATCATGAACAAGATGTTTTCTGACCCACCAAGCCATGAAGTTTTACTTGGATTGTAGCACTTCATTATTAAATGAAAATGTTTTATATGAGACTGGGCTCATTAACTGGGCATGAGTAACTAACCCAAATGCCTGTGGTCTCTACTTCTGCTACATAGCTTTCTCTCTCTCTCTCAGTCTTCATCCGTGGCCTCATAGGGGGTTTCCTATGACCAGAATGGAGGACAAAAACATCTGAGAATTATTTATAGATGATTCTGCACAATATTCTGGCTATACCCAAAGTGATGACTGTAGCACTACAGACCCGCCATGGGATAACCCTGAAGGACAGTAGGAGAAAATCATCCCAGTGAGCAGAATTTGCATCAGTGCATGCACCTCGTTCTTCATTTTAGCTAGAAGGGGAAATGACCAGAAGTTCCGTTCTATACTGATTTATGTTGGTTGCTAATTATTTGTCTGTATTGTCAGGAAATTAGAAGCAGTAGGACTGAAAGACTGGTGATGAGGAGGTCTGGGGAGGAGTTATGCAGATAGAACTCTGTAAATGGGCAGAGTGTGAAAATACTGTAATCTTAATCTAGTGTCAACTAAAATGCCCTTCTCTTTCCCAGTTTTCTTTCTAGGAACATCTAGGAAAGGGTTTACCCCCTTTTTTTTTCTATCCTATCTTTCTACCTGGGCCACTGAAACTTCAACTTTTTACTGAAGGAAATTGTAATTTTCTTCTCATTTTTTTCTGTCTGATTCTGTTTAAGATTCAAACTTGCTTTTTGCAGTGGTCTTTCTCCTTGAGTCTGAAAAAAATAATTTTCTATAGATTGTCTAACACAGGCTTTCAAAATGTCTTCTTTGGAATATAATAACTCCACTGGTATTTTTCACTACAACTCAAATAGTTGGTATATACCCTGTAACATGAAAGATCCATTCTTTGTCTACATTATAATAAAATATATTTATTCCTGACTAGGCAAGGTTACAATCATGTTCAAAGCATAGGTAATTAATTCAGAATCAAATTGAAACAACATGGTAGAGATGATTCTTGATGCCTATGTTCAAGCCATTTTGGCCTACTCCCTTGAAATTATATCTTCATTCTAACTGGTTATAGTCCAAAGAAGGTAAATTTGAACAGAATTTGAGCTTAGCATAGAAATGCAAAGTCCTGAATGGCAGCCACAACAACTACAATACCATTACTTTGATTATCTCCTGCCCATGTTTTATAGCTGTAGTCTGGTTAAGTAATTTTTTTAAACAATTTTTTTGAGAATTTTTCTTCCCATTTATGCCTATCTTCTAAGGTTCTGATGGCCCTGAGACCAACCTTATCAACATGCAGTAGGGACTTTCTGCCCTATGGTCCCTAAAGAAGTAAAGCCACCACTCTAGTATAAACTCCCAGAAAGACCCTCTCTCAAATACAGGAGTGAATTTCTCTACACTCAAGGACATTTCTTCTCATTCAACTTCAGTTTCTAGAAAAACCTACTAATCCAAAAATGAAGCCATTTCTTTCTAAATGCAGACTGGGCCCTGTGCCTTAAGTTACTAGGCAACACTGTAATTAATACTTAAACATTTAAGCTTGTGGTATCATGCCAGTTACCACTCAAACTCCTGAGAGCACCAGCCACAAGAAGCACTCCAAAACACTAGGCTCCCCATGGGGTTCTTTGCCATCCAAATGCTACTTTCTCATCAAAATGTCCTATGTTGGTACCTAGGGTACTAATTACTTAGAAGTAACATTATTTCTAGGTCCTTAATCAATTGAACACAGCAAAATGAAGTAAAATGCACCTTGCAGTAGAGTTTCAGTCTTGTTGACTTGGTAACCCCTAACAAATATTAGATGGTTGAGCTCAGGCTTAGTTGGCACGAGGCCTCTTATTTTCTTCTTCTTCTAGGCCCTGTTCCTCACGTGTAGGGAGGGCTGTTTCTGCAGAGCACACATTTTACTCAGCCAACCATACAGAGGATTTTGATTGTTCAATAGTCAGTGTGTGGCGGAACAGAGAGGCTGGAATGCTGCTGGGCTTTTGATGCTGTGCCTCAGCCTCTCCTGGCAGCATGGTCAATGTGTGTCAGCTTATTCTTCTTTTCCCAGACAGATTTCTTTTTATTCTAATAAGGAAGAATCCATAAAGGGACAGTGAGAAGATCTAGAAGTATTCACCCCAATACTGCTCTGTCCCTATCGAAATGTAGAAGGAGAAGCAAGTATTCTCCCAACAGATATCAACTGAAATGAGGACAAAGCTCTTGTTTTCACAAAAGTTTTCTTGTTGGGTGTTGTAAGTGGATGAGCTATATTAGAAAAATATTCTTAAAACCTCAGAAGCTCAGTTTTAGCTGTTAAATTCCTTTGCAAATAGCCAATGGATTAATTTATTTTAGCTTATTATAAAGCAGGATAGGGTATTTCTCTTGCTTGGTTCCTTTGAGCCCAGAGTCTTAGAAATGGGAAATCTGGTTTATACAGAAACAAGTTCAGTTCTCAAGGTCAAACAGCATACTGATAGAAAGTCTTTATTTATTGAATCTGCTTACTCTGCCACACATCAAACAGTGTTGTCCATATGCCTTTCACACAAAGCAAGCCGTGGGATATTGCATAAAACTGCTGAATCATCGTCATGGTACAGATGAATGCACAGTTTTCAGGAGACAGCTCTTCTATCAACAAAGATTCCCTGAGCAATTTCTTACTATATTCCATATGATGCTGAGATAATTCCTGGGGATATAGTGATTGGTGTTGTATTGTCCTTACCTTTCACAAACTTCAAAGTGCCAAGTTAATACAATATTTAGTCTTTTACATACAATCTTATAAATTACATAGAATTCTGGTTGATAAGTGCAATAAGAACTCTTTTAAAGAGCACCTTGTTAGTCCACAGATCTGGTAACAATATAAACCAAATTTCAACCCCCTTCCAGGCATCTCTGTCACTGTAACATAAGAAGAATCGACAATGCTTCCCACATGAATATGTCACATTATATGGTGTTTACCAGAATTACCCAAGATAAAATGCTTATTGGCCATGTGAAAAAGGGAATATATTGGCTTAGGTAACTGGGAAGTCCAAAGAGCATCTGGCTTCAAGCAAGTTTTAAATTGTGTAATGTCATTAGTGTCCTGCTTCCCTTCATGTATTATCATGTGTTGGAGAGATGGCCAATGGTAACCTCAAGCCTATGTTTGCAACTCCTTATCCCAGCCAGCATCCATTCATGACATTTTAAGGAGGACTCTGTCCCAGTTTGGTTCAGATGTTCATGCCTGACCCAGTGGCCAGGGACATGGCCAATGCTATGAAGTACTACGACTGGTTAGACTCAACTCATGGGCCCACCCGAGGCAAGGAAAGGCTGGGGTCTGTGGACTCCCACCCTTTGGCCCAACTACATGAAATGAGAAAGAGGAAATTCCACAGAGAAAGGGATGATCATACAAGATGAGGAGGGAAAGGGTGATGGGAAGCAAAAACCAAAAAGTATCCAGGGAAATCGCTCTCTAAAATAGGTCTTTCCAATCTATTTACACCTGGAAATAGCAAGATTCTTATTCTGTTAGGTACTAGGGTGCTGGGAAATGTTAGAAACAACTGAAAGGCTGGAGAAAAAAAGCCCTGATTTGTACCATGTGGCAAATTCCATGGTATAAATACTCCTATATGGCTGCTCCAAGCTGCCAACCTCACATGACTGCACATGGAGCTCGGAAGATTTAATGTGTAGCAAGCAGCACAGCATTATATTCCATCCCAGATACAATGCCTATAAATGACCCCTAGAACACAGGTAATAGTAAAATGCAGTAAAATTATGAGGAAGGGATGAGTTTTTATTACATTTGTTTTCCATACAGTGTATTTAATTGCAAGTTTATATCATATACTTTTTAAATAATGGTTTTAATATCCCAGCTCTCATTGCCTCAATTAATTTCAAATTCTTCCTACCTTGGATAGTTTACACATTTACCGGTCTGGACTCGAGAGGTCCTCATGAAATTTTTGATTATCCAAGTTATATTTTTGATAGGGCAAAGTGCATTTCTCTCTTTTCTATTTTTAAGTGGAAAGTAAATATATGTTTTCTTAACTCTTAACAACTCTTCCTCTGGCTACCAGTAAATTTAGCTACACTGAAATAGAAGAACTTGTTCAAGATTTAATTGTCATTTTTTAGATAAACTCTGAAAATATACAAAACATATCCCCACAGAAAATAGGTCAAATACAAACTACATCACATTAAATGAATAAAATATAGCCTTAGAGGGACTGAAACGTGATAAAGTAACATCACTAGTTAAAACCAAGAACTCAATATAGATACATTGATAAAACAAAAATAAAAGCAACTTACTGCGGAACTACTCTTCAAAATTCAAGGAAAGAACATGGAAAAGTTCAAAGACTTGCTAACCACTAGCTCCTATTTCTTTTTGAGGGAAGAGGCCAGAAAGGGATCAGAAAATTTTCATTTTGTGTTTTGATCTACCTCTAAGATAACATATTCTGCAAATTTTCGTGACCCAAGTGGATAGGCTGAAATTACTCAGAGAAAAACTGAAAGAACTCAAAGAAAGAAGAGCTTGTATTGTCAGATGAATTATTTTTTATTAGTATGTCAGGGGATGAAGGGTGTGCAGGGAAACAAGCAAGGATGAGCGATCACTCTGGTCAAGAAGAGAATTCTCATCTTAGACCTTGGATTTAATGTCCAAGGTCCAAGGTTGGATCTATGCAAATTGCAAGTTGCACCAAATTATTTTTATAGGCACACTAGAAGGCAGGGGGTTTCTTCTTGTCCATGACTAGTAATTTCTTAAGAGAGAAAAATTATAAATCCCACTCTCACTTTGGGAGTCAAATGCTATTATCTGGAACAGTTGTTCTCTGCACAGCAGAATAACGCCACAGGCAACAGAAATATTTCTCTTTAATTAATTTTCACCAGGATCACTTTTGATTACAGACCAATGTTTAATCCAATTTTCCTACAAGTTGTGTGGGTTTGGCTTTCCCCAATGTTCTGTTTATAGCTTCTCAGTGTGTTGCTTGGAAAATGATATGAAGTTATAAAGATAGCTTAGTGACTTCATCCAAGACAGGAGGAAACAAAGAGGTGGCTCAGGAATTAGAAAATCCTTTTTAAGTGCAGTTGCCCTCTTAGGAATGGGTAACAATGGCAACCCCGTGAAACAAGCTACCACCCTCCTCACAATAGGGCAATTAGCTTGATGTGTTCAAATGAACTCATCTACTTCAAGAGTATGTGTTATAAATGCTCCTTGTCTCTGAAATTCTCTCAATATGTATTAAAAAATCCCAGTGTCTTTATTCTGGGCTATGAGAAATCTGCAGGAAATTAGAATATTGTGAAAAGGAAAAGATGACTGCTCTGAGACCAAAAATTTATCCTTAAACCTCCCAGTGCATCTTTATTCAGAAGAATGTTTCTGGATGGAAGTTACTATTTCTCAGCTCTGTGCAAGGAAATATTGAGCAAAGGTTCACTGAAGTCTGCAGCTGTCAGTTCTGGAAGCCCTGTGAGGTTGAGGAAATGATGCTTCTTGCCAACTTTAAGCAGGACTTTATAATCTGCTGACCTGGATTTAGTGGTCTCTGGGCTTCAAAAGGGTGCAACCAGGGCAAAGCAAAGGAAGAGGTGGGACTATGTGAAGAAAGAATGTAGGGTCTGACATTTGAGGAAGGAGCTTCATACTCTGAATCCAAGGGCAAGAATGAAGATCTAACCAGAGTGCAGGAAATAGGGAGGCGTGGAGCTATGGAAGAGAGAGAACAGGGAGGTGACCCAAGATGAACCCCTGAATTCATCTCTGAATTCATCTCTGTCATCTGGATTTCCATTTTCACAGGTCAGAAAGACCAATGGTCAGATGAGCTTGTTGCCTTCTTTCTCCTCATTTCTTGCTCAGATTAGCTTATGGAGGCTAGTCTGGGAAGGTCTCTTACTGGAGGCCACAGGACTGCTATGTCCCAGGAATTAGGCAATGAACCCACGAATGTCAGAAGGCCATTTGTATAAGAATATGGTACTCTGTCTTAGGAAAAATATGATGATGGGATGTAGATGTAGAAGTGTAGAATGGATGAACTTTGACACAATAAGGTATGACAGTAAAACGCTGTGTAATATCACTGTGGGATTGATGGTTTGACTGTAGCCAGGCCTGCTGCAAGCTTGGTGACACAGCAATAAATAGGAAGCAAAAGTGCATATGTACAATTGAGCAAGAATTTTTCATGCGTTAATAGGATGAATCCTTGAGTACTGACAGCATAAAAGGCTAGGCTTTTGTAACATAGATAATTTTTTCCCACAGATACTAACTTTACACAAATCTTTAGGTGGACATCTGTGAGAAAAGAGGAAGGCCTCAGGAACTACTTCCACTCACTTATATCAGTTAATTCATTTACTCAACAAATATATATAAGCACCTGACATGTGCCAGGTGCTGTTTTAGGCACCAGGAATATAGCAGCAAACAAAACATGCAAAAATCTCTGCCCTCTGAGAGCTTATATCTGGCAGGGGGAGTGAGACAATAAAACAAAAAAAATTGGTCTAGATTGAAAAAATCAATTAAAAATATTTGTTCAGGAATACATATACATGTGGTAAAACCATAAAGAAAAGTAAGAGAATACTAAACATAAAATTGTTGGTTTGACAGTAAGCTGAAGTGAAAGGGACTATAGATGCATCTGAGAGGTCATACTCAGGTGTTCTCAGGCCAAGAACAGCCCTTTGTGTTCTTGTGAGTCCTGTGAACTCAGCTCAAACGCATTTCTGTTCTGTATAGCGCTTAGCACCTTATCAGCCCAGAAAAAGACTGTGATTGGATGTAGGTAATTGAAAAAAAAAACTCCTAGTCAGACAATTTGTGTGTGTAGGAGTTGGACTAATGTCTCTGAATATTCCAACAGTCCAACTTCTAACCAGGGTGTCTGTATTCATCAGCATGGGCTGCCATAACAAAATATGAGGTAGTTTATATGATGAGGTAGTTAATATGATGAGGTAGTTTAAACAACAGAAATTTATTTTCTCAGAGTTCTGGAAGGTACAAATTCCAGGTCAAGATGCTGGCTGATTAGTTTCCTGGTGAGCGCTCTCTTCTTGGTTTGCAGACAGCCACCTTCTTACTGTATTCTCATATGGCCTTTCCTCTGCGGTGAAAAGAGAGAGAGAGAGAGAGGGAGCAAACGCAAGTTCTGGTATCTCTCTTTTCATAAGGACACCAATTCTAAAGTACTAGAACTCACACTTATGACCTCATTTAACCTTAATTACCTTTCTATATAAAGATCCTATCTCCAAATACAGTTACAGTGGCACTTCAGTATGTGAACTTGGGAGAGGGTGGGCCCAATTCAATTTATAACAATGCCTATGATAATGTATTCTGCTGTGAAACATTCTTCTGCTAACATGTTCAGGACGGCCCTCTGACCTGTGCACTTTTGCTTTTGCCACTTGTTCTCTGAATCCTTGCTTAAAGTCTGCCAAGTGCTATATGAGGTAGTTGGAATGGAGTTTCCACAAACAAACAAGCTAAAGCTAATATTTTCATCATGTCACTTTCATTCTTCTCTTATGAAAATTCATCAATCTGCTACTGGACTTTCAGATGAAAACCTGCATTTTTATATATAATTCTACTATAATTTTAGATTTATCTGACCATTATTGTTTGGAATGGTCCTAGCAAAGAATCTGTTTTATCAAATTCATGCCCTTTTAAACATGGCTGTTTATTAGCTATTTTTCTTTGTTTTTATTTTGTATTACACCACAGCTACTCAGAATTAGAGTAATCAAATTTCTGCTTCAAGATACTCATAACAGGCCAGGTGCAGTGACTCATGCCTATAATCCCAATAATTTGGGAGATTGAGGCAAGAGGATTGGTTAAGGCTAGTAGTTCAAGACCATCCTAGGCAACATAGTGAGACCCCATCTCTACAAAAAAAATTGAAAAATTAGCCAGGCATGGTAGTGCACATCTGTAGTCCCAGCTACTTGGGAGGCTGAGGCAGGAGGATGGTTTAAGTACAAAAGTTTGAGGCTGCAGTGAGCTATGGTCACACCACTCCACTCCAGCCTGGGTGACAGAATGAAATTCTATCTCTAAAAAAAAGGTTACTCATAATATTACTCCATATATGGCCTCTTTTATATCTTTGTTTGTTGGTTAGTTACCTTTAATAATGTCATCAGCATTCATGAACCTGCTACTCAGAAAAAAAAGCTAGCCTACATATGCCTTTTTGGTCCCCTTCCATGGTAACCTGTTGCTTCCCCTCACTTAAGGTAACCTCCATCCTGAAGAGGTGTTCATCATTCTCTTTTTTTTCTTTTTATTAAAATTATTTTTAAGGTTACAAAAATGAATATCAAATTGTATGTTATCTTCTAGGAATTAGTTTTATTCACTTAATAATATATAGCTAAGATGCTTTCATATTATTGTCTGTTATTGAAGGTCATTTATTTTAACCACTCTATGAAACTTTATGTGAATATAATACTGTTTATTCACCAGTCTCCTGACATGAGCTCTTGGGTTTTCTACATGTTTTGTTAATATGAACAATGGTGCTATGTGTATTGTTTCTGTGGAATTGTTGCTCACAGGGGGTGTGAATGTTCAACTTTATAATACTGCCATTGTCTGAATGTTTGTGTTCCCTCAAAATTCATATGTTGAAATCCTAACCCCCATGGTGATACTGTTGGAAAGTGTTACCTTTAGCAGGTGATTAGGTCATGAGGGTGGAGCCCTCACGATTGGATTAATGTTTTTATAAAGAGACCCAGAGAGTTAGCTATCCCCTTCACCATGTAAGAACACAGCAAGAAGGTGCCATCTAGGACCTGAAAAGCAAGCCCTTACCAGACACCACATCCGCCAATGCCTTGATCTTGGACTTCCCAGCCTCCAGAACTGTGAGAAAAAATTTCTGTTGTTTATAAACCACCCAAGTTATGGTATTTTATCTTAGCAGCCCGAATGGACCAAGACAAATATCAAATTGCTTTTCTCATGGTTTTAACATTTTGCATTCCCATCAGCAATGTAAGAGATCCTGTGGAACCACATTCTCTAAATACTTGATATTGTAAACTTCAAATTTTTTTGCCATTTAAAAGAATATAATATGCTATTAACTGTGTTTTTGTATTGTGTTTACTCCATTGCTAATGAAGTTCAATATTATTTCAAATCTTTTTTGGCCATGTGTATTTCCTCTTTTATGAAATGCATGGGTGGAATAATATTTGGAAAGAGATAAAATTAGAACCTTTCCACATTTCATATACAAAATCAGCTTCAGGTCAATTGAGAACTTCAATATAAAGAATGAAACTTTATACTCATGTTAGAATATATAAGTAAATATGTTTTAGACCTTAGTGTAGCAGAAGAGTTCCTTAACAAGACACAGAAACTATATCTATAAGACCATGATAAATTTGATTATATTAAAGTTGAGAAATTTTATTCATCAAAATACATATTCAAGATGTGAAAAAAGTTACAGAATGAAAGAAAATATTTACAATACACACTACCAACAAAATATTAGTATCAAAGTAATATCTACATTAAGAACACCTCTAAATCCTTAAGAAAGACATAAAAAATCCTATAGAAAAATAAGCCAAAGGCATGGAGATGTATTTCTTTTATTTCTCATTATATACCAATCTATTTTTAAAATTAGATATAATAAGGAAAAATGATTAAGAATATGAACTTTGCATTTTAAAAAAGCTATGGTTAAAATCCTTGCCCTGGTACTGATTAATTGTGTGATCTTTGGCAAGTTTTCTTAAACTTTCTAGGTTTCAATATTCTCAGCTGTAAAATGTTATTGTGCCATTAATTGATGAATGGATAAACGAAATGTGTTATATCCACACAAGAGAATATTATTCAGACATGAAAATGAAGTACTGACAGCTGCTACCACATGGATAAACTTTGAAAATATTATGCTAAGTTAAAGAAGCCAGGGACAAAAGGCTGCATATTGTATGATTTGATTTACATAAAATATCAAGAACAAGCAAATCCATAGAGACAGAATGTAGATTATTAGTTGCTATGGTTTGAATGTGTTCCCTCCAAAATTCATGTTGAAACTTAATCCTCATTGTGATGGTATTAAGAGGTTGGGCCTTTTGGAAAGTGGTTATGAGGGCTTTGCCCTCCCAAATGGATTAGTGCCTTATAAAGGGGTTGAGGGGAACAAGCTAAGTCCCTTTTTCTTTTTCTTTTTTCTTTTTTTTTTTGAGACAGAGTCTTGCTCTGTTGCCCAGGCTGGAGCACAGTGGCACAATCTCATCTCACAGCAACCTCCATTTCCTGGGTTCAAGCAATTCTCCTGCATTAGCCTCCTGAGTAGCTGGGATTCCAGATGCCTGCCACCATGCCCAGCTAATTTTTGTATTTTTAGTAGAGACAGGGTTTCACCATGTTGGCCAGGCTGGTCTTGAACTCCTGACCTCAAGTGATCTGCCCACCTCAGCCTCCCAACGTACTGGGATTACAGGTGTGAGCCACTGCGCCTGACCTCTTAGTCCCTTTTTTGTTCGTACCTCCCTTCTGCCATGTGAGGATGTAGCAAAAAGGCCCTCACCAGACATCTAAAGCTAGTACCTTGATCTTGAACTTCCCAGCCTCCAGAATTGTAAGAAATAAAATTTCTATTATTTATAAATATCCAGTCTTCTGGTATTTGTTATAGCAGCACTAATGGACTAAGACAGTGGTTTCCAGGAGCTGTGGAGTGGGACAATGACTGCTAATGGGTGTAGAGTTTCTGTGGTAAGGAAATGTTCTGGGATTAGATATTGATGATGGTTGCACCATCTTGTGAATATACTAAAACCCACTGAATTGTACTATTTAAACTGGTAAATTTATAGTGTGGGAATTCCATCTCACTTTTAAAAAAGAAAAAAAGTTATTGTGGGTCAGGCGTGGTGGCTCATGCCTGTAATCCCAGCACTTTGGGAGGCTGAAGTGGGTGGATCTCCTGAGGTCAGGAGTTCGAGACCAGCCTGGTCATCATGGTGAAACCCTGTCTCTACTAAAAATACAAAAATCAGCTGGATGAGGTGGCGGGTGCCTGTAATGCCAGTTACTCAGGAGGCTGAGGAAGGAGAATCATTTGAACTCGGGAGGTGGAGTTTGAAGTGAGTCGAGATCGCACCATTGCACTCCAGCCTGGGCAACAGAGTGAAACTCCATCTCAAAAAAAAAAAAAAAAGTTATTGTGAGTGTTATATAAGACAACTCATGTAAATGTCTCAGCATATTGTCTGCCACATAATAATCATGCAAAAATAATAGGTAGCTTAAAAAATGAGATTCCATTTTCTTCTGTTTTACTTTATAGCTATGAATATCTCTCTCCAGCATATATATTTTTTGGACTCGGATTTCATATAGCATTCTCCTTCAGAAATAGAATCAAAAGAATTATGATAGCTATCCATGTAAATAATAGTTACCATTTATCGAGTGCCTGCTAGATACTAGTCCCAACACTAGATGTTTTCTACGATTTACTTGTTAGATCTGTAGAACAATCTTATGAGTTATCCCTATATTACATTTGAGAAAACTGGGGTTTTTTGGCTCGATATCAAATAACCAGCTGACCCAAGATAAAACCAAGAACTGTTTTTTGTTTTGTTTTGTTTTGTTTTGTTTTTTAGATGGAGTCTCACTCTGTCACCAGGCTGGAGTGCAGTGGCATGATCTTGGCTCACTGCAACCTCCACCTCCTGGGTTCAAGCGATTCTCCTGCCTCAGCCTCCTGAGTAGCTGGGACTACAGGGGCGTGCCACCACACCCAGCTAATTTTTGTGTTTTTAGTAGAGACGGGATTTCACTATGTTGGCCAGGATGGTCTCAATCTCTTGACCTCGTGATCCACCCGCCTCGGCCTCCCGAAGTTCTGAGATTACAGGCATGAGCCACCGCGCCTGGCCAAAACCAAGAACTTTTAAACTCCCAAAGTCTACTTCTTTCTATTATATCATATTACACAAAGGCATAAATTGCTGTGGGAAAATGCTGAAGAATGCCAAAGAATGCTATGAAGCAATTGACTCTCATCTAGTAATATGTTCAGACCATTTTAAAATAAATCTTTCTATATAGATTTTTTTTCTTTGAACACTAGAGACTATTTTATAAATAGACAACTGCTATTGCTGCTGGTAGTAGTTTGCTCCTGATATTCTCCTAATTTCCTTTCATATACGACACAAAATATGGATTAACTTATAGCATAAAAGAAGAACCAAATTAGTCATAAATGTCAATTCTGTGAATAATTTTAATTAAAGCATTTGAAATTCCCTTATCATAATTTTCCACAGCATCTCTCATAATTAGTAAGAGCTCTGAACCAGTACTATGGTGTTAGAAAAATTTGTAATCAACTGCATATAATTGAAATATCATCAATAAGAATAGACTGTAAAATCATTGAGTAATGTAGTCTTCCAGCAAGTCAGCTTCCACAAACAAACCTCCATGGAGGTTTTATTTTAACCCCAGGCTTTTTTTGATCTGCTGGCAACCACAAGACTTTGAGCTAGGGCTGAAGACATCACAAGAAAAGTTTCTTTCATGAGATGATCCTTTTCATCATTGTATCGAATTCTCTTATCAGTTCTTATCAGAAGTGTGGCACTTGGGGTCAACAAGCTTTCAGAAGCTGCCCCAAAATGAGGCCGAGGGAGTTTGAATGGAAAGTAAAATGTCCCCTTTCAACTTGGGCAAGCTGCATGTCATATATGAGAGCCAGTGTTTCAGGAAGAACAGCTCTATTCCAAGTATATCAGAAAGCTGGCATTCCACATCACAACTGAGCCTCTTGTATTAAGGAGAAACTAACCTTTGTTGGTGCAGTTTATGAGGGGGACACTATAATATTTACCTTCCATATGCATCTCATTCATCCAGTACCATTGCTCCTCTCTTATAGCCAGGAAATTGAAGCTGAAAGCTGTTAAGTAACTTACCTACACAGCTAGTAGGTGGAGGGGTCAAGATTATAACTGGCCCCCCAAAGTTAGGCTGTTTTCATAACACTATTGCCTCTCAGAGAAATTCATTGGCTAAGCGATGAAGAATATTGTAAACATAAGAATGAACTAATTCTTTTATATATGCCCTCTAAAATAAGATTTTAAAGACATGTCCTGAAGAATTATTCTATTCTAAAAGTAAATATATTTCTATTTGTACAGTTCAATAATCCTGATTGTTATGGAGAACATTTTTTATTCCTCATTCTTTGTGTTTCCAGGGAAAAGCTGCTAGTCTCTTTTCCCACTGTGTTCTTATTCTTTCCTGAGGGAGGAGGATGACCACTGGGAGATTGCTGAGAGCATCCTATCCAGTGTGTTGCTGTGGGGAGAGGGCTGCACTGAGAGATTCATGGGCCCTGACTCTCTTCTGCTTTGCTGGACAACTTATTCTCAGATGTGCTAGACTCCCGTTGCTCTTCCAATGTCTATGTGCTAATCAGCCGTCCCCTCCCTAAATTCTTCAGCTTCCAGAGGACCAGTTTAATTCAGTTGTGGGAGTTGTGATATTTGTGGGGTACTAGGCAGATCATTTTTGCCTTAAGCCTAAACCATATTTCTGACACACTTTATGAAATACCCTCTTGTATAACTTGACAATTTGACATCCATTTGGCTTTGGTCTTAGTGTTTATATTTTATTTGCATCATTTAACTTTATTCTTCTAATAACTCTGGAGTCATTTATTCCTCACTTTCTTTCACAACCCACCTCCAGTCTTTCAGCAAAAACATCTTTTCAAAAGTTAACCTGAGTCCATCTTTTCTCTTGGCCTCCCATGCTATCACCCTGGTCTGAGCAACCTTCATCCCTGGCCCGGGTTACTGTTAGCACCTCTTGACTTAGACATGTGTTTCTGCATTTCCCTCCCAGAGCAAGAGTGAGCCTTTTGAAATGTTGCTCCTCTGCTCAACACCCTGGAAGGCTCCCCTTTTCACTAGAGTAAAAGCTAAAGTCATATGGACAGCCCCATTTTCCTCTGTGACTTGTCACTTACTTGCTAACTCCCCTTGCTAACACAACTCCAGCCACACAGGCTTCCTTGGTGTTCCTTGAAAACACTAGTCACATCCATCTCAGGCTCTTGACCATCTTATTCTTCTGCCTAGAACACAATTTCTCTAGGCACCTATTCATTGAACTCCCTCATCTGCAAGTCTTTGCTCAAATTATTGCCCTCTCAATAGGGCTAACCAGGACCATCCTACTCAAAATCACAAACTGTCCCCCACTCTTGTGCTCACTGTCCTCCATAATTTTGTTTTCCATGACATATTTGTAACATAGATAATTTATTTATTATATGTTTTGTTTGTATTATGTCTTTCCAATTGAAATTTCATAAGCTTTACTGTATATTTTGTTCACTGGTGTAGTCCAAGTGCTTGGAACATATTTGTTGAATGAATGAACAAATGAATGAATATGAAATTATAGATTTCTGTACTTTTTCTATTTCCTTCCGTTTTTTTGTTGTGTTTTGGTTCTATTTCCTTCCAGCCATTTTTTTTATATTGTGTTCTCTTTTTTTATAAAGTCATGCTAAAAACAGCAAGGAGCAGGCAATACACACAAATGTGCAGTTCTGTTCAAGCAGTTACCTCAGAGCTACCGGCTCAGTAGGTACAGTAGTCCCCTTATCTGTGGTTTCACGTTCTGTGGTTTCAGTTACTGGAGGTCAAATGTGACTCTAAAATATTAAATGGAAAATTCCAGAAATAAATAATTCATGCGTGAGTTTTAAATTACATGCCATTCTGAGTAGGGTGATGAAGTCTCTCACCATCCCACTCCGTCCTGCCCAGGATGTGAATCATCCCTTTGTCCAGCTGTATAAATAATCTATCCATTATTCACTTAGTAGCCACTTTGGTTATCAGATTGAAAAAATATAGTTTTTAATAGTATATATAGGGTTCGGTGCTATCCAAGATTTCAGGCATACGCTGGACGTCTTGTAATATATCCTCCTTGGGAAAGGGGGGACTACTGCATGTTACTGCAGACAAATGTTTTGTGTGGTATAGAAATGTCTCCAACTTCCCAGCCTATAATGTTTATTTCTTCACCACTCACTGCCTGACTGTTAAGCCAATGGCATGCATATTAGATTTTTGTTAAGATAGCACCTATTTCATTTACATACTTCTGCATGGATGGAGTAACACTAGCTTCTGTAACAAATGGAATCCAAAATAGAGTGGCTTAAGAATCCAGAAGTGTGTTTCTCCACCAACAGCCTTGAGGTGAGTTTTGATGGCAGCTCTGCTGTGTGATGTCATCTATACCCTTGGGCTGGCAGTGGCCCTGTTTTCTGCAAGATATGGCTCCCAAGCTTGCTTTAGCTGTTACCATTCCCACGTTTCATTAGCGAGAACTTACCTCATGGCCACCCCAATTTGTGCAATGAAACATAGGAAATGTAGTTCCTCACTGGACAGCTAGGTCTCAACTATAATCCTATTACTATGAAAGAAAGGCGAAATAGTATCAAATTGCAGTCTTAGCACAGGTAGGTATTATTTTTAATGGATAGCTTTATTATTTAAATTTACATATAGAAGTCACGTTTTTAAGTTACACAATTCAGTGTTTTTTAGTGTATTCACAATGTTGTTCAACCATCACTATTAATTGCAGAAACTTTTCATCACTACAAAAAGAAACACTATGTCTATTATCAGTCACTCCCTGTTTCTCTGTCCCCCAAAACCTTCTAAGCCACTAACCCATTTTTTGTTTCTATGAATTTGTATATTCTGGACATTTTATATAAATGGAGTAATACAATATGTAACCTTTTGTGTCTGGCTTCTTTCACTTAGCATAATGTTTTCAAGGTTCATGCCATAGCCTGTCTCCCTACTTCATTCTTTTTTATGGCTAAATAATAGTCCGTTGTATGGATATATCACATTTTGCTTATCTGTTCATTGACCAGTTGATGGTCATTTGGTATTTGGTTTGTTTCCACATTTTGGCTGTTATGAATAATTCAGGTGTGAACATTTGTGTATACATTTTTGTGTGGCTATATGTTTTTATTTCTCTTGGGTATATATCTAAGAGTGAAATTGCTGAGTCATGTGGTAACTCTATGTTTAACTTTTTTGAGGAACTGTCAAACTGCTTTCCAAAGCAGCTGTACCATTTTACATTCCCACCTGTGTTGTATAAGGGTTCCAATTTCTCAACACTTATTATTGTCTTTTTTATTCTAGCCTTCTCAATGGGTGTAAAGTAGTATCTCATTGTGGTTTTGAATTGTGTATCTCTGATGACCAATGATGAGCTTTTTTCTTTGTTCTTATTGGCCATTTATACACTTCTTTGGAGAAATTCCTTTTCAAATCTTTTGTCATTTTTAAATTGGGTTGTCTTTTCTATCATTGAGTTATAATAGTTCTTTATTTATTCTTTATAGAGACCCTTATTAGATATATGACTTGCATTTTCTCCCATTCTGTGGGTTGTCTTTTTGCTTTCTTGATAGTATCTTTTGAGTTATCTTCATTTTTTACAGTTGAGGAAAATGTGGCTGAGATATTAAATAGCTAGTCCAAGATCACCAGGTAGACCATGTTCCCCAGTCTCCCTTGCAGTTAGTTATGGCCATGAGACTGAGTTCCAGCCAATACACTGGGAGTAGTGGAGGAGATGGGGATGTGTGCCACTTCCAAGCCTAGCCTATAACAACTTCCCCTGTGTGATGTTCATGCTCTTTCCTTGTTCCAGGGCACTGGGATGGTGGTGTCCAGGACAACTCAGACACATCAGAATCATCATTTAGCCTGGGTTTTTGAATGACTGTGGAATGGTGGGGGTGTGGAGGGAGAACCACTGGCTGGAATACCTGCCCAGGGCTGGCACAGCAGAGAAAACAAACAAACTTCTTGTTCTTTGGGTCACTGAGTCTTTTGGGTGTACTTGTTACTTCAGCTTAGCCATCCCTGACTAATACAACTCAGGTTGCATTCTGCTTGAACATTCTCAGTGCTGGAAGTTTCACTACTTTTCAAGGCAGTAAAGGTAACGCCTGTTTTTTAATGCCGAGTCAAAATATTTTTTCCATAAATTCTACACATGGTTGTAGTTCTTCCCTTTGGAGTAACAAGAATAAATTCAGTACTCTTCTTTAGAACAAGCCTTCAAATATTTGACCGCAGCTTAAGGGCAACCAAGCCTTTCTTTCTTCAGAGTTTGTACATAAGCAGTTACGTCTTATCAACACAAAACAATCACTAAAGCCAGAAGCTACCCCTCTCCTAAAATATGCTACACAATATGGTATTCAGTGTCACTTTTTTCTTCTGCTGCTTCTTTTCAGACCAGGTAGAGCAGAGCCATGGAAGAAATACTCCTTAGAGAATTTTGGTTTAGTCCTCTCCCCAGTTTAAACTTGCTGTGCAAGCTGACTCAAAGAAATCTGATAAAATGGAGGTACGTGGGGGTCATGGGATCTAAGCTGTCTTTATATTACCACTGCACTCTGGAAGAGAGAAAAGAGAGAAAGAGACTTTGAGCAAGGAAGGATGAGCACATGACCCCCCCGGGTGTTGATGTAGAAAATGAAAGCTTTTTAAAGATGTGTGAGGGGAGACCCTGTGGGGTTGAAAAGGCAGCTGGGAAAGCTCCTGAGAGTCCTCCTTTCCATGAAGGCATTTAAATGAATTTCCTCGTTCTACTTCTTCCACAATACCCTGTGGGGATCCATGTTTCTCAGCAGAACCCTTTTTACCTGGCAGGATTACTTTTCTCCTTTCCGTTTGCCAGACATGACTTCTGACCAGGACTTTCCCATGTAGCCTCCACAATTGCAATATACCCCTCTATTAATAAATATAGCTGATCAACATTTGGCTAATTTCCATTCCCTCCCAGTTTTAAATACCTCTCAGCCTGATCTAATTTAAATGTGTCCTCTGCCTGGTTTAGTCACTTAGGGATGTTCTTACCTGCTTGAGTTCTACCACGAAAAGATTACTAAAGTACAATGATTTGATTTAATTTGATTATAATGATTTCTAAAGATGTTATTATTATTATTATTATTTTGAGACGGAGTCTCACCCTGTTGCCCAGGCTGAAGTGCAACGGCACAATCTCGGCTCACTGCAACCTCTGCCTCTGAGGTTCAAATGATTCTCATGCCTCAGCCTCCCGAGTAGCTGAGATTACAGGTGCACGCCACCTTGCCCAGCTAATTTTTGTATTTTTAGTGGAGATGGGATTTCACCATGTTGGCCAGGCTGGTCTCGAACTCCTGACCTCAAGTGATCTGCCCACCTCGGCCTCCCAAAGGGCTGGGATCACAGGTGTGAGCCACCATGCCTGGCCAGTTTCTAACGATATTAAAATATAAACTAATCTTCAGTTTCAAGAGTTTATCCTAATTTGAGAGGAAGCCAAGTTCCACTAAAATGCCTCAGTTCCTAAAAGCAGACATAATTTTTTGCATTGACACAGTGGAGATTTCAGCTGGTGATATGGACTGAACTGTCAATGCAATTCACTTTTGTAAGATTCCCTGTGGAAAAAGAGGTGAGGGAACAGGTGAAACAGCAGAGTGAGCTGTTTTCGTTTCTAGACTGACCGACCTGACCTTGCCCGAAAACCATTAGCTGAATGTCTTAAGTTGGAAATATTGAACAAAGCTTATGGCTGTATTGGTGGAGAAGGATAATTGTCTTCCTGCTTATTTAATTCATCTTCCTTCCTCATGAACTCCCTGTGTTCATCCGACTTTGATTTGTTTTTCTTCTGACTAACAGTAACCTCCTTGTCAGGATGCCCCAAAAGGCACATCAACAAGCTGATGGTAGCTAGGGCTTCTCTATTCACCATAATTATCTGGCTCCAAACAAGAACACATTTCCTGGGCACTAATGCTTCCATGTTCTGTAATGGTCTCTCCTGCTTCCATTAGTGACAGTAAAAGGCCCTTCGTGACCAGAAAACTTTTATGCATGCACATGCATGCACACACACTTACACACAATATGAAAGTAAAAAAAAAAAAATAGGCTAGAACATATTTCCCAACAAAAGCCTGATGCTAAGATACTACCATTTCTTTTACTCAAAATGTTAGTAATTGAAAGCAAAAGGCTATCACTGCCACTGCTGTGTCTGAAGTCATCTTCAAAGATGATAATGACTTCCTTCTGTGAGTAAGGCACCACTCCTCCTTCCCTCTGCCCTGCTTCTGTGAGGTCTAAAATAATCTATTGGTCTTCATTAGGGGACTAACCAGAGGTCAGAAGGCAGTAGGAGAAAGATGTACAATTTGTTCCTCCTTCAGAAAATCCTAGCTTGCCTCCAGGTATACCATCCTTTTTCTTGTAAAGCCTAGCTGCAAATGTAGCAAAGCTGTCTTTCACTTGGGAAATGAACTTGCAAGAGCAGTTCTCTCTCCTTTGGAAGATTTTTTTCCCTTTAGGATCCCCAGGTACAGATTGGAATTGACATCTGGATCCTCCTTCACACTCTTTTTCAACAACCATCTCTCCCAACCTAACCTAGTTTTTATTTTTTAGACCTATGTAGAAAATTGCCTTTAACTTATGTTAAACCTACTCTTGCTGTCAAAGGTTTCCCTCAATAGTTGAACCTCCAATATGTACTTTGCAAATTTCCTACTGACTTCTCCCATTTGTGCTAACTCTCAGAAGAAAGTTCCCATTTGTTTTTCAGTATCCAATTTTTTTATTTCCTGACAACAAGGAGGGTATACATCTATGATGAAAGGAAATTAGTGCTATAGCCTAAAATGCTGGGCCTAGAGTCAGTCTCTCAGTTCTAACTCTTATTATTTATATAACATATAACCATGGGTAAATCATTTGACTACTGAGAAGCCTATGTTCTTTATTAAAAGGTCAAGATAATGATACCCAAACTCTAGGGTCAACTGGACATGTCCAGGGATGAGAGCTGTGAAGTAAGATAATGTAAAGCAACCACCTGGCTGGTGGGAAGCACTAGATCGATTTATTAACTCTTAAGGAGGAAAAGAGGAAAAATAGATTGTCGTGTCTGCCCCTAATTCTCTGTAAGATTCTGAGGTAATCTTTAATGGAATCCTAGAGCTGGAAAAGCATTGGCCTCATCTAATGCAACGTTATCATTTACCAGAAAGAAGCTTGTGCCCCTGAGAAGTTAACTGATTTGAACGTCACAAAGTTCCTGCCAGAGGCCAGACATGTTCAGGGTTCCTGAGACCATGGCCAGCAGTTCTTTGCCTAATGTTGCCTCTCCGCTAACAAGAAAGTTTTTCTTCACCAGACAGATGTATTTTTATCTAATCCAACTTACTTTTTCTTTGAACCTAGCACCTTAGCCTTCCAATTCCTTTTAAAATTTAGTTTTTGAAGGAGCTAAGTCATTTTTCTTTCTAAACTTTTGGGCCAGGCATGGTGGCTCATGCCTGTAATTGCAGCATTTTGGGAGGCTGAGGCCAGCGGATAGCCTGAGGCCAGGAGTTTGAGACTTGGCCAACATAGCAAAATCCCGTCTCTACTAAAAATACAAAAAATTAGCTGGGCATCGTGGCAGACTCCTATAATCCCAGCGACTCAGGAGGCAGGAGGTTGTAGTGAGCCGATATTGTGCCACTGCACTCCTGCCTGGGCTACAGAACAAGACTCAAAACAAACAAACAAACAAACAAACAAACCCAAGAACAAACGAAAAAACAAATAAACTTTCTCTGAAAGATACTAAAAAGAGAAACAATTAAATTTTATGAAAGCTATATGATGGCTTTACCACATCATCTTAACTTTCCCCTTTGTGAGAGTGTCATTCAAGTTCCCATCAAGCACATATATACATTCAACACTTCCTCTTAGCAGGCGTTGGCAAGCTATAGCTCACGGACTCAATCATCAGGCTTACCTCTAGTTTGTAAATAAAGTTTTATTGGAACACAGCCAGGCTCACTTGTTTGTGTATTGTTGCTGGCTGCTTTCTGGCAACAATGGCAGAGTTGAATATTTGTGACAGAGAGTGTTTGGCCTACAAAGTCTGAAATATTTACTCTCTGGCTCTTTACAGGAAAAGTTCGGGGACTGCCTGCTCTTAGCATCCACTTCACCTTCAAATTTCCTTGATATATATCCTCCAAGAAACTATTTTCCACAAGAGCCTGGGTTTATTTTTGCAGAACATTTTAAAAGCATTTGATCATTTACTTTTGCCTGCATAAAAAATATGGGCAACAATTTGAAAAATATGAGAAAGCACAGAGAGCAACATAGCAATCAGCTGTGATCTTGCCAGGCAGAGCTATGGACTGTGAGATTTTTAGTCCTGGTTCAAGGATTCAGTCAGCCAAGAAAGGCCAGGCCCATCAACCCTGGGCATCAGAGTTCCCTGAGTCTTCTATGAGCAAGTAGTTTGCGTTGAGTTTCAGAGTAGGGAATGGAGATAGCTTAACTGTTTCGCAGGTGGGGAATTCTTCATCATATTTTTTAAAAATAGATAATTTTTTTTTTTTAAAAAAGTAGAGGAGAAAGAAAGGTGAAATGAAAGAGCAACAAAACGGAGAGGTCAAGGGCTTTTAAGGAGAGAGGTGGAGGTTGTTTAGCTTTAAAGTTGTATGAGTTTCTGTGATATAAACTTTCAATCATCTCCCCCAAACCTTCAATAAAGTCGACCTCACATCCTAAGACCCTGGGTGAGTAGCATGTTTGGTTACTCTTTGAATGTGGGGGAGATCCATGGCCGGTTTCCCATCATGTGGATCAGGTTCCTCACATGCAGGGCAGTGACGCTCTGGGCAAAACAGTCTAGCGGAAGCAGGGGCTCAAATAAAGAAGCAACCCTATTAGCCTAACACCCTTGGAAATTCAGATTGCTCTTGGCAAGGGCACTGAACTTTCCATAAATTGTGGAGTTAGGAGATCTGAGCCCATGTTTTCCAGATTTTAAGGCACAATGAAAGTACACACAGCCCAGAATATGAGTGTGTGTGTGTGTGTGTGTGGACTTTGTATATGTAAACTAGTTTCTTCTCACCTTCCCTGTTTCCCAAAATAACAAAACAACTAAGTCAAAATTGCAGCGGGTTATTTCTTTTCTTTTTTTAATACTCTAAGTTCTGGGGTACAAGTGCAGAACATGCAGTTTTGTTACATAGGTATACACATGCCATGGTAGTTTGCTGCACGCATCAACCCATCACCTACATTAGGTATTTCTCCTAATGCTATCCCTCCCCTAGCCCCACACCCCCCTACAGGTCCCTGTGTGTGATGTCCCCCTTCCTGTGTCCATGTGTTCTTATTGTTCAACTCCCACTTATGAGTGACAACATGCGGTGTTTGGTTTTCTGTTCTTGTGTTAGTTTGCTGAGAATGATGGTTTCCAGATTCATCCATGTCCCTGCAAAGGACATGAACTCATCCTTTTTTATGGCTGCATAGTATTCCATGGTGTATATGTGCCACATTTTCTCTATCTAGAGTATCATTGATGGACATTTTGGTTGATTCCAAGTCTTTGCTATTGTGAATAGTGCCACGGTAAACATACTCGTGCATGTGTCTTTATAGTAGAATGATTTATAATCCTTTGGGTATATACCCAGTAATGGGATTGCTGGTCAAATGATATTTCTAGTTCTAGATCCTTGAGGAATCACCACACTGTCTTCCACAATGGCTGAACTAGTTTACAGTCCCACCAACAGTGTGAAAGTGTCCCTATTTCTCCACATCCTCTCCAGCATCTATTTTTTCCTGACTTTTTAATGATCACTTTTCTAACTGGCATGAGATGGTATCTCATTGTGGTTTTGATTTGCATTTCTTTAATGACCAGTGATTATGAGCTTTTTTTCATATGTTTGTTGGCTGCACAAATGTCTTCTTTTAAGAAGTGTCTGTTCATCTCCTTTGCTCACTTTTTGATGGGGTTGTTTGTTTTTTCCCTGCAAATTTGTTTAAGTTCTTTGTAGATTCTGGATATTAGCCCTTTGTCAGATGAATAGATTGCAAAAATTTTCTCCCATTTTGTAGGTGGCCTGTTCACTCCGATGATAGTTTCTTTTGCTGTGCAGAATCTCTTTATTTTAATTAGATCCCATTTGTCAATTTTGGCTTTTGTTGCCATTGCTTTGGTGTTTTAGACCTGAAGTCTTTGCCCATGCCTATGTCCTGAATGGTATCGCCTAGGTTTTCTTCTAGGATTTTTATGGTTTTAGTTCTTACATTTAAGTCTTTAACCCATCTTGAGCTAATTTTTGTTTAAGGTGTAAGGAAGTGGTCCAGTTTCAGTTTTCTGCGTATGGCTAGCCAGTTTTCCCAACACAATTTATTAAATAGGGAATCCTTTCCCCATTGCTAGTTTTTGTCAGGTTTGTCAAAGATCAGATGGTTGTAGATGTGTGGCATTATTTCTGAGGCCTCTGTTCTGTTCCATTGGTCTATATATCTGTTTTGGTACAAGTACCATGCTGTTTTGGTTACTGTAGCCTTTTAGTATAGTTTGAAGTCAGGTAGCACGATGCCTCCAGCTTTGTTCTTTTGGCTTAGGATTGTCTTGGTCATGTGGGCTCTTTTTTGGTTCCATATGAAGTTTAAAGTAGTTTTTTCCAATTCTGTGAAGAAAGTCAATGGTAGCTTGTTGAGTATAGCATTGAATCTATAAATTACTTTGGGCAGTATGGCCATTTTCACGATATTGATTATTCCTATCCATGATCATAGAATGTTTTTCCATTTATTTGTGTCCTGTCTTATTTCTTTGAGCAGTAGTGTGTAGTTCTCCTGAAGAGGTCCTTCACATCTCTTGTAAGTTGTATTCCTAGGCATTTTCTTCTCTTCGCAACAATTGTGAATGGGAGTTCACTCATGATTTGGCTCTCTGTAGCTGGTCGTTTCTTAAACTGTGTACAAGAGGATACAAGTTGTTTAGCTGTTTTCCAGAGGACATGAAGGGGAAGGAATAGACAAGAAAGAGTGATGATGAGTTGCATTATTCATCCTCCATACTCTAAAAGCCAGTAGTGGAACAGCAGTCTGAAAAAGACTTTTCTTCCTCTAAAATATCACCACCACACTGTCATCATCCTATGAACACTTTTGGAGACTTACCATGCTCACAAGTGCACAATCCACCTTTAGCTGTCTTGTTATATACACTATTGGGCACACCACACAACTTATGTCATGAATAGGGACAGATGCCTAAATCTATCAATGAAGAAATGTTCCTGAGGAGCACAGCTGAGGGAGAATATCCTCTTTTATAACCTTTGATTTTTCCTTTGTCCCTCGGTGCCAACACACACAGCACAATGAACATAATTTTATTTTCAATTGACAAAAAACTGTATATATTTGTCATGTACATGTTATTTTGAAATAAGAACATAGTTTCAATACATGATCCTTTATTTTTACTTTTTTTTTCCTGTGCTATATTGAACAGGATAATACATGATCCTTTATATAGTGTTTAAATCTTAACTCTTTGTTAAAATCTGATGAGTGTTTGCAGACGTTCCATATTTCTGAAATATCCTAAGTAAAAGTATTTTTTTGTGACTCTAAGAGATTAAGACTGGGCAGAAATCACACATTTTCAGGCCATTCTTAAATGAGAACAGGGTAGTTGGCCCTTCACAGAATATGATCTGAGAAATATCTGCACCAGTGTTCTCTGTACAAGCTTGTGATTCAGTTCTGTATATTTGCTAAATGAGATGAATTTCTCTAAGTCGAAGTACTATTCTCTGTCAAAGTCTCTAGAGAAGAAGTAACCCTTTAGGACAAGCCCATCATACCGCTTTCCAAATTAAAGCTTGCCAGTGGCCCTCCGTCCTCTCAGAGAGAGGCCAGGTCCTTCGCCGGTGCACCTGGCTTTCACTGCCCAGCCCCCGCAGCAGCTGGCCCACTTCTGTAGGAACTGTAGAGAACCCACTGAAGGGCACACTTGAAAGTGTTTTCAAGCCAGTGCCAGCTCCTGGCACCTGTTCCTCCCTCCCTGACAGCAGGGCCAACTCCTCTGCCGCTAGGAGATTAACTGCATCTCAACAGAGCACAGCAGGGCCCCAAGCAGCACTAGTGTGTGTGTCTACTCAGCTGGCCTATGTTTGTTCTTGCTTCCTTAATGAGGTAGCGTAGCAACCCAGCGCATCTTACCTCCCGCGCACCACACCCACGACTTTCCTTTCATCCCAGCTCTTAGCAGCCACCTTCCCCTACACATAGCCTGGGCCTGGGCCACAAGGCACCATGCAGGTGCCAGCAGGGGCTCTGCTCTTTCCTGCCTTGGTGTGTTTGTGCCTGTTTTCATTGCCGGACTGCCCAACCCACCCTCGGATGTCTGTAAAACTCTTACGCAACCCTGAAGACGCTGGCTCAAACACAACCGCTGGCCTTCCTAGGTATAGTTCATGACATCTGCATCTGTGTTTTTCACTAGCATCTTGGGCATACTCTTGCAGCATTTATAGTATTTGAGGTTTTTGTTGGTGGTGTTTATTTTCTTTCTTTTCCTTTAGATTTAGTCAAAGAAGAAGAACCGTAATCATCTTTATACACTCAGAACCTGTTATAGTGCCTAGCGCCTAATAAATAAATACTGGTTGAATCAAGGTAATGTAATAGCTACTAATACTCTAGGGAGAAATACTTTCTTATAGCCTTTGTGGGTGACTAGCTATCATCAGGCTCTTCACTTCAAAATTAAAGTCAGAAAATATCCAACCCAGTATTTCTACTAAACTCCGCAATCCTAGGCCCAACCATGCTTATCAGTATCACTCTTGAATGTCTTATAGAGTTTTGAAACAGTGTGCCCCAAACTGAATTCCAGATTTTATCTCCCAATTATTATCTTTCTGGTTTTCCCCATTTCAGTTAATGGCAACTTCATTCTTTCAGTGGCTGAAGCCAAATAGTTTGGAGTTAGACCCTGATTCTTTCCTTTCTTGAGGAAAGAAATCCTGTTGGCTCTTCCTTGATTCCAGCACTGCTCTGCTGGTCTATGCCACCATGCTTGCTTATGTTTACTGCCAACAGCCTTCTAACTTGTTTTCCTGCTTCTGCCTTTGCCTGACTCTCACCCTGCCTCATGGTCTCTTCTCAACACAGCAACTCGAGAGGTCCTTTAACATGATAATTCAGATCATCTCACTTCTGTCCTCAAAACTCACCAATGACCATTTTGTTCCCGCTCTTCCCCAGCATCTGAACAGTGCCTGGCATATAATAGGCATTCAATGTTTGCGGAATGAATAGATGAATGTTTAAGCCTTGGTTTAAAAAACAGACAGATACCAAGAAGTTGCAATTTATCATATCATTTTTTTGTCACCTAATAGGGTATATAATCTGAATGTACTACATTTTTAATATAATCATGTTTTGAATATCACCAATATGTTCCAGAAATATCATAGTACTGAAGATAATCTCTTTCTATCTAGCAATAAATTGGCCGCAAAATAACCATTTGGTCCTGGCTGGTGTCATAGCTCTTAGGGAGTTGGTTTCTTCAGCTTTGAAAGAGAGAACTGGATTCAAAGATTTTGGTAATCTCTTGCAATTCAAAATGTCTATGATTCTTTTATTTTATTTTCTTTTTTGGGATGAAATTCAGCTCTTTCCCTTTCTCAAAACATGGACTGAACTTGCTCTTCCTGAATGGCCCTTCATTGGACCTGGTTTTTAAAACATACAAGTTAATTTTACAGAAGAAACCTGCAGAGACACCGGGAGAATTCAGACCTGGTAGGGTGGGGTGGGAGAGCACTCCCGGAGAGGCAGAACCAGTGTCTTGGACCTAATGGGATTGGGGGAGAGTGTGTATGAGACTGACTGTGAGGACAAACCTTTTCTACTGCAATCTTTGTCCTTTTCTTCCTTTGATACCTGGGCCATGGGGGTTAGTGAAGTGTTCTTGACTTTGGAAAGTAATGTCAAGGAACACATTTCCAAGTGCAGCTCCCTTACACTGTTGGGGAGATTGTGTTTGTTCAAAAAGCCATTTTTAACACTGAGGTTATTTGCAATAATTTTTTCAGTGGTATATTTAGATAGGAAGCTAATATAAGATGAAGTCATTGGTGTCAATTCTAGTGGAGTTTTGAGTAATTGGGTGGAAAGTTTGCTCACTTAGCCTTTCGGTGGAAAATTATAAAAACAAATCAAATATGTAAATTATAAAAACTTCACCTTTCAGTATTTTAAAATTAAATTGAATTCTATTTAAAAAATATTTATAGTATAGGTTTCAGATGCAACACTTCAAAACCTGCAATTATTTGTGTATGACTTTTAAATCTTCGTTTAAAAATGAGAAAATTGCCTGCTTATGTAACTTGAAACTCTAATAATTTCAGTTCTCACTCATAATCAGAAGATAGCAAATGGCATACAAAAGCAAGGCAGTTCGAATTTCCCAGCTTCAGCCCAGCGACTAACCCTCATCAAGCATTGTTCAGAACAATTTTCCAACTCATTGACATTTTCCAGTTTCTGCTGAGTGATTTTGCAAATTGCTTTCATCATCTTTGCTCCAAGCTCTTCCAAACAATGTGCCATCAGTGAGTAAATAAACATTTTCTGCTTGCTTATATCATGCCCAAATCCAAAGTTAATAAAACTTGAGTGTGACTAGAGCTTGTAAATATCAGATCTAAACAATCATTTATAGAATTGTTTGTCTTTAATTACTAACATAATAAATAATAATAGTTGTAAAAAATTCAAGAATCACAGAAATGTACAGTGTAAGTAGCAAAGTTCTTCCTGTCTACCCTCCCATCATCCCCAGGCTTACACCTGGAGGTAGCTGGAGTTATCAATTGGGTATCATTTCAAAAATCTTCTCTACTCACAAACACACATACTTGTATACACACAGTACACGTAAGTATGAATTTCTCCTCTCTCTCTCCCTCCCTCCCTCCATCCCTTCCCATCTCTTCCTCCCTCCCTCCCTCCTTCCCTCCCTTCTTTCCTTCTAAAAATGGGATCCCCTCTAGTTATGTCATCAAATCCTTTTTCTACCCAGCAAGCATCATAGTGATCCTTCCACAATAGCACATACAAGTTTGCCCCATTTTTAAAACTGCGTTTTGGTATTCTGAATCTCAAATGTGCTATAATTTATTAACTATTCTCCTATTGTTTGGCATTTAGGTTGCTACCAGTTTTTCAAGGTCACCAATAATGTCACAAATTTGGGAATAAGGGGTGAATAAAATAGGGTTAAGGTAAAGGAGCAAGAAGGGAGTTGATCTGTGCCATTAGATAATCTGAGAACTCAATGTCAAAACACAGTCAGAATTATGTTTCATCAGGCCTTTGATAACTGAGAGCTGACCTCAGGCTACCACACCTCAGATACGATGGTGGCAGGCCACTTGCTGGCTGAAAGTAGCTGCCTTGTGAGTGTCCAGAAGCTACAACCTATGCAAGTGGGTGAAAGAGACTATGGCACCTCCAAACTCATAATCTCCGGCAGAACATATGAAAGACCTCATTTTTGAGCTTATATGTGGGAGGGCTCCTGGGCCAGTCTGCACCTGGACACATCCTTCAATGTTCTGTTAAGAATCCTGATGCCATTGGGTTTCTGGAAAGGCCTGAGGTCTCAGACCACCCCGGGGGCTCACCTAGAATCTTGAGGTCAGTTCATTCCACCCTGTTTCTCATCCTCGTCAGCCAGTCATAGCCCCAAATGCAAGCCCCTCTGCCCACTGAATTTTCATGTTCTGCCTCTCATTTAATCCTTCCATGGCTGTCTTCCCACCCAGGCTTTCTGTTGGTCCTTCAGAGTCCTCTACACACTCCTCCTGATCACAGAGCAATTCCTTTGACTTCCTCGTTCTGTACCTGCATCTGACTATCTGAAGAAAACATCATTAATTTTGTAGTCTTTTCAAGGATCGTGTGGAGCCTGCTGATTCTTCAACATCTTCACCATCTCTGAGCCTGAGTCTGAGGATGGGATGAGGAAGAAAAAAATCAGAAGCGAGAGGAGAGTTGGCTTCCAAATAATATCCTTATCCCCTTATGGATGGCTCCCTGTAATGCGGGCTATATCATCCCTTCCCTTTCTTGTCACTCTCATCTTCTAAACTCTTGGTCATTTTTCTAAATTTACGGAAAAAATTGGTTCTTGTGTGCATCATAATCTTCCCATCTTTATAAGTCCCACCTTCAGCCTGGGAGATTCCATTTGCAATGTGGGTACTCAGTGAAGATCCTGGTCTAATGGACTCTTGACTGTCTCCACTTCAGGAATCACCACCTCCGCTCTCCCATTTCCATCCTCCACACCCATGTGCATATCTCCTCCATCAGAACTCTTTTCCTCTAAGTTCTTAAGTTCCCACATCTCTCTCTCTGCCTGAATTTCCTCTCCTCCCAGCCCTCTCACTCCTTCACTCTCATCTGCTTTGCAGCCTCATCATGATCTTCACGCTGACATTGTGAGCCCAGAGCCCCTGCCTCGGATTTCAGGCACTCATTGTATGTCTTACCCAATGAGTCTTGGTGCAGATTTATCCTTGACTTTCTATCCTACCTGTCTTACCCTCTCCCTCTCTGTAGTCAAATCCATGTCCAAAAGCAAGCCATCTTCCACCTGAGCTGTTTTAATTTTCTCTGGAAAGCCCTCCCCACTCCTAGTTTTTCTTTGTAATTTCACCTTGATCAGCTTCCCCCGATGCCAAACAAACTATTCCATGACAGGGAAATCTTGACTTTCCCTTTCTTCCATGTGATTGTAGACTCTCCCTATTGCTATCGACCCCCCACACCCCAGTCCTTATTGTGCTTGCCTTCTGCTGTTCATCAGTCTGGCCCTTAACTTTCTTCTACTCACTTTCATGGGGCTCTAGAGCTGCCTGCCAGCCCAGAACAGCTTCATTTTGGAGGCCCAGGGGCACATCAGAGGATATTTTCAAATTCTCTTATAATATATTATGTCTTGAAATCAAAATGGGACAAATTGACTTTGGCAATTAAAATTCTCAAACAGATAAATGTTGCTACAAAATATAAAACCTAGAAACAGGAACCATAATTATGATGGTAATAATATTACATACCAGTATATAATAATAGTTATATACTGCTTTCATTATTGAAAGAGGGATTTCTATCTATTATCCTATTTGATTCCTACTCCACAAAGCTCTAAAAAGTAGCACTCTTTCATTTTTGTAGATGGCAAACTGAGTTACGGTGACGCAAAGTGACTTCTGTTGGTTTACATACTATTTAGCTTAGGGAACAAAGCACATTAGAGCACATGATTTCTGAATCTAAACTTTGTGCTCTGTTTTGTACCTTGTTGGCTTTCCAAAAAGTATCTAATTTATTCCAAAGGGGAGGAAAACTCAGTAAAGTTTGAATTAATCTAAGACTTTGTGACCCAGAAAAACCCTGTTCTTGGGGATTACAGTGAAAAGACATCATGATTTTGCACTATCCTTGAACCATTCTAAAGTTCAAGCAAGGGCATGGTTAGTAAAATACCAGCTCTAATTTTAGAAAGGATGAGAGGGGGGACAGGCAGACATGTGAGGTTTAATCAAAAGTGCTATCATTTGGGGATGTTAATAAGCTGTTATCAAGCCCCTTGTGGGTCTGGCACATTTGACCTCATTATCTGGGGAGGCACATGATATTGGATGTCAGCTTCTGGTCACCAGGCAGATGACTCAGAGCCATGGCTGCTGAAAGCCTGTTGGAGACAGAATTGCAGGATTCAATCACAGCCAAGAACTCCTTCCACACACTCTCTAAATAGCATGTGATAACTGCTTTTATCAAACAAGAGCAGCACCTGGTATTCTTCTGACCCATTAAGTTTGGATGCTCAGAGGGTACAATAAACGCCTCATCAAGAAAACATAATATTTATTCTGTTTTCAGACTCTTTGTAAAGGTACCTTTAGATAGCAGAGTCTAGCCTGTTTTCAAGGTGATCCTTGTTACAGAAAAATCCAGGGTGAGGGTAAAAACAATTTAATAACCTGATTGAGTACTCAGGCTTAGGTCTGAACAACAGGATATATAATCATGTCCTTATGTCCAACCAAGGTGACTTCTGGCCAGAGCTATGGGAAGCCACTTAGTGAGAGGATTCCAGATGGCTTCAACCACAAAATCTTCACTAACGTGAGATTTAACCATAATTGTGCAGGAAAACCTCATTCCCACCAAACATGACCACTTTTTTGGAATGTCTTAGACATATACTCCTTTTGGAAATGTGAATCTAGATTCAGAAAGTCCTGGAGTCTTCAGCTCTGAGAAAGCTGAGCAGCCCAGGTCTAAGTCAGAGGATGCTGTGAGAAGACTGCACTGCCCTTTGGTCATCCTGGTGGCTTGTTTTTGCATCAAGAAGATTCTAGGGGGTCATTACCTTCTCTAGTTTCTAAGACTTCTTCTCTGGCCCTTGGGAAACTCTTCCTCTTTTCCAGAATGACTTCAGGGGTTAGGTGTTTTAGGATTGTTAAGGGTTGATAGAGCCCTGGAAGGGCCAGGATGGAATCGAACTCAAGGGGTCTGAGTGGGGCTAAGATGCTTAAGTACCGGTGCCTGTTCCCTTGGCTGTCCGTGCTGGGTTGACATGTGTCTTAGATATTGAGGGACACGGTGCTTGGACTTTTGTTTTGTTTTTTTTTTTTCCAATAGGTTTTTGGAGAACAGGTGGTGTTTGGTTACTTGGATAAGTTCTTCAGTGGTGATTTCTGATATTTTGGTGGACTCGTCACCTGAGCAGTGTACACTGTACCCAATGTGTAGTCTTTTATCCCTCACCCCCCTCTCACCCTTCCCTTTGAGGCCCCAAAGTCCAATATATCATTCTTCTAGTGCTTGGACTTTTGCCATCACTCAACAGAAAGGTGATTATTCCCAAGAATGGTTGAAGTTGTTCAAAGGCCTTACTAAGTTAACTGTAAAAAGATGCTAGAGTATTCCCTAACTAAACATTGGTAATTGAAAATGTCTGTGGGCATTAGGTTTATTTCCTCTTAGCCCTTGATCAGGTAAATCTATTTAATCTTGATGGGAAATAGGTACCCAAAGAGCCCCCAAATGACATTGCCATCAGATATCTGTTTTAAAAAGTGGTCATTAATGGCAGAAAAAAATCTGTCCTCGGAGTAGACCTTTCTTCTGGAAGCTCAAATATATGAATAATACATTAGTTGTTGCTCCATTTTCTCAGAGGGACAGCCTCCTGCACATCTCTGAGATTCTGAAATAGCCACAGGCATGTGCCACTCTTTATCTGCTTTCGAGCATGAGCCAGAATGCTCAACACAAGACAGAACCCAGGCCATTCTACTTGGAATGTTGGCTTCTAGTTTTTTACTCATCAAGGAAGCACATGGTGGGAAAGATTAAAGTGACCAGAGGTGCCCTTCCCTCTGCTCTGGCAAAGTGGACATTCAGGCCCTCTTCTTCCATGTGCCAAGGGGCAGAGGAGCAGGGAGTTGGCCTGGAGAGAGGTGGGGCGTTGGAGCTTTTCTCTGAGTGCTCTCCTTATTGTACTTCACACTAAATATTTATTTATGTATGTATTAATGAATGACTCCTGGATGTTTGACTACCAAATAGTGTTATACTGCAGTTTGAAGAAATTGAAAGTGGATTTTAAAAGATACAACATCTTTGGAAAACTTTCTGTTTATTTTCTTTCTTTTTTTGGTATTTAACTTTTAGATTCAGGGGGTATGTGTACACTTTTGTTACACAGGTAAATTGCATGACACTGGGGTTTAGTGTACAAATAATTTTGTCACCCAAATAGTAAGCATAGTACCCAACAGGTAGTTTTTTGACCCTCACCCTCCTCTCACCTTCCCCCCTCAGGTGGGCCCTGGTGTGCCTATTCTTCCCATCTTTGTGTCCATGGGTACTTAGCCCCCACTTATGAGTGAGAACATGCATGCTTGGTTTTCTGTTCCTGCATTATTTTCCTTAGGATAATGGCCTCCAGCTACATCCATGTTGCTGCAAAGGATATTATTTCATTTTTAATGGCTGTATAGTATTCCATGGTGTATATGTACCAAATTTTCTTTATCTGTTCCACCATTGATGGATATTTAGGTTGATGCAAATAGTGCTGCAGTGAACATATGCCTACATGTGTCCTTATAGTAGAATGATTTATATTCCTTTGGGTATATACCCAGTAACGGGATTTCTGGGTCAAAAGGTAATTCTGTTTTAAGTTCTTTGAGAAATCTCCAAACTGCTTTTCACAGTGACTGAACTAACTTGCATTCCCATCACAGTGTATAAGCATTTCCTTTTCTCTGCAACCTCTTCATCAACATCTGTTCTTTTTTGACCAGCCATTCTGACTGGTGTGAGATGGTATCTCATTGTCGTTTTGATTTGCATTTCTCTAAAAATTAGTGATGTTGAACATTTCTTCATATGCTTGTTGGCTGCATGTATGTCTTCTTCAGAAAAGCATCTGTTCATGTCCTTTGTCCATTTTGTAATGGGGTTGTTTGCTTTTTTCTTGTTGACTTGTTTAAGTTCCTTATAAATTCTGTATATTAGACCTTTGCTGGATGCATAGTTTGCAAATATTTTCTCCCATTTTGTAGGATTTCTGTTACTCTGTTGATGATACTTTCTGTTGCTGTGCAGAAGCTCTTTAGTTTAATTAGGTCTCACTTGTCTATTTTCATTTTTGTTACAATTGTGTTTGGAGACTTTGTCATGGAGACTTTGTCATGAAATCTTTGTCAAGGTCTATGTCCAGAATGGCATTTTCTAGGTTTTATTCTACAGATTTAATAGTTTTAAGTTTTAAATTTGAGTCTGCAATCCACCTTGAGTTGATTTTTTATATGGTGAAAGGAAAGGGTCCCGTTTAAATTTTCTGCATATGACTAGCCAGTTATCCCAGCACCATTTGTTAAATAGGGAGTCCTTTTCCCATTACTTATTATTACCAACTTTGTCAAAGATCAGATGATTGTAGGTATGCAGCATTATTTCTGGGTTCTCTATTCTGTTCCATCAGCCTATGTGCCTGTTTTTGTACCAGTACCATACTGTTTTAGTTGCTGTAGCCTTGTAGTATAGTTTGAAGTCAGTGTGATGCCTCTGGCTTTATTCTTTTTGCTTAGGATTGCTTTGGCTATTTGGGCTTTTTTTTGGTTCCATATAAATTTTAGTATAGTATTTTCTAATTCTGTGAAAAAAATGTCATTGGTAGTTTGATAGTAATGGTATTGAATCTGTAAATTGCTTTGAGCAATATAGCCACTTTAACAATGCTAATTTTTCCTATCCATGGGCATGGAATGTTTTCCCATTTGTTTGTGTTTTCTCTGATTTCTTTCAGCAGTGTTTTATAGTTCTCATTGTAGAGATCTTTCACCTCCTGGGTTAGCTGTATTCCTGTTATTTTATTCTTTTTGTGGCTATTGGGACTAGGATTGTGTTCTTGATTTGGCTTTTAGCTTGGATGTTATCAATGTATAGAAATGCTACTGAGTTTTGTATATTCATTTTGTATCCTGGAACTTTACCGAAGTTGTTTATGAGTTCTAGGGGACTTTGGCCAGAGACTATGAGGTTCTCTAGTTATAGAATCATATCATCTGTGAAGAGAGATAGTTTGATTTCCTCACTTTCTATTTGGATGCCTTTTATTTCTTTCTCTTACCTGATTGCTCTGGCTAGGACTTCTAGTACTATGTTTAATAGGAGTGGTGAGGCATTATTTCTGGGCTCTCTATTCTGTTCCGTTGGTCTATATGTCTCTTTCTGTACCAGTACCATACTGTTTTGGTTACTGTAGCCTTGTAACATAGTTTGAAGTTGATAACATAATGCCTCCCACTCTTTTTTTTTTGTTCAGGATTGCTTTGGCTATTTGGGCTCTTCTTTGGTTCCTAAAATAAAAGTTAAAAAAATTTTTAAAAACCCATGAATGGTGAGAGTGGGTATCGTTCTGGTTTTCTTAAGGGGAATGCTTTCAGCTTTTGTTCATTCAGCACAATGTTGTCTGTGAGTTTGCCATAGACAGCTCTTATTGTTTTGAGCTATGTTCCTTTGTTGCTAAGTTCCTTAAGGGTTTTTTAACATGAAGGGATATTAAGTTTTATCCAAAGCCTTTTCTCTGTCTATTGAGATGGCCATGTGGTTTTTGTTTTTAGTTCTGCTTATGTGATGAATCACATTTATTGATTTGCATATGTTGCATCCCAGGAATAAATCCTCCTTGATCATGGTGAATTAGCTTTTTCATGTGCTGCTGGATTTGGTTAGTTAGTATTTTATTGAGGATTTCTGCATCTGTGGTGGTGGGATATATATGCTTGTACTCAATGGGATTTTTTTAAAAGTTATACTTTAGGGAGAGATCACAGTTAGGAAAGAGTAGAGGGTCTGAGACCGTGTCATGTTAAGACATTTAGAGTTTGGGCCAAGGGAAAAGTCACTAAAGGAGATGGAGAATGAGTAGTCAATAGAGCCCAGCTGAGGGCGGGGCTATAGACACCCAGAGAGAAGAGAATTTCAAAGATATGGTGGGTAGTTATGTCAATACCTCTGGAAGGTGAGGACCAAAAAGTTGCCTTTGTGTCTCACTGCATGAAGCTTATTGGTAAGCTTGACTATGGTCATTTCAGTGCTGTGGTAGAGAAGGAAGTCTGGTTTTGTGACTTGAGGAGTGAGATGGTAGGATGTGAATTTGTGGTCATGAATAGCAAGTGAGCCCAACCAGCTTGGCTGTGGGCTTTATGATAACAGACACACCCACCAGGCACCAGCATTGATAATAGTCTGGGTGTCAGGCTAATATTGCCCTGATTAGAAAGCCAGGCCCCACTGCTCACTGAGGCATCACTGATGTTTGGGTTTGCAGTATTAGGAGCTGGATGATGGTAGTTCATTTTCTCCATGTGCACAGCACTTGTGAACTGTCTTTTACTGGGGATGATGACACCTGCCCTGGACATGAATTCTGAATCCTATAGACACGACCCACATAAGCTGATCCAATCCACTTCAGCTGTTACATTAAGAGAAAAAGCAGAGGCTTTGAAGGAAGAATAAGTTGAATCAAAATTCAATGTCTACCATTTATTGCATTGTAGACTAGTTTGGGCAAATAATCTCAATTCTCTGAACTCTGTTTGCTGACCTCCAAAACAGGGATAATAGTAGCTCACATCAGGATGTTATATATATTGGAATTATTGCCTGTAGAATTTCTAGTAGATTGTCATGTACCTAATAACTGGTCAAACAATGGTAGTGTTATATATTAGCAAAGAGCCAGAGTTGAAATTAATTGTTAAAAATTTTATTACTTGGAGGTATAGAGGTTTGGATGCAAAGATTTTTGTACCTTGACCAAACTGACACAGCAAAACTTGTGACTGGTGCTTGGGGAAGGTCAACTAAATGGTAAACTTTCTGGAGGCAAGATACTCCTCAACATTCTGAAGAAGTCATTTTGACACATTGTGATCTGAGGAAGAACCCTGGGACTGCAAGGATGTTACAAATAAGAGCATTGGCAATGCTTCTCTCTAGTCACCATTTACTTATTCCATCATTAAATGACTAGATTTGTTTTGAGCTCTTCAGGGAAACCCCTTAAAAACATTGGCAATCAGATCTCATATCTTTGGGTCTCCTTTGAAACATCAACTGGCCTCAGGACATGATACCCCACATTGGATGTTCAGAGACTGGCCCAAAATTTCCAGGTTTTTCCTGGACAGCAGTTTCCTGATGGTTTTTGGTTGGATGTGTTCCATTTCATGAGTAAACGGCTGCAGATTTGAGCAGAGAGGCTGTTTTCATCAATTGATTCTTGTGAGTATGTGCCAATTAGAGGATAAAGCAAGGTACTTTGAAACTATTAATAGAATAGTTTCCAATTCACTGGTCACACCAGCTGCAATACTATCTTCTTAAGGGAGTAGCCATAAGCCTGAGAAATACTAACAGCAGTTTATGGAAAGGCCGAGAGAAGCTCCTCTGGACATTGTTTTTTAACCCTCTCAAATTTGTCAGTTTCAACAGTTTCTCTCCAGAAGTCACATTTGACCTCATCCAAAATCTCGATGTTGGCTAGGAGTGGTGGTTCAGGCCTGTAATCTCAGTGCTTTGGAAGGCTCCGGTAGGAGGGTTCCTCGAGACTAGGAGGTCAAGGCCAATCTGAGCAACATAGAGATCCTGTCTCTACAAAATGTTTTAAAAGTTCACTGGGGGGTGCTGGTGTGCACCTGTAGTCCTAACTACTTGGGAGGCTGAGGCAGGAGGATAGCTTGAGCCCAGGAGTTCAAGGCTGCATGAGCTATGATCATGCCACTGCACTCCAGCCTGGGTAACAGAGCCAGACCTTGTCTTAAAACACAACAAAACAAAACAAAACAGCCAGGCATGGTGGCTCATGCCTGTAATCCCAGAACTTTGGGAAGCTGAGGCAGGTGGATTGCTTGAGCTCAGGAGTTCAAGACTAGCCTGGGCAACATAGTGAAACCTCATCTCTACAAACATACAAAAATTAGCTGGTTGTGGTAGCACAAACCTGTGGTCCCAGCTACCCAGGAGGCTGGGGTAAGAGAATCTCTTTAGCCCAGGAGGTCGAGGCTGCAGTGAACCAAGATTATGCCACTGCACTCCAGCCTGGGTGACAGAGTGAGACCCTGTCTTGAAAAACAAAACAAAACAACCAAAAAACCCTCAATCTTTGCAGAGAGCATACTTGATACTTTTCCTTCCACATTCACTTGCAAATGCCTATAGTGCTCTGCATATCCTACACTAGGAAAGCCAGTGTCTAACCAAATATTTTGTTCTATTCATCTAACACATAGTTATAATTTTAATTCTTATAAATCCCTGTTAGTACATTTTCTTTTATTTTTATTTGTGCTTAAGACAGAGTCTTACCCTCTTCCTATGTGTAATGGTTGGGAAAAGGAAGAAAAACAAGCACAGCCTCATTATTATTGGTGACGTAGTTATTATAGGCAAATGATAAGGTGGAATTTTACTTGTAAATGAAACTATAATGCACTTTCTGGGCTCAGTCAGCTGTAAATGTTCCAATGACTAGTTTTTCTTTTCCAGGAACTTAGAGCAGTTTTAATGAATTCTAGAGGTTTATTAACTGCTGAATATAGCATGTGAAACTGCAGAGGTCAATATCAATTGAAAAATGAGTGATTGTATTATGCTCTTTGTCTAGACAGAGCAAGGCTCTGAGACCAATCTTCTTTTACTCATAGTTCTTTGAGAGATTGGAGGGAAGACTTTTAGGGCACAACTCACCTGAAAGGGCTGAGGCCACAGTGCTTCTGGGCAGGCAACTGGAAAGAGGATTTGCCTCTGAGAGACTGAAGCAACCTTCCTTTCTCCCTTCCTTACTTCCGTTTCTCTTTCTCTCTCTTTCTTCCTCTTTTTTCCTTTCTTCTTTTCAGGGAAGCGGGCACTAGAGAAACAGAAGACCCAGATGAAAATACTTTCATAGAGTGTCATCATGACAGAGTTACTACTACACAGCCTGAGTTTAAGTCTCAGCTCCACCATTTGCTAAATATTGCCTTAAGCAAATGACTACTTATCCATATCTTGGTTCTCTCTTTGTAGAATGGGAATAATAACAGTGTCTACCTCTTTGAATTGTGTGAATGGGAGTGTTATGGTATCTCAATTGGTTTTAATTTGTATTTGTGAGATTAGTGATGTCGAACACTTTTTCATGTACTAATCGGCCGTATATATATATATATGTGTGTGTGTGTGTGTGTGTGTGTGTGTGTGTGTGTGTTTCTGTAAAGTGTTTGTTTAAATCTTTTAACCATTTTAAAATTGGATTGTTTTACTATGTTGTAGAAGTTCTTTATGTGTCTTGGTACCAGTCCTTTGTCAAATATATGTTTAGTGAATGTTTGCTTCTAGTATGTGGCTTTTTGTTCGTTTGTTTTTTAGACAGGGTCTTGATTTGTCACCCAGGCTGGAGTGCAGTGGTGTGATCATGGCTCACTGCAACCTCCACCTCTCAGGCTCAAGCGATCTTCCAACCCCAGCCTACAGAGGATCTGGGACTACAGGTGCACACCAGCAGTCTAATTTATCAATTTTTCTTCTATTGTTATTGCTTTTAGTAACCTAAGAAAACTTTGCCTACTCTCAAGTCAAAAAGATTTTTTTTTTATGTTCTCCTATAAAAGCTTTGTGATTTTGGCTATGTTAAGACTAGAATACACCTCAAATTATTTTTTGTATATAGTGTGACATAGAGGTGGTTGTTCATTTTATTTATAATGATAGTTATTTCAGCACTATTTCTTGAAAAGATTTATTTTACTTCATTGGATTGCTTTAGAGCTTTTGTTGAAAATCAAATAACGGCATAAATAGGGGTCTATTTCTGGGCTCTCTCTTCCGTTCTGTTGATTATTTTGTTGATCCTTATGTGCATATCACACATTCTTGATGAGTGAATCTTTATTGTGAGTCTTAAAGACAGGTAGTATAAGTCTTCCAATTTTGTTATTTGTTAGAATTGCTTTGGATATTTTAGGTCAGCACTTTCTAATAGAGCTTCCTGCAATGATAGAAAAGGTGTATATCTATGCTGTTCAATACGACAGTCTCTAGCCTTGTGCGGCTATTGAGCACTTAAAATATGGCTAATGAGAAAGGAGAAATAAATTTTTAATTATATTTAATTTTAACTAATTAAAATTTAAATATAAACAGCCAACTCTGGCTATTGTATGTATTAGACTGCCCAGTTCTAGGTCCTTTGCATTTCAATACACATTTTAGAGTCAGCTTGTCAACTTCTATTTTTTAAAAGGCCTGTTGAGATGACTGAGATTGTGCTGAATCTATACAGTGTGTGCAGAATTGATATCATAAGAATATTAAACTTCAAATCCATAAATATGCTCAATCTCTCCATTCACTTAGATCTTTTAAAATTTCTCTTACAAATGTTTTGTAGTTTTTAGTATAGAAGAATTGCATGTCTGTTGTTAAATTTATTCCTATGTATTTTATGTTTTTGATGCTATTATAAATAATATCAATTTTTAAACGTCAATTTTTAATTGTTTATATTTTTATTATGAAAAATTACAGTTGGTTTTTGTATATTGATTATGATTTCTGCAACCTTGCTAACCTCACTTATTTACTTATTTTAATAGTTGTTTAATAGATGTCCTAGGATTTTCTGTGTAAACAATGTGTCATCCAGAAATAGAGACAGTTTTATTTCTTCCTTTCCAATATTTATTCCTTTCATTTTTTTTAAACCTGTCCTCTTGCATTGACTAGGATTTCCAGGACAATGTGCAATGAAGTGTACATGCTTGTCTTATTTCCAGTCTTACAGGACAATATTCACATTAAGTATAGATGTTAAGCAGAGGTTTTTTATAGATGATTTTATCTGATTGAGGAAGTTCCCTTTTATTTCTAGTTTGCTGAGAGTTTTTTTTTACAATCAGGAATGAACATAAGATTTTGTCAGATGCTTTTGCTGCATCTATTGAAATTATCATCTTTTTTCTTTTATTTTGTTAATATGAAAAATTACATTGATTTTTAAAGTGTTAGACCAACCTTCCACTCCTAGCATATCCCTATCAGGTAAAATCTTTTAAATACATTGCTAGCTTCAATTAGCTGTAGGTTGGTTAAGTATATTTGCATTTATGTTCAGAAAGGATATTTATCTGAACTTTTCTTTTTGGTAATGTCTTTGTCAGGTTTTGGTACCAGGGTATGCTAACCTAATTAAACATGTTCGAAGGGGTTCCATCCTCCTCGATTTTCAGAAAGCACTTGCGTAAAATTGGTGTTATTTCTTCCCAGAAAATTTTATAGAATTCACTAATGAAACTGTATGGGCCTAGAGATTTCTTAGTGGGAAGATTTTGGTTATGAATCCACTTTCTTTAAAAAAATATTTAGAGTTGTTCAGATTTTCTAGTTCATGGATATTTTTCAAAGAATTTATCTATATTATATAAATTGTTGATTTGGTATTTTAAAATGTAATTTTTAATTTAAAAAATTTTAATTTAAAAGTAAATTGCATTTTTATTTTAGTGAATTTGGCTGTATCACAACTTGCTTATCAATTCACCCACTGAAAGCCATCTTGGTTGCTTCCAGTTTTTAGCAAATATGAATACAGCTGATATAAATATTGTGTGCAAGTTTTTGTGTGAATGTAAGTTTTCAGCTCATTTGCATAAATACTTAGGAATAGGATTGCTGGATTGTATGGTAAGACTATGTTTTAACTTTGTAAGAAACTGCCAACCTGTCTTCCAAACGACTGTATTTTTTTGCATTACCACCAACAGTGAATGAGAGTTCCAACTGTTTGACACCCTCCCCAGCATGTGGTGGTGTCAGCGTTTTGGATTTTGGCTATTCTAATAGGTGTGTGGTGGTATCTCCTTGTTGCTTTAATTTGCAAATCCCTAATGACATATAATGTTGAACATCTTCTCATATACTTATTTGCCATCTGTATATGTTCTTTGGTGAGATGTCTATTCAGATATTTTGTCCATTTTTCAATGGGATTGTTTTTCTTGTTGAGTTTTAAGAGTTCTTCGTATATTTTAGATACAAGTTCTTTATCAGACACGTGTTTTGTAAATATTTTCTCCCAGCCTGTGGCTTGTTTTTTCAGTCTCTAATATCTAAAAATAATTGCCAAATGCAAGGTTACCTATACTTTGTCTTGTGTGAATTCCAGAAGTCTTTTTTTTTTTTTTTTTTTTTGAGACGGAGTCTCGTTCTGTCGTCCAGGCGGGAGTGCTGTGGCGCGATCTCCGCTCACTGCAAGCTCCGCCTTCCGGGTTCACGCCATTCTCCTGCCTCAGCCCCCCGAGTAGCTGGGACTACAGGCGCCCGCCACCGCGCCCGGCTAATTTTTTGTATTTTTAGTAGAGACGGGGTTTCACCGTGGTCTCGATCTCCTGACCTCGTGATCCGCCCGCCTCGGCCTCCCAAAGTGCTGGGATTACAGGCGTGAGCCACCGCGCCCGGCCTCCAGAAGTCTTATAAATTTACATTTTACATTTAGGCCTATGATCCATTGAGTTAATTTTTGTGAAAGGTGTAAGGTCTAGATTCACTACTTTGCATGTGGATGTTCAATTGTTTCTGGTCCATCTATTGAAAAGACTATGCTTTCTCCATTGAATAGCCCTTGTTTCTTTGTCAAAGATCCATTAACTGTATTGTATGAGTCTATTTCTGAACTCTTTATTCTGTTCTATTGATGTACTGTCTATTCTTTTACCAATACCATACTGTCTTCATTATTGTAGTTTTGTACTAAGTGTTAAAGTTAGGTAATATCAGTCCTCTTCAGTATTATGTTGGTTTTTCTGGGTCTTTTGCTTCTCCATATAAACTTTAGAATCAGTTTGTTGATATCCACAAAATAACTTGCTGGCATTTTGATTGGGATCACATTAAATCCATAGATCAAGTTGGGAAACCCTAACATCTTGACAATATTGAGTCTTCCTATCCATGAATGTGGAGCAGTATAGCCATTTATTTAGAAATCTTTTAAATTCTTTCATCGGAGTTTTATGCTTTTTCTTATGTAGATCTTATATGTACTTTGCTAAGTTTATACATAAGTGTTTAATTTTTATGCTGCCAATGAAAATGCTATGTGTGTTTAATTTAAAATTCTAATTGTTAGTTGCTGGCATATAGGAAAGAAACTGACTTTTTATATTAATCTTGTGTCCTACAACTTTTTTATAATTGCTTATTAGTTCCAGGAGTTTTTTTTGTTGATTCTTTGGGATTTTCTACGTAGCAAATCTGTTATCTGTGAGAAAAGAGTTTTATTTCATCCTTCTCAATATCCATACTTTTTATTCCCTTTTTTTTATCTTACTGCCATGAGCCTGGGCTTCCAGGTTAATGTTGAGTAGAAATGGTGAGAAGGGACATCCTTACCTTCTTGATCTTAGGGGGAAAGCACCTCATTTATCACCATTAAAGTATAATGTTAGCTGTGTTTTTTTTTAAATAGTTTTTTTTTTTTGTCAAGCTGAGGAAGTTCCCCTCTATCCCTGGTTTTTTTTTTGAGAGCTTTTATCATGAGTGAGTGTTAGATTTTGTCAAGTTCTTTTTCTGCATATATTTATATGATCATACGATTTTTCTGCTTTAGCTTGTTAATGTGATAGATTGCATTAATGGAATTCTGAATGTTGAACTAGCCATACATACCTAGAATAAATTCCACTTGCTTGTGGTGCATATTTCTTTTTTTCAAAGAACACCGTTGGATTAAACGTGCTAATATTTTGTTGTAGATTTTTATATCTGTCATGGGAGATATTGGTCTGTAATTTTCCTTTATTGTAATGTCTTTATCCAGCTTTGGTAATGCTGGTCTCATAGAATGAATTAGGAAGTAATATCTTCACTTGTATATTTTTGAAGAGATTGTAGAGAATGGATATCATTTCTTCATTAAATGTTTGGTAGAATTCAGCATTGAAACCATCAGCTTGGTGTTTCTTTTTTGGAGGATGATTAATTATTGAATCAAAATTTTAAATAAATATAGAGCCATTGAGATTGTTTATTTTTCCTTGTATGAATTTTCATAGACTGTCTCATTCAAAGAATTTCTGGGCAGAGTTGTTCATAATATTCCTTTATTATCCTTTTGTAATAGTTAATTTTGTGTATCTACTTGACTACCTGGGCTAAAAATACCCAGATAGCTGGTAAAGCATTATTTCTGGATGTGTCTGTGAGGGTGTTTCTGGAAGAGATTAGCATTTGAATCAGTAGACTAAGGAAGATCTGCCTTTACCAGTGTGGGTGGGCAACACCCAACCCATTGAGGGTCTGGATAGAACACAAAGGTAGAGGAAAAGAAAATTTTCTCTCTTTTTTTTCTTGAGCTAGGACATCATCTTCTCCTGCCCTTGGACGTTGGAGCTCCTGGTACTTGGACCTTTGCACTCTGGGGCTCATACACCCTCACCTACCTTCACTCCTCCTCCCATTCGCTAGTTCTCATGCCTTTGGCCTCAGACTGGGAGTTACACCATGGGCTCCTCTGGTTCTCAGGCTTTCAAACTCAAGACTGAATTACACCACCGGTATTCCTCTTTTTTTTACATTTCTCATATTATTTCATTCTGATATTTCATATTCTGATAATTTGTGTCACCTCTCTTTCTTCCTCGGTTAGCCTGGCTAGAAGTTTGTCACTAACATTGATCTTTACAAAGAGACACTTTGGCTTCATTGATTTCCTCTATTGTTTTCCTGTTTTTTAATTTCATTGATTTCTGCTTTAATTTTTATTATTTCTCTCTGTTGCTTCAGGTTTTCATTGTTTATTTTTTTCTAGTTTCTTAAGGTAAAAACTTAGATTTATTTTAAATCTTTCTTATTTTCTAATACATACATTCAGTGTTCTCAGTTCCCCTCTATGCACTGCTTTCACTGCACCCCACAAATCTTGATAAACTGTGTTTTCATTTTCATTTTGTTCAAAATATTTTTAAGTTTCTCTTGAGATTTTTTGACCTATCTGTTATTTACACATATCTTGTTTAATCTCCAAATATTCTGAGGTTTTCCAGATATCCTTCTATTATTGATTTCTTGTTTAATTCCATTGTGGTCTGAGAACATACTCTGTATGATTTCTATTATTATTCAGAATTTGTTAAGGTGTGTTTTATGGCCCCAAATGTGATCTATCTTGATGGGTGTTTCATGTGACCTTGAAAAGAATGTATATTCTGCTGTTGTTTGATGAAATATTCTATAAATGGCATTTAGATCTGGTTAATTGATGGTGCTGTTCAGTTCAACTATGTCCTTTTCTGCTTGTTGGATCTCTCAATTACTGATAAAGGGGTGTTCAAGTCTTCAGCTATAATAGTTTTAGTTTGCAGTTTTATTGATTTTTGCCTCATGTATTTTGACATTCTGTTTTAGGTATGTACATATTAAGGATTGTTATGGCTTTTTTTGGGCGGGGGAGGTTGTTATGTTTTCTTGGAGAATTGACCCCCTTTGTTGTTATATAAAGTGTTCTTTCTCTATACCTGATAATTTTTATTTACTCTGAAGTCTGCTCTATTTGAATCTATATAGTTATTTCTATTTTCTTTTGATTAGTGTCAGCATAGTATATCTTCATTATTTTACTGTTAATCTATTTATGTCTTCATATATATGAAGTGGATTTATTTTAGACAAAATATAGTTGGGTCTTTTTTTTTTTTTTTTGGTTTGTTTGTTCATTTTATCCACTCCAATAGCCTCTGTGTTTTAATGGGTGTATTTAGACCATTCACATATAAAGTGATTATTGATATAGTTGGATCAATATCAACCATATTTGTATCTGTTTTCTATTTGTTGCCATGGTTTTCTTTTTTGTCTTTCATACTTTTCCTGCCTTCACTGATTTTAATTGGGCATTTTATATGATTCTCTTTCTTCTCCTTTTCTATCATATATATTATCCTTCTTAAAAAAAAAACAACTTTTTTAGTGGTTCCCCTAGAGTTTGCAATATGCATTTACAACTAATCCAAGTCCAATTTCAAATAATACTATACTGTTTCATGACTAGTGCAAGCCCTTGTAACAGAATATTCCTAAGTCCCTCCCTCTCTACCTTATTGTATTGCATTTCACTTCTCTATAAATTATAATCACTCAATGATTGTTTCTATTATTATTTTGAATAAACTCTTGTTTGTTAAATCAATTGAGAACAAGAAAAATAAAAGACTTTATTTCACCTTCATTTATTCCTTCACCAGCTCCCTTTCTTTACGTAGGTCTGAGTTTCCAACCTATATCATTTTCCTTCTCTCTGAAGAACTTCTTTTAATATTTCTTGTAAAGCAGTTATACTGTCAACAAATTATCTCAATTTTTGTGTGCCTGAGAAAATCTTTATTTCTTCTTCACTTTAGAAGGATAATTTCAGTAGAAACAGAATTCTCACTTAGTGGGTTTTTTTCTTTCAACATTTAAAATATTTCCCTCCACATTATTCTTGCTGCCATGATTTCTGAAGATAAGTCTGATGTAATTGTTATTCTTGTTTCTCTATAAGTATTTTTATTCTATGGCTTTTTTCAACATTTTCTCTTTGTATTTTTTTTGCAGTTTTAATATGATATTCCTAGGTATAGATATTTTGGTGTTTATCCTGGTTGTTGCTCTCTGAGCTACCTGAATCCATGTTTTGGTGTCTGACATTAATTTTGGAAAATCCTTAGCCATTATTACTTAAAATATTTCTTCTGTTTCTTTCTCTTCTTTTTTCTCTTTCTGGCATTCTCATTACACATATATTGCATCATTGTCCTACAGTTTTATAATTGTCCCATAGTTCTTGGATATTCTATTCCTTTTTATTTCATTCTTTTTTCTCTTTACTCTTCATTTTGGAATTTTCTGTTGACATATCTTCAAGCTCACAGCTTCTTTTCTAACCTGTGCTCAGTCTACTGATGATCTACTGAAAGCAGGCTTCATTTCTGTTATAGTGGGTTTATTTTCTATTTTATGGCAAAACATACACAATATAAAATGTATAATGTTAACCATTTTTAAGGGTACATTGCAGTGGCAATAAGTACTTCACAATGTGTGGAATCATCACCACTGTCCATCTCCAGATCTTTTTCATCATCCCAATGGAAACTCTGTTTATTAAAGAGTTCCAGAGTCTCAGTCTCCCTTTTTCCAGCCCCTGGTAACTTCTATGTTCTGTCCTTATGAGTTTGCCTATTCTACATACCTTACATAAGTAGAATAACACAATATTTGTCTTTTTGTATCTAATTTTGATTTCTATCTTGGACATTGTGAATGTTGTGTTATGGAGACTGGATTCAATTATAATCCTCTTAAGAATGTTGGCAATTTTATTTTGGTTGCCAGTGAAGTTTGTTAGACTTAAACTTGCAAACTATGCCTCTTGGCAGTTACTCAAATCTCCATTCAGTTGTTTTATCCTTAGGTGGTTTGCTTGCAGACTACCCACCCATGCACAGTTCAGGGCTTAGCTAGAGATTCAGGCAAAAGTTTGCACACAGATTTTGGGCTCTTTCCCTCTGGGTCGCTACTTTTTAGCCTTCCTCCTATATAATCAAGTGACCATGGTTACCCTGAAGTCTGTTCTCCTAGACTTCTGTTTTTTCATTAGAGTTTTAGCTTCTCTTTACCGACAGACTTCAGCATGACTGATTTGGGACTAAATGCCATAAAAAGGGAAAAGCAACCCCTTACCAGTTTCTTTTCTCAAGTGTCAGCTTCCTTTCAGAATCTACTTGCTTTTGTTATTCTCCAGAATCTTCAGGTAGTTTTTCATTCTATTTTGTCCAGAGTTTTATTTATATATAGGGGGGAGGGGGGTTAATTGCTAATCTAATTAGCAATTTCCTTTTATTACTTTTGAAAACAGACACAATAAGTAATAGTATCTGAGTAACTCTTCAGCTTACCAAACCTCCCTGAAGTTAATAATCAGCTGGGATGCATATTATATATGCAGATTACCATTCTCCTCCTATGGAAATTCTGATTAAGTAATTCTGAATTGGGAACCAGTAATTTGTTCTTTTAGTTAGAGGTTGCAAGTGACTCTTATTTTTAGGGATGTTCGGGCAAACATTATGTTAGACCCTTGCTACCCAAAATGTGGGAGTTTGTTAGAAGTGTAAAATCTCGGCCTTCTCCCAAATCATACAGAATGTGAATTCATATTTTGACAAGACGCTAGATGATTTATAGGAACATTGAACTTGCAGAAGTGGTAGTTTGGGCTACTATGACTTTTTAATGTCGAATATGAAATGCTCAGTGATTTTTTTCCATTATGTATTCACTCATCAAATACTTTTGGTGATAAATAAAATAAACATAAATCCTGCCTTTATGGTCAACAGCCAATAAATTTAAAAAAAGCACATTAATCACTATTATAGCCTGCAAAGTGCTATAAAGGAAACAAATATGGTGAAAAGATATAGGCCAGTGATTCTAAAATTTCATGCAATTTAGAATCACCTGGGGGTATTTTAAAAATTAAATGCCAAGACTTTACCCCAGACAAATTAAATCAGAATTTTTGGGGAGGAGATGCAGGCATCAATGTTTTTAAAAAACCTCAGATGATTCCAATGTACAGCCAAGTTTGAGAACCAATTATACAGGGCTAGTTGAGAATCACTAGAAAGGTCAAGAAACGTCTCATTTGTTCTGAGACTTGAAGGGTAAGTAGGTATGTAAAGACTCAAGGGAACGGCATTCCTGGAGGTGGGATCAGCAGGTACATAAATCTCAAGAAAGAAATAAGCTTGATGTATTTGAGGAACTGAAAGTGACAATGTGGTTTGAGGTATAATGAGTAAAATAGAGAAAGGCATAAAGTTGAACAAAGCCAACAATGTCTGTTTGCATCCATAGGCCATATAAAGGGTGTTTGGCACACATGGAACTATCAATTTTAGATATGTTAAAAATTTGTCACAAGTGTTAGGGGAATTTTGAATTAATAATAGCTGCAATGGATGGCATAGTGTGTTGATTTTTATCCAGGCTCCCTCTATCTGGCTCAGTGAGAGATTGTCTAAGCTTGGGGTTTTTACATGCGGCTAGTTTCTTATACTCTATTTTTTTACTGAATTAGAAAATCCCAACTTGTCATCAAGAATGGCAGCAAGGGATTGATGGTTCAGGTAGATGATTTTGGATGTTCTAATGGAACATGGACAGAGAAATTATAGCATAGTTGCTTGATAAAGATTACATTAAAGTTGCATTAGACTCTAAGTCAGCAAGCCTTCCATTGCTTTTTCTGAGACCTCATCTAGTTAGTTGTCCATATCCTATGTTGGTCTGGCAACTGGGCTTCATTTCTTGTAGTAGGTAATTTATAGTTTGTTAATAAGCAACAATTCAAGGTTTAGTTTTTGTTACATCTACTGTTCAAATTTACATGGATCGGTACCAGGCTGAAATGTTCACAGACTTTCCCTTTGTAAACTGCCTGCTATGCTCATAGAGACCTGGAGTGGGACTATCAGGAGACAGTGGCTGTGAATCCCTCATCATCAGTTCCCTGGACACTGGTGGGTGTCACTAGCCATACCTGGGCCATCAGCAGTGATGGCCACATCACAGCACCCTTTCCATCAACAATTCCTGATAGATAGGCCATGAATTCCACAGGAACTGGCTCATTTTTGCTCTCACAAGGAACTCTGCTGGCTACCTCATGTTGTCTTCCATTTTTGTTCTCTTCTGCTATAGTCTAGCTTATTGTTGTTGAGTCTATTGTTTAAAAATTATTTCCTGAGTAAATAGTATTAGTATTAAAGTGACTTGATGTAAGGAAAATGAATGTGCTGCAGTCAAGGGTAGGCCAAGGTGGCCTTCCAATGTAGCATGACTCAATGGGTTTGGAGTGCAGGTGCACAACTCTGCACATTATGAAACCACACCATGTGAGGCACATTAGGTGATCACCCATGTGAGCTTGTGCTTGGCTCGGAGCCACTGTTGTCTGTAAATGGTATAATTACCCTGCTAACGCTGTACATATGGGTTATGCCCAGGCTCACTCCCAGAGAGAGAATGTACTTATGGCTTGCACCCAGGTTGGCTTGAGGCCAGGCTCATGGCCAGGCTCGTGCCCAGGTTTATGCCCACAGCTTGCACCTGGGCTTGCTCACACCCAGAGAGAGTAAAAGCCATGTTGAAACTGTTTATGATTCCTTGAGTATTCTTCCAGCTACCTGCCACTGGTCTACCCACTCCCCTCAGTCCTCAGCTTGGGCTGGAACCTGACACTTGGCCTAACACTTGGTCGAAGGGCATGAATTTTATTTCAAGATTCAAATCAAATTGCTGAATTTCTTTGATGAATTTTCACATTAATCAGAGACATATAAATCCTTATTTCATGATAGTATTATCATTTACAACTCTTTGACAGTCTAACAAAATAACACAGCACTCACTTGGTTGTATTAATCTTCAGTTCTTTATGGTTTAGTAAGATGGATTTTTAAAAATATACTGTTGGGACATGTTTTTTTTTTTTTTTTGTCTTTTGCCCATTTTCCTCGTAGGTTATTTGTCCCATTATTTATAAGAATTATTTATGATGAAAATACAAATGAACTGTCACATTTTACAAATATTTTCTCTTTGCGCTATTATACTTAAAATTTTATTTATGGCACTTTTGGCATATTAATGTTGTTTAAAAATTGTTTATAATAAACTGTACTACTATTTTCCCTTATGATTTCCTTGTTTTTGTTTAACAAGTATTTACCTGGAGATAAAAGAAAATATTAAGTTTTTACCTTCCAATTTTTTGGCTTATACTTATCTTTTAATTTTCACATAGGGAATTGATTTGTTTCATAGTGAGAGGTTTTGTAGTTATCTTCATATAAGTATAAAATTGTATGATTTAATTGTTGATGTTCCTTTCTCATTCCTGACTATAACGAGAATACCTCTAGCATTTTCCTATTTGGCCTGATGGGGGCTTATAGGTTGAAGTAGCCATATTTTAATTCATGAGCATTTTAGTGGAATGCAGGGAGGTGATTCAGTTTTATTTCATCTATTACTAGTATAACCCAGAAACCTGATAGATGTAAATGTATACAAGGGCTGTTTCCCTGATTTACAGTTGGGTCTGATTTCTAAGCACAATTTTAAAAACATGTTTTTTTAAGGGGAAAAAAGGGACATATAAGTGGAAGCAGATATTCATGAAATATAAACTACTAGGCAAAGAGAGAAGCTTTCTGTTTTATCTGTTATAAAGAAAGTCTCATGTGATGTAGCCAGGTGAAAAATTACACAGATTAATGAGTAAGACCTTTTTCATTTTTAAGCTGCTTATTTCACAGCACCACACAGACCACATCAACTCTGGTGATCAGACCCATTTTGGGTAGTCTACTAGGAAAATGATTGTTAGTGGCATATACATTTATTTGAATTTAGAGTTCATACTGTAGTCATAAGTCAATTCAAAACCAGGAGATACCTTGCTATATTTATCCTTATAAACTTTGATCTTGTTATAAACCAAATGGTTTCCAAGAAAAGTAAGACAAAGATATACTTTATGGTTTTGTGGATACGCATGTCATACTTTGGCTGGCCACTGCATTTTGACCAGTCATTCTATATTTAGGGGCATTCCCACTTGAGTCCTACCTCTCCAATGTAGGAATTAGAATTCAGCTTACCAGCCTTTTTTGAACTAGGATGATGGCATGTGACTTGGCCCACCCATACACTCCTCTTCTGAAAGTAGCTGAGGTGTGGTTTTGCTTCCCATGGAGGAGTCTGAGTGGAATGAAAAGGCAGCAGCTTTCAGAGACAGCAGTGGTGGCTGACAGTGGGGTCCCGTGCCCAGGACTGGGACTGCAGTAAGTCTGCGGTTCCTGGCTGCTTAGTACCAAGTCCCATCCCTTTGTCTTCTTAGGGATTTTGGAAAAAGTTACCTAATACTCTCCAAGAAATTGCTTTTCTGCTTAAGCTAGTTACAGTACACCCTATGCTTTGTGACTGACAGCCCTAATCAGCAGCTGGTCCACAAAGAAAAAGACCACTGAGATCACAGTCCATCCAAAGCATAGCGGGAAGTTGAATTTTAAACCTGAATATTTTGGCTTGTTAGGTATATGCTCTAGGAACATGACTGTCTGTGTAATACCTGGGCAAGTGAAAAAAGAAAACTTCAGTTGGCCAACTCTAGCTTTGTTGGAACATGGTCTACAGTATAGTTTTGTATATGTCAAACAACAAGTTGAGTTGATTGTTTATGGTCATTAAATCAGCCCTTTGTTTTGGCACCCTGGCAACACAGGTACAACTTAGAGCACACTGTAGATTCCTAATGAGCTTTTGTATCTGGGCCAGGCTGAGTTTTATAAACGCAGATAAACAGAACTCATCTGCTTATAATTTGCTAGTGTAAACATGCCTGCCTGTGGGTTCCTGAAGCTTTGTGTCATGCTCTTTATCTTGGATGGTAGCTGGTGAGAAGCACATGATCCTATTTACAATGCAGCATATAGTTTCTAAATTGTAGTCGTCACAGCATCTCCCCGAGGTCATAACCCTTCCTATACTCTAGAACCCATCTCCTTACTTTAAAGAGGACACGCCAGAGGATTTTCCACTTCATTTAGTGATGTTTTGATGTGACAGCAGAGCGTAGATCAACTAGGATTAGAATACCCAAGGGCCTCCCACCTGTTGAAAGATAAAAATCTTCTCTTTGGTAGAATTTATTTTTTCTTTTTTTGAGACAGATTCTCACTCTGTCACCGAGGCTGGAGTGCAGTGGCATGATCTCGGCTCACTGTAATCTCTGCCTCCCAGGTTCAAGCAATTCTCCTGCCTCAGCCTCCTGAGTAGCTGGGATAACAGGCATGTACCACCACGCCTGGTTAAGCCTGGTTAATTTTTTGTATTTTTAGTAGAGATGGGGTTTTACCATGTTGGCCAGGCTGGTCTCGAACTCCTGACCTTAGGTGATCCACCTGTCTCGGCCTCCCAAAGTACTGGGATTATAGGCGTGAGCCACCATGCCTGGCATCTTTGGCAGAATTTGGTATGTAAATGGTATCTGTAAATAGTAGATATAATTAAGCCAAATTGCTTCTAGCCTGAGAGAGGATAGCATGTGTGTCACTTACATTGGTGGACTGAGGTTGTTTTTTTTTCCCCCAAGAAAGAAGCATTAGCTCCATTTTGATAGATGAAGAGTAAGTTCTACTGATGTCTAGAGAGGTTGGGGAATATGGCCAAGCTGACAGGTTAGGAAGTGGCAGAAGAAGGTCTCAAACCCGGATGTGCCTGACTGCAGAGCCTGCCCTCTTATCCCCTGCTCCCTGCTTCTTCTCTGCTGGGGCTCGCCATGTTAGTCCTGGGAGGGGCCATGCTGGCCTAGGGCAGACAGTGTCTGGGCACGGCCATTGGCTGCTCCTTTGACCCTTGCTTGGCATGCTGGCTAGGAGCAGCTTCAGCCTTCTCTCCTGTTAACAGTAATTTGACTTTTACGTCTTTAAGACTCTCTCTGAATTTCCAGAAAGCACATTTCTATAGGCTAGAAACCTCCCCAGGACAGGTTTCTTGGAGAAATACATCCTCTGGTTTTTGAATAACCACAAATGACAAGTTAAATTCTCTAATTCAATTACTTTGTTGAATTTCTACTGCAGGCCACATCCTTGTAATTTCTGAACACCATGAAAATTAAAGGGTAGCAGTTTAGTCCACATGGAAGGCTAACACCTAAGACACAGCAAACTTTTTTTTTCCTTTTTAGTTAAATGAATTCTTTGTCCTTTCCAGTTTTTTATTTTAATTTCCAATTATAAACAGTTGGAGATGCTGTGAAACTTTGAAAAGAAACAGCAGTTTCAAACATACTGAACCCTAAAAGCGAAAGGACTCCACATTAAATAAACTATCTTTTAAACTACTTAGTCAAATCACAGCCCAAGAACGTGGCTATTAGCTAGAGTGGGTCTTGTGTATTTGAGTGAACCGGGGCCATTTTGTATTTTTTCCAAAAGCTAAAACATTGCCAAGCTTTTGCATTAGTGGATGAGCTATGCAACCTTTTTTCCACTGAGAATTTTCACTCCCCAACTTCACCCCCAAGAGGCAGCCGCCCTCCCTGAGGTCATCTGGGGCTCTCTATTGTCCTGACTAAAGGGTATTACCAGGTCGTCCCTTATGTCTTCACAGCCTTAGACAGAGTCAACTTTCACTCACTTTTCAATCTAACTGTGCCCTTTGATGTCTGAAGTTTGCTATTTACCTCTGACTCCCTGGATAAGCCAAGCCTCTTGCCTCCAAGGTTCTATTCAACACACGCCCCAGGTGCAAACAGTCCCCAGCTCCTGTAAATTCTGCCTCCCAGAAAACCTTCATAGCCGTAAGCTCCTCTTCTCACCTGTCACTGCCTTGATTCAGGCCTTTGTCATTTCCCAGCTGGTTGGATGATCGCAGACCCCACTAAGTGGTCCTCCTTCCTGTCTAATCCTTGCACCTCCTTGCTGTCAGGGCGTTCCTACATTTCAGACCTCTGCTGAAACAACTTTCATGGCTTTTGACAACTTTAAGGATAAAGTGCGAACTCCTTAACATTGAAAGAAAAACAGAAGGAAGAGAGGGAGAGAGGGATGGAGGAAGGGAGGGAGAGAGAGAGGGAGGATGAGAAGGAGGAAGAGAGAGAAGAAAAGAGGAAGACAGGTCTTTTCTTCCTCTGGCTCCTGCATCCACGTTGGCACCATTCCTTGTTCCACACTCTTACTCTCCCTTCGGCCAAGTCACCATGTTCCCTCTTATTTCCAACACTTCCCCTCTTCCCTCCATCTGGCTAACACATACTTGTGCTTCATGGCTTAGCTCCTTGGGAAGCCTTCTCTAAGCCCCACAATTCCACATAAGAAGCCCCGCTCTGTGTCCCCTTGGTCATGACACCCATTGCTTAGTTTTTTAGTGTGTATTTATTTGCTGCCCCACTGAACAAGGAAGAACTAGGGGGAGGTGTCTTCCTCATCCTTGAATCCAGAGGATAGCACAAGCCTAGCAACTGGGAGGCAGTGAATAAATGTTTGAATGGTTGCTGACTGAGGAAATCTCACTTCCTACTGCTCATAAGACTCCTTGCATCTTGGATTCTGCTCCTTGCTCTTCACTTTACAGATCCCAGAGCCTGGCAAAGTTATTCATTGCCATGGTCTACTTAGTAATATAAAGAGAAGACCTGGCCAGGCACAGTGGCTTACGCCCATAAAATTCTAGCACTTTGGGAGGCAAAGGCAGGAGGATCACTTGCATCCAGGAATTCCAGACCAGCCTGGGCAACACGGCAAGACCTCATCTCTAAAATTTTTTTTTTTTTTAATTAGCCAGGCCTGGTGGAATGCACCTGTGGTCCCAGCTACTAAGGAGACTGAGGCAGGAGGATTGCTTTTGCCCAGGAGGTTGAGGCTGCAGTGAGCCATGATCACACCACCGCACTCAGCGTGGGCAGACAGAGTGAGACCCAGTCTCACAAAAAAAGAGAGAGAGGACTTAAAACTCTCCCTCTTCTTTTCCTCTTGCTTTGGTCCCAGGTGACCAAAAGCCTTACTTCACTTTAAGACATTGCTAGCCTGTTTTCTATTTGAGAGACTTTATCATATCTTATCTTCGTATCTCTAGTAGCTGGCACAGGACTGGCTTATAGAAGATGCTTGATCAGAGAGTAGAATAAACCTTCATATCCAAGATGAGGAATCTGAGGTCTAGAGAGGTTACTGACTTACAACCACCACTCAGCTGCTACCTGCTGCAGTTGGTGTGAACCTATTTATTCTGACTTCTAATCCCTGCTCTGTTTGCTACAGCAGCCTGCAAGGTTGAAGTGTGTGATATATTTTATTAAAGTAATATTAATCCCTGAGAGGAGATTTGGGAATTTCTCATGGTGGACTTGAGCTGGGTAAAATGAGGGTTAGCCTCTCCTTCCTTGCCTCTCATTTCTCTTGAAATTCGATTCTCCTTGTAAAAACTTTCCCCAAGAGTTAGCGCATGTATTTCAGGTGTGCCTGCCTTTGTGTTATTCAAGTTTGTAAAGTCTGCGTCTTAGCTCTGTTTATAGAGTGCCTGCGCATTAGTCAGGACAGGCTAAAGTGCTGTGAAAATAGGCCCAGGCTGTGGTGACTTAAGTACAATAGAAGTATCTTTTCCACATAGTGGATGTTCCAAGTCAATGGGGTGACAGTAAGGTGGCTTCTTCTTGTGGGTAGGTTGACAAGGGCCTCTGCTGTCTTCAAAATACAGCTTCCGAGCTTGCTGTTTGTGATGGCTGTTTAAGCAACTGAAAGGAGAAAAAACATGGCAGTGATGTGATGTGCAGGAAGTTTTGTGGGCTAGGCCAGGAACTAGGGTTACCAACTCAACCTGATTTTCTTCAAATTATACTGGTTTTATTTTTATTTTTGGCCAGGAAAGGGAACTTTTGTATATACTGCTTTTAGAACAGAAAGTTCCATATCCAGGGGAACCCCTCAGTCCTGGGTAAATAGGGACAGCTAGTCACCCTGCTTGGTCATGGCATACCCCGCTTCTGCTCATGTTTCATTGGCTAGAACTTGTCAACTGGTCACACAGACTGCAAGGGATGCTGGGAAATGTCATCTACTTGTGTGCACAGGAAACAGTCCCAGATTCACAAAGAGCTCCCTGCATAGACAGTTGGTGAATGTTTCTTATAGCTATAAACAGTGAAGCTGAGAAGCCTAAAAACTGGTTTACAAAAGGAAATCGACACAGAAGGGTGAAATAAGGACCCAAAATCCAGGCCAGGAAGTGATGCCTGAATAAAGCCTTTGTTGGTGGTTACTAACGATAATGGGGTGCCCTGTGTTTCTTACCACAACCTTACTCAGGGTTTAGAGTAAGGCTTTTTGTGACTAAGACTAGATACAATCGTGTTTTGAAATCTCACCTTTATTCATCCATACATAGGTTAGCAAGGATTCATACGGAGCAAGCCTCTGAGGAACAGAGAATTTGTAGTGATGAAACAAAATGACTGGACTTCCTCTACAGGCAGCTTTCAGGAATATGTTCGCTACCTCTGTTCTTGGAGAACCTTGCTGGATCTTATTCTACTAACAGCCATGATTTGACCCACTGTATATTTAAATCCATGCTGTATTAATCATAGTATCACTTGTTGTAAGCTTTCTATGTGCCAGGACAATGCTAAACGCTTTACTTGCATTATCTCATTTTATCCTCACAACACTAAAGTGCTTTAATTTTCCCTGCATTACAGATGATGAAATTAAGAGTGATAGAGGTTAAATGGTTTGTATATCACCACACAACTGTATGTTACAGAATTAAGATTTAGCCCCAGCTCTGTTTCTTTCTAATACCTGACTGCATATTCTACACTAGAGAGAGGTCTGAGAGGGGATTATATTGTTAATTTTGGGATAAACTAAAATCTGCCCCAAGGATATCATATTTCTTTAGGATGAGATGAAAGGAGAGATAAGAAATATGTACTCCAGTAAAATATTAGTTAAATGAGTCCTGTGTTACAGTACATTATCTTATTTCTAGAAACACTTGCATATTACCAAAGTGTGTATGCATGTGGGTGTGCATGTGTGTGTGGTGTATGCATGCATGTGTGTGGCAGGGGTCAAGGCCAGAGTCAGTCGGCAAGTACCTGTATAGGAGACACTGAGGTAGGCTGTTCTGAGCTCTTCTTTCCAGAACTCAGGTGTTTATTCCCCCACCTTCTGGGAACGTTGGCAGCTGATAGCTCTTAGCTCAGTTCTTCTCCAGGACTTTCCCTCAGGCTAAAGAGAGATTTCTTGCCCAAGGTCATGCCCTTTTCCTGAGGGCAGTCCACACCCAATATGACTGATTCACTCAAGAATACAAATGCCCTTGCCCCAGTTGGGGACAATTCTGAAGGCCATCCAACCTCTGTGTAGTATCAGCGGAGGCTCTAATTGCTATTGTATCCTAGATCAACTTCTTCCTCTAAGCAATAATCCTTTTGTGCCTCTACAAGTGATGACTCTGAGAGCAATCCCACCCCCGTAAAATTCCTGTGTGCCAATCTCCATCACAGAGTTGCTTTCTGGGGAACCCAAACTCCATTTTATATCATTATATAAATATAGTATATGCCATTGCCAAATCCTTATCTATTGTCTTTATTATGAAGACTAGAAACTAGAACACATGCCCTCACACACACCAACACACACATATTTCTTAAATAAGCATAGATTATTCAAACATGAATTATTTGTTATACCCCGCTCCACTGTTCCTTCTGCAGTGGGCCATGTAGAGCAGGGAACCCTGGATCTGGTATGTGTCTCTGAAAGTCAGGATGTGAGCCTGCCTGAAAGTCTTCATTTTGAATTTTTAAAAATGTTAGTTTTATCTCTCCCCTCCAACCCCATTTAACATTCATTATTGTGTTGCAAATACAAACACAGAAATAGAATCAGGGACAGGGTCAAAACAGGCCTGCAAATAAGTGGTTAGGTAGGAGGATGGTTGTACTTTAGTGGAGAGAGCATCCTGTAGAATTCACCTCTTCAATATTTCTTGACTTCGTCTACTTTCCTCTTTCCTGTTTATTTTCTCTTGTCTGGTTTGGTCTAGTGTCTTATCTAGATTACTACAATAAATCCCTGTTTTTTCCCCCCCATCTCCTGTCTTATTCGCTCCAAAAAATATCCATATTGCAGCCAGTAATTTGCAGTATAAATGTGTTATCCCACTTGTTTAAATCTTTGAGTGGCTCCCTGTGGCACAGATGGCTAGCTGTCCCCCAAAATATATGTTCCCCTTCCGTAGGATAGAGTTATCTTCAGAAAGCTGCAACTACATTTGACAGACCATTCTTATTTCTGGGTGTGACCATGTGATGAAGCTCTTGACAATGGAATGTTAACAAAAATAGTGTAGGTCACTTACAAGCCATGGATTTTAAGAAATAAATGTAGTTTTCTATGCTGTCTTCTTATCTCTTCTGGCTGGAAAAAGATAAGACCCTAAGGGTTGATGGAGCAACACGACAGAAGAAGCCTGAGTTCTTGAGTCATCGTTAAGAAGAGGACTGCCCACCGACAGTTTGAATGTAATAGTTTGAATCTTCTGCTTCAAACTATTACGTGAGCAAGAAATGATTTTCTGTTGAGTTTCAGCCAATGTACATATTGAAGTCTAATTGTTACAGCAGCTAACCCACTCAAACTAGTAGATTCTTTATTACTCTTAGGATAAAATGTAAATTGTATAACAGGACTTACAAGGCCCTGTGTGATTTATCTCCATTTTGCTTCTTTAGTCTCACTGCTGTGGTTAAGACTATAAGCTCCAGAGCACATTCACAAGCGTTCGTATCCTGGCAAGTCCAGTTGGATGCTGTACACACAGTGGGTTGCATCACAGCTAACAAACCCTGAGCTTAGGAATTCTAGCTCTTTTTAACTGGGCTGTGAGCAAATCCACCTGAACTTTGCCTCAGCATGAAATAGTATCTTTATTATAACAGTGAACAAATCTGCCCTCTGCTCTGGGAGAGACATAATCTCTATCTTTGAAAGCTGTTTGCAATCCTTAAAAATACCAGTCTGGAACATAAACTGTCAGTGCCTCTGCTCATAAGATGTGCAGAAATTCAAGAGACCCGGGGAGATATGTCTCCCAACAATGTTACCTACTTCACTGGAATATTGTGAGAACTAAATCAGTTATTGCCTCTAATGACCTAGAATAGTGCCTGGAACATAAACTCTCAATACATGAGTCATTATTATCATGAATCCCCATTCTCATATACTTACATGTGTTAATCATTTTGAGCTGCTTTCATTTACTCAAACATGTCTTGCTTTCTTTTGGCTCGGGGCTGTCAAACTCATGCCTGTGTCTAGAATATTTGGCTCCCCTTGATGCCCACCTAATTCCTGCTTCTCCTCAACTTTTATTCCCAACCTATGGGCTTAGATCCCATACTCACATGGTCCATTCACTCCACTTCTCTCTCTTAGAATACTTAGCAACCATGTTTTGCTGCTTCTTGCTAAAGTGTTTTAAATTCCTCTTGAAGGTAAACTCTGGGAGATCAGAGAAAACATGAAGCAAGAGAAAGTGGCTCTTGTTAGCTTAAGGAAAAATAATTTATTGGAAGGTTTCTAGGTGATATGGTTTGGCTGTGTCCCCACCCAAATCTCATCTTGAATTGTAGTTCCCAGAATCCCCATGCGTCATAGGAGGGACCTGGTGGGAGGTAACTGAATCATGGGGGTGGTTACCATGCTGCTATTCTCATGATAGTGAGTGAGTTCTCATGAGATCTGATGGTTTTATAAGGGGCTTTTCCCCCTTTTTCTTCGCACTTCTCCTTCCTGCCATCATGTGAAGAAGGACGTGTTTGCTTCCCCTTCCACCATGATTGTAAGTTTTCTGAGGCCTCTCTAGCCATGAAGAACTGTGAGTCAATTAAACCTCTTACTTTATAAATTACCCTTCCTTTATAAATTATATAATTATAATTAGTCTCAGGCCGTCCTTTATAGCAGCATGAGAATAGGCTAATACACTAGGCTATCTCATGAAATCGAAGTTGAAATCAAACAATCAAGAACATGAGGAGGTGGCTGGCAAGAAGACTGAATATGAACTGCTCCAGTCTGCAGCTCCCAGTGAGATCAATGCAGAAGGCAGGTGATTTATGCATTTCCAACTGAGGTACCTGGCTCATCTCATTGGGACTAGTTAGACAGTGGGTGCAGCCCACAGAGGGCAAGCAGAAGCATGGTGGGGTGTCACCTCACCTGGGAAGTGCAAGGGGTCAGGAAACTCCCTCCCTTAGCCAAGGGAAGCTGTGAGGAACTGTGCCGTGAGGAATGGTGCATTCCGGCCCAGATACTACGCTTTTCCCATGATCTCCACAACTGCAGACCAGGAGATTCCCTCCAGTAGCTACACCACCGGGGCCCTGGGTTTCAAGGACAAAACTGGACAGCCATTTGGGCAGACACTGAGCTAGCTGCAGGATTTTCTTTTAATACCCCAGTGGCACCTGGAACACCAGTGAGAGAGAACCATTCACTCCCCTGAAAAGGGGGCTAAAGCTAGGGAGCCAAGTGGTCTAGCTCAGTGGATCCTACCACCACAGAGCCCAGTAGGGTAAGATCCACTGGCTTGAAATTCTCGCTGCCAACACAGCAGTTGGAAGATGACCTCGGACACTCTAGCTTGGTGGGGTGAGGGGCATCCACCATTACTGAGGCTTGAGTAGGCAGTTTTCCTTTCACAGCATAAGGAAAGCCACCAGGAAGTTCGAACTGTGTGGAACCCACCGCAGCTTGGCAAAGCCACTGTAGCCAGACTACCTCTCTAGATTCCTCATCTCTGGGCAGGGCATCTCTGAAAGAAAGGCAGCAGCCCCAGTCAGAGGCTTATAGATAAAACTCCCATCTCCCTGGGACAGAGCACCTGGGGGAAGGGGCAGCTGTGAGTGCAGCTTCAGCAGACTACAACGTTCTTGCCTGCCAGCTCTGAAGACAGCAGAGGATCTCCCAGCACAATGCTTGAGTTCTGCTAAAGGACAGACTGCCTCCTCAAGTGGGTCCCTGACCCCCATGCCTCTTGACTGGGAGACCCCTCCCAGCAGAGGCTGACAGACACCTCATACAGGACAGCTCCAGCTGGCATCTGGCAGGTGCCCATCTGGGATGGAACTTACAGAAGAACAAACCGGCAGCAATCTTTGCTGTTCTGCAGCTTCTGCTGGTGATACACAGGCAAACAGGGGCTGGAGTGGACCTCCAGCAAACTTCAGCACACTTGCAGCAGAGGGGCCTGACTGCTAGCAGGCAAACTAACAAACAGAAAGGAAAAGTATCAACATCAACAAAAAGGACCTCCACACCAAAACCCCATCTGAAGATCGCCAGCAGCAGAGACTTTGGTCTTTGATAAATCTTTGTAGATAAATCCACGAAAAAGGGGAGGAACCAGTGCAAAAACCAGAACACCTCTTCTCTTCCAAAGGATCACAGCTCCTCTCCAGCAAGGGAACAAAACTGCATGGAGAATGAGTTTGATGAATTGACAGAAGTAGACTTCAGAAGATGGGTAATAACAAACTTCTCCAAGCTAAAGAAGCATGTTCTAATCCAATGCAAGGAAGCTAAGAACCTTGAAAAATGGTTAGATGAGTTGCTAACTAGAATAACCAGTTTAGAGAAGAACATAAACGACCTGATGGAGCTGAAAAACACAGCACAAGAACTTGGTGAAGCATACACAAGTATCAATAGCTGAATAGATGAAGCAGAAGAAAGGATATCAGAGATTAAAGATCAACTTAATGAAATGAAGTGTGAAGACAAGATTAGGAAAAAAGAATGAAAAGAAATGAACAAAGCCTCCAAGAAATATGGGACTATGTGAAAAGACCAAACCTATGTTTGACTAGTATACTAAATGTGACGGGGAGAATGGAACCAAGTTGGAAAACACTCTTCAGGATATTATCCAAAAGAACTTCCCCAACATAACAAGATGGGCCAAGATTCAAATTCAGGAAATACAGAGAACACCACAAAGATGCTCCTCAAGAAGAGCAACCCCAAGACACATAATGGTCAGATTCACCAAGGTTGAAATAAAGAAAAAAAAGTTAAGGGAAGCCAGAGAGAAAGGTCAGGTTATCCACAAAGGGAAGCCCATCAGACTATCAGCAGATCTCTCTGCAGAAACCCTGCAAGCCAGAAGGGGGGTGGGTGGGTGCAATATTCGACATTCTAAAAAGAAGAATTTTCAACCCAGAATTTCATATCCAGCCAAACTAAGCTTTATAAGCGAAGGTGAAACAAAATCCTTTACAGACAAGCAAATGGTGAGAGATTTTTTTTCACCACCAGAACTGCCTTACAAGAGCTCCTGAAGGAAGCCCTAAACATGGAAAAGAACAACCGGTACCAACAACTACAAAAACATACCAAATTGTAAAGACCATCAATATTATGAAGAAACTGCATCAACTAATGGGCAAAATAACCAGCTAGCATCATAATGACAGGATCAAATTCACACATAACAATATTAACCTTAAATGTAAATGGGCTAAATGCCCCAATTAAAAGACACAGACTGGCAAATTGGATAAAGAGTTGAGACCCATTGGTGTGCTGTATTCAGGAGACCCATCTTATATGCAAAGACACACATAGGCTCAAAGGGATGGAGGAAGATCTACCAAGCAAATGGAAAGCAAAAAAAAAGCAGGAGTTGCAATCCTAGTCTCTGATAAAACAGGCTTTAAACGAACAAAGATCAAAAGAGACAAAGAAGCCCATTACATAATGGTAAAGGGATCAAGGCAACAAGAGCTAACCATCCTAAATATATATGCACCCAATACAGGAGCACCCAGATTCATAAAGCAAGTCCTTAGAGACCTACAAAGAGACTTAGACTCCCACACAATAATAGTGGGAGAATTTAAAACCACACTGTCAATATTAGATAGATCAATGAGACAGAAAATTAACAAGGATATTCAGGACCTGAACTCAGCTCTGGACCAAGCAGACCTAACAGACATCTACAGAACTCTTCACCCCAAACAAACAGAATATACATTCTTCTCAGCACCACATCACACTTATTCTAAAATTGACCACATAATTGGAAGTAAAACACTCCTCAGCAAATGCAAAAGAATGGAAATCATAGCAAACAGTCTCTCAGACCACAGGGCAATTAAATTATAACTTAGGATTAAGAAACTCACTCAAAACCGAACAACTACATGGAAACTGAACATCCTGCTCCTGAATGACTACTGGGTAAATAATGAAATTAAGGCAAAAATAAAGATGCTCTTTCAAACCAATGCGAACAAAGACACAACACACCAGAATCTCTGGAACACAACTAAAGCAGGGTTTAGAAGGAAATTTATAACACTAAATGCACACAAGAGAAAGCAGGAAAGACCTAAATTGACATGCTAACATCACAATTAATAGAACTAGAGAAGCAAGAGCAAACAAATCCAAAAGCTAGCAGAAGACAAGAAATAACTAAGATCAGAGCAGAACTGAAGGAGATAGAGACATGAAAAACCCTTTGAAAAATCAATGAATCCAGGAGCTGGTTTTTTGAAAAGATCAACAAAATTGATAGACCACGAGCCAGACTAATAAAGAAGAAAGAGGGAAGAATAAAATAGACACAATAAAAAATGATAAAGGGGATATCACCACTGATCCCACAGAAATACAAACTACCATCAGAGAATACTATAAACACCTCTATGCCAATAAACTAGAAAATCTAGAACAAATGGATAAATCCCTAGACACATACACTCTCCTAAGTCTAAAGCAGGAAGAAGTTGAATCCCTGAATAGATCAATAACAAGTTCTGAAATTGAGGCAGTAATTAATAGTCTACCAACCAAAAAGCCCAGGACCAGACAGGTTCACAGTCGAATTCTACCAGAGTTACAAAGAGGAGCTGGTACCATTCCTTATGAAACGATTCCAAACAATAGAAAAAGAGGAAATCTCATCTAACTCATTTTATGAGACCAGTATCATTCTGATACCAAAACCTGGCAGAGACACAACAAAAAAAGAAAATTTCAGGCCAATATCCCTAATGAACATTGATGCAAATATCCTCAATAAAATACTAGCAAACCAAATCCAGCAGCACATCAAAAAGCTTATCCACCACCATCAAGTTGGCTTCATCCCTGGGATGCAAGACTGGTTCAACATATGCAAATCAATAAATGTAATCCATCACATAAACAGAACCAATGGCAAAAACCACATGATTATCTCAATAGATGCAGAAAAGGCCTTTGATAAAATTCAACACCGCCTCATGCTAAAAACTCTCAATAAACTAGGTATTGATGGAACATATCTCAAAATAATAAGAGTATTTATGACAAACCTACAGCCCAATATCATACTGAATGGGCAAAAGCTGGAAGCATTCTCTTTGAAAACTGGCACAAGCAACGATGCCCTCTCTCACCACTCTTATTCAACATACTATTGGAAGTTCTGGCCAGGGCAATCAGGCAGAGAAAGAAATAAAGGGTATTCAAATAGGAAGAGAGGAAGTCAAATAGTCTCTGTTTGCAGATGACATGATTGTATATTTAGAAAACCCCATCGTCTCAGCCAAAAATCTCCTTAAGCTGATAAGCAACTTCAGCAAAGTTGCAGGATACAAAATCAATGTGTGCAAATCACAAGCATTCCTATACACCAATAATAGACAAACTGAGAGCGAAATCATGAGTGAACTCCCATTTGCAATTGCTACAAAGAGAATAAAATATCTAGGAATAAAACTTACAAGGGATGTGAAGGACCTCTTCAATGAGAACTACAAACCATTGCTCCAGGAAATAAGAGAGGACACAAATAGAAAAATATTCCATGCTCATGGATAGGAAACATCAGTATTGTGAAAATGGCCATACTGCCCAAAATAATTTATAGATTCAATGCAATCCCCATCAAGCTACCATTTACTTTCTTCACAGAATTAGAAAAAACTACTTTAAATTTTATCTGAGGCTGGGTGCAGTGGCTCATGGCTGTAATCCCAGCAGTTTGGGAGGCTGAGGCGGGCGATCACCTGAGGTCAGGGGTTCCAGACAAGCCTGGCCAATAGGACAAAACCCCGTCTCTAGTAAAAGTACAAAAATTAGCCAGGCGTGGTGGTGGGCATCTGTAATCCCAGCTACTCAGGAGGCTGAGGCAGGAGAATTGCTTGAACTCATGAGGCGGAGTTTGCAGTGAGCCAAGACTGGGCCACTGCACTCCAGCTTGGGCAACAAGAGTGACAGTCCATGTCAAAAAAAAAAAAATTCATATGGAATCAAAAAAGAGCCCGGATAGCTAAGACAATCCTAAGTAAAAAGAACAAAGCTGGAGGCATCATGTTCCCTGACTTCAAACTATACTACAAGGCTATGGTAACCAAAACAGCATGGTACTGATACCAAAACAAATATATAGACCAATGGAACAGAACAGAGGCCTCAGAAACAATGCCACACGTCTACAACCATCTGGTCTTTGACAAACCTGACAAAAACAAGCAGTAGGGAAAGGATTCCCTATTTAATAAATGGTGTTGGGAAAACTGGCTAGCCATATGCAGAAAACTGAAACTGGACCCCTTCCTTACACCTTATACAAAAACTAACTCAAGATGGATTAAAGACTTAAATGTAAGACCTAAAACCATAAAAACCCTAGAAGAAAACCTAGGCAATACCATTCAGGACATAGGCATGGACAAAGACTTCATGACTAAAACACCAAAAGCAATGGCAACAAAAGCCAAAATGAACAAATGGGACCTATTTAAACTAAAGAGCTTCTGCACAGCAAAATAAACTATCATTGGAGTGAACAGGCAACCTACAAAATGGGAGAAAATTTTTGCAATCTATCCATCTGACAAAGGGCTAATATCCAGAATCTACAAGAACTTAAACAAATTTGCAAAGAAAAAACAAAAAACCCCATCAAAAAGTGAGCAAAGGAGATGAACAGACACTTCTCAAAAGAAGACATTTGTGCAGCCAACAAACATGAAAAAAAGCTCATCATCACTGGTCATTAAAGAAATGCAAATCAAAACCACAATGAGATACCATCTCACACCAGTTAGAACGGTGATCATTAAAAAGTCAGGAAACAACAGATGCTGGAGAGGATGTGGAAAAATAGGAACACTTTTACACTGTTGGTGGGAGTATAAATTGGTTCAACCGTTGTGGAAGACGGTGTGGTGATTCCTCAAGGATCTAGAACTAGAAATACCATTTGACCCAGCAATCCTATTACTGGGTATATACCCAAAGGATTATAAATCGTTCTATTATAAAGACACATGCACACGTATGCTTATTGCAGCATTTTTTTCACTATAGCAAAGACTTGGAAGCAACCCAAGTGTCCATCAGTGATAGGCTGGATAAAGAAAATGTGGCACATATACACCATGGAATACTATGCAGTCATAAAAAAGGATGAGTTTATGTCCTTTGCAGGGACATGGAGGAAGCTGGAAACCATCATTCTCAGCAAACTAACACAGGAACAGAAAACCAAACACCACATGTTCTCATTCATAACTGGGAGTCGAACAATGAGAACACATGGATGCAGGGAGGGGAACATCACACACTGGGGTCTGTTGAGGGGTGTGGGGCCAGGGGAGGATAGCGTTAGGAGAAATACCTAATGTAGATGACAGGTTGATGGGTACAGCAAACCACCATGGCACGCGTATACCTATGTAACAAACCTGAACATTCTGCACATGTATCCCAGAACTTAAAGTATAATAAAAAAAAATTAATTAATTTAAAAAAGGAGTTAGTAATTGTCATTTCCATGTGAGTTTAACTCTTACTTACCTGCAACTTCAGATCTTTGAGGGGAACTTAAGGGTAGAAACATTCACTGACACAGAGGTACTTCTGAATTACCTTACCTTTGTCTTTCAGATTCTGTAAACATGGTGACTCAAGCACACTGAGTATACAGGAGCCACTGCGTAACATTGAATGTGTTTCCCAAACATGGAAGGGGAAAGAAAGAGAAGAAGAGGCAGCCACACCTAATGGAAATGAACCAGATGGTTATCAAAAGCATACAGCACTTTCAAGAGGCAGAAAAAGAGAAAATACAGAAGAGGATCAGTGGGAGGGAAGATGGGTGCTAAAGCTGAGCAAGGGAACTGCTTGTTACAATGGCTTAAACCCATTTTGGCCGCTGCAAGATGGAGTGGCACTAATGAGGTGGTAGCGCACTGAGTAAGGCATATGCTTGCCCCCTTCCCCTCTCCTTCCTCCCATGGTGCTTGTATATTTTTAGCCTGTGGGGTTGGAATAATGAATACCCAAGTGAATGTAGTGTTGGAAGGAGATTTTTTCTTGGCAAAATGGCAGCAAGGGCTGCCAAGTATCTTCTAAAATGTAAACAAATCATCCACCTCCATCAGGGAAAGATTACACACAGTATTCCTGAGTCAGTGTGGGATTTTCACCTGCTGTGGTTTGCAGTTTGAATTCTCCCCCATCATCACAAGCTTTACCACCTGGTGTGTATTAAGCACTCCATTACTCTGAGAAATCATTGGTGTTCCAGCTGCTAGAATCAAATAATCAGGCACAATTTGGGAAATAAAAATCTTCTCCCATTCCACATAAACAAGTTAGGAGGATTCTGTGGAAGTGCCACTGACTTGGGGGTCTGGGTATTCTTTTGGTTATATCACAAATCGCCACTCTTTGTGTCTATGCATTTACAGTTGTAAGGGAAGGGTGTGGGATTGAATGACATTTAAGATTCCCTCCGGCTCTGAAGCCGATGACCTAGTGTTCAGTGTGATTCTAGGCTACTTTGGGCAGAAAGCCGCTCAGTCTTCATATTCATAAAAACAACTTTCCAGAATTGCAGCACCCCCTTTCCCATCTTTCGGAATGTCTCTTTGCCCCAGGGTTATGCAGTGCCCTTACCATGCTTTCTGGACGCTCATGGCTTTCCACTACAAAGTATGGATTCTCCCTCTCACCAGGCCTCATAGGCTTGCTATGTTCTAAAATGTACCTTGTTTGAAATATCTCAATTTCTCCTCCTAACATCAACCTCACCCAAACTCACCTGTTTTCCAGCTCCTTTTCCCAGTCATACTCTCAGCCAGATAGTTATTTAAGTGATGCAATAAAAAAAATGCCCTTTTAATGATTAGATGTCTATCTTTAGTATGGGCTTAACCCAAAGGAATGGTAGTGATTTCAGTTACTATTAATACAAATGACGAAGGGATAGTTTCTTGCATCTAGAACCATTAGGGGCCCCAAATCATATACATAAGTGACTGCCTACATGTAAAGGCTACTTATCTACAGGTAATTCAATCCAAGAAACATATATCAAACACCAGACATGTACATTTTGTTGTTGTAGACTCTGGTGGCACGGAAGTTATGTTGCAAAGATAAATAAGACAGTTCTTTCCTCGAAGCAACTTAAAATTAATTTAGAGCTACAGAATCTTAATGGATTTTATCTTAATGGAGAGCATTAGATTTTTCATTGCAGTAAAATATATATAACATGAAATTTACCATTTTAACTATTTTCAAATGCATAATTCAGTAGCATGTAAGTACATTCATTGGATATTTTTATCCATTAAAACTTATTCACTTGTTGAGAGTTGTAAGTTTGAGTGTATAATAATCAGTGTTATGGTCTTCACCTTAGAGAGCTCACCTTCTAGATGTGACTTAGCCAAACAAACATGATAGGTCAAGAATTTTACGGCAGTCTGACTGCCTTCCTTCTTTCCTTTCTTCATTTTTTCTCTCATTCCCTTACTCCTGTCCTCACTCTGTTCCTAAAATAATCTAAAGCAGATTACAAACACATACAAATAACAGGGTGAAATTAGTGGAAATTTGTCAGGGAAAGTAAAGGCAAGAAAATAAGATAGATCCAGAAGTGAGTTAGTACAGAAAATGCATGCCTTAGAGCCTTGTAAACATGTAAGAGCTGGCCTTCAAGTTTTATTCTAACCCTCTCAGAGCCAGTTTAGCAGGGAAATATGATCCATTACAAGATTCACAGTGTCCTGCTGGTGACATAAAACAAAAACAGGTGCTCAAGAGCACAGCTTTTATTGATACTGAGACCAGAGGAAAAGTTCTCCTGTGGGTTGCAATTGAGAACGTACTGCATTCATTCATGCAGTCTACACAGTAATTAATTGTTATGGACTTTCTCTTATTAATACCTTTAATACAGATTAATGGCATTGTCCAAAAGGTCATTTCAGTAAAAGTAGAGTGAATCCAGTGCTCAGTGTCTGTTAATTGGACTAATCCAGGTTAGATTTTAGAGAGTCTAGATGTTACTATATTGAACATGTGCCTATGATATGAGAAAAGGAGGGAAGTATTGTTTAGGGCTACCATAGTTTGTGATGATGAAGCCTCATTGCCTACATGTAAGAGACTGCTAAGTTCTGTTTCTGTAAATGGGAAGGCCTAGTGGTATGAAGTGCTCTTCCTAAAGTAGTATTAAGAATAAGCTCAAAGGAGGAGAACAAGACTGCATGGCTTTTTGGTTCAGTGGAAGTCATTATCCACATCTGTCATGAAGTTATTTCTTCCGATCTTGAGTCTCAATGAAAGTCACATTATGGTTTGGGTTCTACATGGACAGAAATGACCAGGGTCTCTAGGAGTCTTAAAGATTAACTCATTTGTCATGATTTTTGGTCATTGAACATTTCTAGTGTGAGGAAATCCCTTGTTGCGAGAGTTGTGGTGGACAACAGGAACCACTGGAGAAGCTGTGAGTTGGAGGTGCTCTACCCCTTCCTTGTACCTGACTTGGCTGAGTGTACATCCAGACTCTAAGTCTTAAGTGAGTGGTGTAGTGATGAAGGGACTGTGAGATTTGTTCCTCGGTGTTTCTCATGGTGGTTTACAACAGTGTCTATGGGTAGTGACAGCATCCAGGGGCAGCTGAGTAGAGTGGCCAGGGAAGTATTCAGCAGCAGCTTCCTAGCTGACTATGTCTTTACTTTGGGTTTTGTGTGTTTTGTGAGCTCAATTTTCCAGCCTTCTCATTGGGCTTCTGAGTTACCCAGTATTTTCCCAATAATTATTTTTCTGCTTAAGGTAGTCAGGTTGCAATAAAGAATCTTGGTGATACAGCCCATAACGGATTCCTTCTCATGGAACTCAAAGCTAAGGAAAGATTATTTTAGTCTTGTCCAATTTCTCCAGAAAATGACACAGGGGTAAGCCGCGACTCAAGTTTTAGTTATCAAATTAGCCATGTTTTCCATGTTTAGCCATAACACACAGGCCAAACCTTAACTAGTAATAGGGAAAGACACAGTTTAGATGGAACATTTTGTTAGCCCATAGGTCTTTCATTAGGGAACTTACAAAAAATTGGATGGCCTCTACTCTGGATCTAACTTGAGAGGGCCGTATCTGTAGAGCTGATAAATTTAAAACAAATGATCAGAAATCAGAGTCCACATGCAGAATAGTCCTGGAACATCTCTGGGGTAGAAACTCTTCCTTCAGAATATTATGGTGGGCTTGAGAGCTTGAGCTTACTCATCAAGTAGAAAATCCTGGACTGAAAAGCAAGCATCCTAAGAATCATAACAGCCAGGTGGTTGGCTTTAACTTGTGAAGCTGAAAGAACAATCCCCCAAAATATGAACTTGGATCTGAATGTCTAAGTATTTATCTACTGCATTTACAAATATGACTTATGGCTTCATAACTCACATCTAGGTCTCCATCTTCATACAGCCTTCTCCTCTGTGTGTCTCTGTTCTCTCCTCTTCTGTCTCTTATAAGAACTTTTGTCATTGGATTTAGGGCCCAGCTCAGTAATCTAGGATGATTACATTTCCTTATTTGGACCTTTTTCCAAATAAGGTGACACTTGCAGGTTCTACGTGAACAGGTTTCTGGGGGGGCAACCAGCAATCAACACACTATAGCACCATTTGTTCTGCCAGAGCCAGGCCTCTGTGTGAACACAGGACAGTGTCTGTGGGCATCTATGCTGACCTGAGAGCTGACTGAGCTAGTGTTGGTTGTTTGGGTTCAGTGGGGGTTCCTCCTTCTCTCTACAGTCCCCATTGCTGGGAAGGACCCGGCTGAGGCAGAGCACTGGGAACATGATTGGTCATCCCACCTTTGCTCCCAGTGGAAGCTTTTCATTCGCAACTCTCTGCATGGCACAAAAGAAAAGAAAGTTCCTTATGTCCCCATTTCCTAAAGATTCCCATCCCTGCTTTTATTTAAAGCATTAAAAATAATTTTCTAACTCTTACTTCTATGGTTGCTTATTTTAGAGGTTCTCTACATTTATTACATTTATGCATAGGAAAAATTCACTCAATAACTCAGGCATTTTAGAATTGAATTATAAGCTATACAATTATTTGGCTTTACATTATTTAAAAGCCCAATCTTTTTTCGACTCTTAAGTATGGTGTCAAAAAAGGATTGGACTTTTAAACAGTGTGAAGCCAAATAATTGTGGCTCTCTTTCCTTTCATTCTCAGGTCACATTTTCCCTTTGCCTTGGAACTAATTCTTGAAGAATGACATTGACTGTAACCTGTACCCACATCATTTTTTTCCAGAGGAAATTGCAATATTTGATGTCTAAGTATTCAATATCAAGTGTTCCTTAAAATATCTTCTCAAGAGGCAGAAAAGGATGTAGAAATTACAGTTGGCTCTTGACTATAGACCACCCACATTCTCGTTCTCTAGAAACTGTCAGGGGTAGGCTGAAGAAGGAAGAGGAATCAAAACTCACATCCACCAACTTTGCCACTTGTTAGGCCTCAGGAAGAAACATCTTGTGAGGAAAAGCCTGGAGTTATTGACTAACATGAATGTTTTAGTGTGATCTGCACATTTTACTCTTTCTGAACCATTTGTATCTCGTATGTCAGACGACAGGAAGCTGGGCTTCATTTTGATATTCTAAATTTGAAAATTCCTCAAAGACTGAAACGTGGGTACCATATGAAGGATATTAAAAATTATGAAAGTTTGCCCATTATCTATTTCCTTGAATTCCTACTTTTCATTAGATTCATTACTTTTCTTTTTTTGTTTCTTTTTTTTTTTTTCAAGACAGGGTTTCACTGTGTCACCCAGGCTGGAATACAGTGAGATGATCTCAGCTCACTGCAACCTTGACCTCCCCAGGCTCAGGTGATTCTCCCACCTCAGCCTCCTGAGTAACTGGAACTACAGGCATGTTGTAGAGCTCCCCAGGCTCAGGTGATTCTCCTACCTCAGCATCCCGAGTAACTGGAACTACAGCCACCATGTCTGGCTAATTTTTCTATTTTTTTTGTAGAGACGGGGTTTTGCCATGTTGCCCAAGCTGGTTGTGAACTCCTGAGCTCAAGTGATTCACCCCCGTCAGCCTCTCAAAGTGCTCGGATTACAGGCATATGCCACTGTGCCTGGCCTATTACTTTTCTTTTTATTCCAGAAGAGGATCATCTCCTGGTATGATGTGCAAGTCTGTGGGTGCGATGGTTAATACTAAGTGTCAACTTGATTGGACTGAAGGACGCAAAGTATTGTTCCTGGGTGTGTCTGTGAGGGTGTTGCCAAAGGAGATTAACATTTGAGTCAGTGGGCTGGGAAAGGCAGACCCACCTTTAATCCGGGTGGGCACCATCTAATCAGCTGCCAGCATGGCCAGACTATAAAGCAGGCAGAAAAACGTGAAAAGGCTAGACTGGCCTAGCCTCCCAGCCTACCTCTTTCTTCCATGCTGGATGCTTCCTAACCTTGAACATCAGACTCCAAGTTCTTCAGCTTTGGGACTTGGATTGGCTTCCTTGTTCCTCAGTTTGCAGATGGCCTATTGTGGGACCTTGTGATTGTGTGAGTTAATACTTAATAAACTTATATATATATATACAGATCCTATATATATATACACATCCTATATATATATATACATCCTATATATATATATACACACATCATATATATATATACACATCCTATATATATATATATATATCCTATCAGCTCTGTCCCTCTAGAGAACCCTGACTAATACAGTGGGGCTAACACTCATGAGTCACAAAAGAAATGAAAATGCTTCTTAAAATTTGTGTTTAAGAATTTTTATTAACTCTTTTACAGAACCTTATTTTTCAATATGAAAGTGTGTTTATTTTATATGATAGTTAAGCTAACAAACCCTCAACTATTCTTCATCAATAGTGCTGGAAAGTTTATATTATTAGGAAATCCTGTCTCTTTGGTTTTTTGTTTTGTTTGTTTGTTTGTTTTTTTAAGACTTCATCACTTAGGGAAAAGATTCAATCCCAACTTAGTGAATTGCACGCCTACTATGGCAGGACTGTAATAACTGAAGCTTTATCATGAAAGAACATCCACGCTTCAACCACGAAAGAACATAATGCTTCAGACATTATTGTTTCTAGAATGTACATTGTGCTGCATTCAAGAGAATCTAGAAATATCTATTCAATAAGAATATTTTATATCATGTTCAGGCAGCTTCCTTATTAATGTTTGCATTCATTTTATTTAAAAATAAGTTGCAAGCTTGATTTCAAGGGTTATTTCACTTTTAAGTAAGTATAGAGTCCATTGTCCAGGCCCAAGATGAATTGTTTTCTGATTTTCCTTTTTATCAGAATTTGATGTTCTGGCTGAGTAATTTCTTTAAGAGATAGTCTTCATCAACAGTATCATCTTACTTCATATTTTTCACATAGAAATATTTTCTTCTTCTCTATAGATTGTTCTCTGTGCCCAGATTTCAGTAAATGGCCATGGGTTTATTGGTTAAAAGTTAGTCATTCACCTCCCTATATTATGAAGGGGGTAAATAATTTTTAAAATAATCTGTTTTTGTTTTTTTTAAAAAAATGCTTCCTAGTGATTATGTGCCAGGTTTTGTCTTTCAAAGACATTTAAGGTGGTACCAGGAGCATAAATGCGGTCAAAATTCTACCTCTGAGTCAGAAACTTTCCAATGAATCCCTTTTTCCTTAATATAGTTAGAATTGTTTCTGTTGCTTCAGACAAAAACAACTGTCTCATGTTCCTTCCAGTCTTACAGAGTTTATACTCTAGTGGAGAATATGGATAATTAAACAAGTATAATAAGATACACTGTGTGTTCAATTTTGAAGCCCACAGTTTCTCTTCCACAGAAATTTACATTCTTTTCTCTAAAGACAGAGAGAGGCAAAATCTGCAGTGCCAGAAAACCTTAAGGCAGACTTCAAGACTGTCCGCACATCCTGAGACTCAGTGTAGAAACCATGGATCAGGTCCAAAGTCCCATCTGATTCTTGGTTTCTATCAGCTTCCTTCCTGCATGTTCCACCACCTGAGACAGGCCACCCCATACTGGGGTCAGCTGTGACTTTTAGGAAGTCCTTCTTTATGTTGAGCTGAAATTTGTCTTCCTGAACTTCCTGTTCTTGGTTCTAGTTTTAACCTTTGTAGACTGAACAAGTCTAACATGTCTTCCTTTTTCATTCAACAAAGCTTGCTGGGTGTCTGCTCCAGGTCAGACACTGTGCCAGATTGTGCCTAATGGGCTGCATTTTCCACAGGGTTGGGAGGGAGGATACTGACATTAGCCAGTCTATATATAGATACATATATATATTTTTTTTTTCTAGACGGAGTCTTGCTCTGTCACCTAGGCTGGAGTGCAGTGGTGCGATCTCGGCTCACTGCAACCTCTGCGTCCTGAGTTCAAGCAATTCTCCTGCCTCAGCCTCCCGAGTAGCTGGGATTATAGGTGCCTGCCACCACAGCTGGCTAATTTTTGTATTTTTAGTAGAGATGGCGTTTCACCATGTTGGCTAGGCTGGTCTCAAACTCCTGACCTCGTGATCTGCCCACCTCGGCCTCCCAAAGTGCTGCAATTTCAGGTGTGAGCTACCCTGGCCAGGCAGTCTTTAGAAGGGAAACAAGAGCTAAGAAGTCAGAAAGCCATGGAAGCATGCACCAGTGGACTAGACCTGCATCTCTCCTGGGAGCCAGGGAAGGTTTCTCTAATAAGTGATGTTTAACCTGAGCTCCCAAGGATGAGTGGGAATTATCTAGGCAAAAGGAGAGGAAGGGAGAGTCTTCCAGCAGGGGAGAAAACAAGTGCCATGGCCTTGGAGCAGGAAGAAGCAGGATGTGTTCAATGAACTAAAAGAAAGCCAATTTCACGGAGGTGCAAAAGCAAAGTAGAGAGACATGGGAGGTGAGGCTGGAGAACAAGGTGGTGATTCTGTCATGCTGGCCCTTGTGTGCCATGGTCAGGGCTTTTGAATGTCATTCATTTGTTCATTCGTGAATTCATCCACTCATTCAATTGATGTTTGTTGAGATCCCTTGACGTCCTGGGTACTCTTTCATGTGCTAGGGATAAAGGAGGGAACAAAAGAGACAAGATTCTTGCCCTAAGGAAACTTACATTCAGGTTGGGGGAGAAAGACAAACAAAATATGTACTGTGTCAGAAAGTGATAGGTACTACAGAGAAAACAGGGAAGGGAATGGAAGTGTGGGGGTTGAGGTTTTATCTTAAGGAGAATGTGAGTGGCCCCCTAGAGTTGTGCAATAGGATGACACTGCCATGGACAGCCAGGGAAATGTGTTAAGTGGGACTATGACTGGATAGGGACTGTGCTTTAGCTGCTGAGTGGAGAATGGATCAGAGACAGGCTGAGTAGGAGGCAACTATTCAGGTAAAAGATAAAGTGAGCTGAAATTAGGATCATGCCAATGGGGCATGGGGACAAGGGGACTGATTTGTTGACATTTAGGAGGTAAATACTTCTTGTCTGGCTTGGCTAACCAGGAAATAAACATTCCTGCTCATTTAAGGGCCTGTATGTTTCCACTGAAAGTCTGAAAAAGACTACACCAAAACTGACTTATTTTGTGAATAAAAATATGTACATAAATTTTTTTTTATAATTGCTGTTGGGGTTCCAAATATCAAAAAATATACCAGAAATAAAAGTTGGCTTTGCTGGCCCCATGTAGATATATAAATAAACATGAAGTTTCCAGGGCAAGGTCATGATTTATGGATGGATACTTCTAAATCTGGTCTAGATGTTTTTATTACTTGCCTAGGGGAAGAGGTTGAGAGAAACTGAATGTTAGTGCTTGAGCTGTAGCATCATCATTTATTCTTGCTCTATTTTGGGCTCATTTACAGGCCCAGGTGGGGAATTTCTGCCTGATGCTGGTACCATGTTGGCATTGGTGATGGCAACTCAGGCCAAGTCTGGGGAGCAATTAGGGGGTCAGAGTGTCTGAAAACATCATCACTGCCTCTGAGCTTTCTAAGGCGAAAAAATAAACAGTAGAGCCAGGGCAGGTAGGCAAAGCAGAAATGAGCCCTTTAGCACTCACAGCAATTCCAACTTTTCTTTTTGTCCTGTCAGAAATACTTCTTGAGTGGTCAGAGGCACATAGCCTTTGGTCTGCAGTGAATTCTCATCTTACCTCAAATTTCATGTATTTGCACTTGGACTCCATTATGAGCAAGCAGGAAGAATAAAGAATACCAATCTCGGCCGGGCGCGGTGGCTCACGCCTGTAATCCCAGCATCCTGGGAGGCTGAGGTGAGCGAATCATCTCAGGTCAGGAGTTTGAGACCAGTCTGGCCAACATGGTGAAACCCCGTCTCTACTAAAAATACAAAAATTAGCCAGCACCTGTACTCCCAGCTACTTGGGAGGCTGAGGGACGAGAACTGCTTGAACCATGGAGGTGAGAAGGAGCTTGGTCTATTAGAGAAAGAGACAGTTGTCCTATGGTGAGTGAGGGGAGAGGAGAAAAATGCAGGTGTGAAACAAAGCAAGATCCAAGTTTTGTGGGTCCTACCAACCATAGTAAGACGTTTGAATTTTATTCCAGTAACCATGGGAAGACACTGGAAAGGTTTACACAGGAAAATGACAGGATGTAATTTACATGTTAAAAAAAAATCTTGTTGTGTAGACAATGGATTGTAGAGAGGTAGACAGGGGAGAGCACATAGGATGCAGTTCCCACAGTTCAGGATAGAGAGCAAGGTGGCTTGGACCAGGGCGGCAGAAGCAGTTGTGGCCAGGAGTCCAATTCAGGACAGGAGTTGCAGGAGAAGCCTTAGTGGTACACTGGATGTGGGTGCTGATGACAAGAACAAAATCGATGATGCATCTGGGGTACTTGGCCTGAGCCACCAGGTAGATGGGGTGCTGTGAAGTGATATGGGGAGGAAAGGAGGAGGAACAGGTTTGGGGGGAATCAAGAGTTCTGTTTTGGACACGTTAGGTTTGAGAGGTTTATTGGACATCCACATGGAGACGTTGAGCAGGCAGAGAGAGGTCTGGCTGGGGATGCCAACGTGTGAGTCATCGGCATGAAGCTGGTGCTGAAAGCAGTGAGAGTGAATATAAATTAAAAGGAGAAGCAAACTAAGGACAGAGCGGGGGTACCCCAGTGAGTGGTTATGGGAGAGAAAGAAGATTCTGCACAGGATCCAGGCAGGAGTGGCCTGTGAGGCGCAGGAACACCGCAAGGTGGTTCCACAAACCTCAGGGAAAGCAGTGTTTCCAGAAGGAGGGTGTGACTGGCTGAGCCAGGCTGCTGAGAGGTCAGGCAGTGAGGGGGAAGAACCCAGAACGAGGTGCAGATAAGATGTTGGGGCTGGGGGAGGTCACATTTCCGCCTCAGCAGGAAGAAATGGGACCTGTTGAAGGAGTCAGGGATGTCACTCCTGACTATATCTTCCTACTTCTAGAGTTAATTTTTTTTCTGCTGGCTGATAAATTGTTTGTTGTTTTATTTTATTTTCTTCAGACCAGCTGTTTTTGTTGGTACCACACGAAAAGGAGTTTTCCAGTCACCCATTTCCCATATCAACGGTGAGCTGTTAATGTAGTTGGCATAGGTTTCTTCACTAGCTGGTTTAATCATTTTAACATAACTGACTTTCAACTTGGATGCATTCACTTCATTCCTCTTGTACACACTTCTTATCACTGTGTTTTTGTGGATAGCTCCTCAAAGATTTTGTCAACTTAAATCCTTTTCTCAGCTATCATCAGACATTTTGTATATATAGACAACCTCTGTTGTCTTTGCAGTCAGACATGCCTGGGTTGGAATCCTGGCCCCATCATTTGCTAGCTGCGTAACCTTGGCCATTTTGTGTAACCCACCTATGCCTCCGTTAACTCATCAATAAAAATGGGGTACAAGTTCAACTCCCCCCCACCAGGGTTTCTTTGCAAATGAGACAATCTCCACAATGCTTAGTCCAGTGCTTAGCACACAGTAGAATAAATGATACTGGTTATAGCTGCAACTATACAAAAATCTATAATAGATTTCAAAAAATGCACTTGCTAAAAATTTGAACCAGGATACTCCAAGCCTGGCAGTGAGCAAAGAGTATCTACGAGGAAGATGCCTTGAGGTCTGACGCCGAGGGCGAGGTTCATTCTCCCCTCGAACATCTTGCAATAATGACTGCAGCTCCACATTATCCCCCAAGTGACAGGACGGTCTCCATTGTCAACGGTCAATATCAGAGGAACAGGGCTTGATTTCATAAAGGAAGCAACTGGATTTTCTTTAGAGATGCAAATGGAAACGTTAGGTTTGGCATGTTCCAGGGATTTCATTTGCTTAACTGAAAAGGGCATTTCATCACCCTAAGCACAGTTCTTAGAGTTACATTCAGGAGGGAGGAATGTAACCTGACTGCTTTGCTCTCAGGCATTCATCGCATTCTGAACCATGGGATGCTGGGCAAAATCAATGCCTTTGGTCTTGCTATTAGTTGCTCTTGTGCTTCCCAGAGAAATCTTGGCGCCCTGAGTTGACATCTTTGCTGGAGACTGACAGCTGGAATGAGATGTTCAAGTGAAGAAGATGAAGAGAAACACGTCTCTTTAAGGTAAAAATAGACCTTGTTACTGGATCAAGTTACAGAAGGGTAGAGGTGGAAGAATTTTCAAATTTCCTTCCTTGGAGGAAATCATCACCTAGTGTTCATAACTCAAATAGGACTTAATCTGTAAGCAAGTAGCTTAAAGATGATCTCAAGTCCACACGTAGAGATAGGTTTTGGATTTCCTTATGGTGACTCCAAACAGGAACGCTATCGGGGTAATTATGGGCTAATAGAAGGTGCCACAGGTTATCTCAATTAACCTGGATTCTCTTCCCATCATCTTGAGTTTGCCTCCATTGGAGGCACGGCACATGGCTTTGCTGGCACCTGTTTTACCACACAGCTGAACACATGACCTGAACTAAGTCTGTCAGGATCCCTGTCTACCCCTGTGCACTTCTTGCAAGTAAGCCAGTCATGGACAGAACCTGGATTGGTGCAAAATATCTCACTTTAACCAAAACTCCTATTTAGGTTGGTTTTGGGGCCTAACCTTATTAACTTCTTGGATCTTCATTGTTAAAATTAGCGTTTTTACTTAATAATTTTGTTCTTCTAATGATTAAAGTATATAAGAAAAAGGGAAAACTTTCAGTTCATTGTAATCAAGATGGCATACAAGTCTGAATTATTTGCTATATAATGTGGTCTCTACATTATTCTACCTGGTCATAATTTCCCCTCAAGAATATTTCTTTGGATGAATTAAAAAGTAATGTAATAATTTTTTTGAAACGTTGGAAGTAAAAATATAAGAGAAAGGTAAATTAAAGTAGCCACTGATTCCATTGAAGAAAATAAGATCCATTTTCAGGACAGATGGCATGCGCCAACTTCACCGTCAGTAAAATATTTCACAGTATTTTGCTAATGTGGGAATCTTGTAGTGTTGACATGTAAGGACATTGAAAAAATAGTAATTTTTAATCTTTTAAAACCATGATTCGGTTTTAAAATACTGTCATTCAGGAGCCAGAGTGTTTTCTTTTAATGAATACACAGTGTGATTTTTTTTTTTTTTTTTGAGATGGAGTCTCGCTCTGTCGCCCAGGCGGCTGGAGTGCAGTGGTGCAATCTTGGCTCACTGCAACCTCCACCTCCTGGGTTCAAGCAATTCTCTGCCTCAGCCTCCTGAGTAGCTGGGATTACAGGTGGGCACCACCACGCCTGGCTAATTTTTGTATTTTTAGTAGAGACGGGGTTTCACCATGTTGGTCAGGCAGGTCTCGAACTCCTGACCTCGTGGTCCACCTGCCTCAGCCTCCCAAAGTGCTGGGATTACAGGCATGAGCCACTGTGCCCGGCCACAGTGTGATATTAAACAAGCTAATTTGATTCCACTTTTTAAAACAAATGTTCATAAAGCCTGGAGACAGTATCTGCGATATATTCGTGCTCAGTGGAGTTTTCTCCTTTTCTTAAATGAATTTAAAGACAAAAGATCAAAGATGGTTATGTTTAAGTTTTAAAGCAAAGAAAACCATTTTCCTGAAATGCTCAAAGAAGCTATCACCATGAATGAACTAGTGAAGTAGGCCAAGCTGAGAAGATGATAGCAAATGTGGACTGCTGCAGTGAAGCTGGGTCAATCATTTTAGGAAGAATAGACAGAAATCCTACGAAGGTGCCAGAAAGCAGATGCTACTGCAATGGCATTAGAAATAGATGGGAATTATGCTGTAGCCAGAAGAAGATACTCTACTTTATCATGATAATGGAAATAATGAAAATTGCATTAGTACATAAAAGTCTATTTCTTTACAATGTCAAAAGTCAAGAAAAAGAGATTACGTTACAGAAACATTACAGACCAAAGGAAGCCATTCAACCAACTACAAGGGAAATTGTTGGAAGGATGTTTTTACCAAACACACACACACACACACACACACACACACACACAAACACCTCACTAACCCAAGAGTAGGAGGCAGCGGCCCTATAGTGCTCCTGTTTAGAGGGTGGTAAAGAGACTCTGGTGTACTTCTCAGGGCAGGCAGGGACAGCTGTTGCTTTTAAAATTTCAGAGCTCCAATGATCTTGACCTCTTGCTCGATGATTTTCATCTCTCCACATCCTTACCTCACAAGGACCGCTTGACCAAGTGGTTCATGTGGCTCAGGAAGAAAACAGACACTCCTTTACCTTGCAGTCAAGTTTGGTTTGCATTCAGTGGTAGCCGAATTGTTTTCTAAGGGCAGCAGCCTCACGAGTGATGCTGACCTGACACAGGTCATTGGAGAATATAGTGAGTGGCAGCTAGTGCATGTCTAGGGATGAGAAATCCCCGTGGAAGCAGTGGGCTCTCAACCCCGGCTTCAGCAGTTACAGATGGACAGTTGCAGCTCTAGTGGCATATCTGTTTTGGGGAGTCACATGGACAAGGCCAGGGCCAACGACCCCTCTGACATTTGTGTGTTGAGTAGGAATAGCAGTGGGACAATTCCCCACCTGCAAATTTTCCTAGAAGGACTCAATCCAGAAGGACAAAAGCAGTTCATAATGGGCATGTACCACGTTTTTTCTTTCGTATTATACTTAAAAGTTGGTTAGCGACAGGGATCCTCCTAAAGATCTCTTATCCAAGTGCCTGAGAAGCTGCTCTGGGCCGCTTAGCGGAAAGGACCTACATTCTGCTCTCTGACCTTCGTTTCTTGTGATCACAGAGCAGCCTTCCTAACTGAGGACTTACACACTATTGTGTTATCTGCAGAATTTTGCCAGTAGTGGCTACTGTTGCTTCTCAAGGCTAAACATCTCTCTTTCTAGCTAAGCCATCTTCACACATGCCATAAAATGACTGGACTTGAGATTTTTCAACAAAATGATCTCCAATTCCTCCAGCTTTCAAATTCTGTGTCTAAGCTTGTGACTAAAATGAAATGAATTTCATGTTGTTTGGAAATCATGACTGTGAATTGAAAAGTGAATAAAAAGTGAAGTCTTAGTCTTCAACTAAGGATACCAAATTCCCCACGTTGAGTTATCCTCTATCCCTGACAATTTTCCTTTTAATTAAAACACAGCCTGATAAGCAGAATCTTGGGGAACATAAAGCAGTTATGTGATTCACTCAACCATTTGTATGCAAGTGTGACCTATTTAGCTTTTAAAATCCTATTTAATGCCAAAAACCACATTAGAGAATTCAAACAAAAGCTCACAGGGAGTCCCATAATGAGACCGTTTTGATTAGTCCAGTGATTAGCTCATTTCCTCTCTCTTTAGTAATTTCATTTAGAATAGTAGTCATTTTAAGAGCAAGTAGATTTTCTTATTGCTTTACTAGTTTGCTGTGAAATTGGCAAGTGGCCAACCATCTGTGCAACTGCAATTATTACTATTACTTAAAATTTATCAAACCTCTTCGGTTACTATGAAAGTAATTCTCCCTGCCTATAAAGACAAGGCCAAGAAAGGCATTAATGAGACCCAACTTTGCACAAAAATAGACATTATCACCCCATGTTTCAACCTACTAGCCCAAAGTTCCAGAAGTGGTATTTGTGGACCCTGTTGGGAAAAAGTTGAGTGAACGATGGTTTTGATCGACTGCCATAGTCATCTACTCTTCAGTGCCTAGGAATCTACTTCTCCCTCTCATGAGAGCTATGCATTCATTTATGCAGGCATTTATTTGTCATTGGCATTTCTTGAAATGGATGGGTGTGTAGGCTTTTACTGTAATTTATGAATAATTTTAAATAATTCCAGCAGTACTGCCTCTTTTAGGGTCACCTGTTTCTTTCTTGCTTTTTTACATTTTTACACATTTAGCAATGAAACAGTGGGGAAGATGCTTGAGATATCACCACTGGAACTCCTCTCATTGCTCTACCAACCTTGGCCATAGATGATTCCAAGAAGGAGGTCTGAACAGTCAGGCTGAGGCCAGTGTGCTGCTTTCCAGCAGTAAGAATCCACAAACACCCTCACCATTGTGAGCAGGTGGTTGCCTCCACCCCGCTATTCTACTGCAGACAGTGACAGCTAGTGTCAGGAAGATGTAGCAATCCACTGTGCTGCTGGCCTCCCAGTGGGAGGGCTGGACCAGTGCATTTCTTAAAGCCAGTGACCACACAGGCAGGTTCATCTGGGATGGACCACGTCTACACCTGTTGTCCAGGCATCATTACTGAGTGCCCACTTTCACTTTTGAAAGTGTTAACAATTGGATAATGAATTGCATACTCGGCCCACTTAATGTCCCCTTGTAGCTCTGTCATCTATTAGGTGACCTAACATTTACATTTTTAACCTATACCAGCAGTTTGAGGCAATGAGTTCAGGAAGATTATTCTCCATTGTGTGAAGTAATATTTACCTTTATCTGTCCTGAAATTATCCTTCAAGCGTTATGGGATTGGTCCCAGCTTTAATGCTGAGGCTCAGTGAACAAGCTCATTTGCATGCTTTTACAGATTTTAGTTTTGTCCACACCAGGCCTTTGTCCATCCAGATGGATGGCCCTAATCTTAGAGCCTATTCGCAGAGACCTCCACCCTCTGATCATTAGCTTCCCTTGTTAATCAGGCTGTAGTAGTGTTTGGAGGCAACTTGTCTGAAAAGTGATGCACAATGGTTTGTCCTTTCAGGCACTGATGAAAGGCCGTCTGGTAGGGGAAGGGCTTTCCAGCTGTATTATAATTTTTTTTGAATTAAATGTTTTTTCTTTTTCTTTTTTTTAAGCATATAGAGAATGAAAGGAACCTGCCTAGATGGCTCATAGTGAGCCCTCTGTTTATGCTTGCAGAAAAAAGAAAGAACGAAAAATAAACAAAAAAAAAAAAAGAGAAGAAATCAAGGAAAAAAGGAAGAAGGAAAAAAGAAAGATCAGTGTATATAACTAAGAAGGAATATTATAAATTCAAAACACTATTTGCAGGAGAAAACAAAACAAAACTTTGCTTTGTTATTTCATACCTCAGGCCTGAATTTGAAAGGCCAAATATTGTAAGCGATTGTAAAAAATTCCCTAGAAGGGTGCATTTAAGTGGACATGGTGATTTCTTCCTTTCCAAGATGCAGGAATTTTACAGAAAAAAAAAAGTACTCGAGAGTAATAGAAGAAGAAAGGAACATTTTGTAACAGAATATCTTACCCTTGTACTTTGTATTTATGGTTTAGAAGCTTGATTCCCTTAAAACAAGATGTATGAGTGCCTTCCATGTGCAAGGTGTTTTGCTGGGCACTGAAAATATATAAACTGGATCTAATTTCAGCTCTTGTTATTTTAGACATTACGATTTGTTTTCTTGTGGAACATTAAGACAATATAATAAATTACAGCCTTCCTGCTGAATTTTACTTGTTTCTATTTTTCTCTCATGCTAATAGTCATGAGAATCACTCAAGTGCTTCCTTCTCTTACCATTGCAAGGACTTTCAAGTTCTTTAGGAAACCCGGTTCTTTCTCTTAAGAAAACAAATCTTAATTCATTGGGGAAACATGACATACATTTATTGTATATACAATCTGAGCCCCAATCAATTGGAATTGCTGCACATTTGGACAGAGGCTGGGCTGAAGTTCAACTTTATTTCATCTTTGATCAAAGAGCTTACTAAATGGAAGTAAACAATACTTTAGAGAAAGATTGACATTTTTTTCAAGGAAAAAAACTGATTTAAACTGAGAGTCACATTTCTCAAGCAAATTACTTATGTTAAGTACATGCTATTCCAACTATTTATAAAAGCAGCTCATGATGGATCTCAACCTGAGAGCACTTTATAAAGCACTTAGTGTCCTACAATTCCTTTTTTCCTGAAAAATGAATGTTTTTCTTTAAACATTATTCTTAATATATAACTCAGACACACAGTCTTCTTGGCTCATTTAATTTTTGAGGTCTGATTGCAAAAACTGACAAGAACATGTAAATGTATTTATAATCTAGGTACTTATGGGGATAGATTTATAATCTAGGTACTTATGGGGAGTGACAGCAGTTAGTAGAGGAGGGATGATTATAAGATGCTGTGTAAGTTCTGAGCAGAAATCTGAGCAATCTCTGCTTTATAAACATTGCACTCTGGAAGAATGCTCATCCGTTAAGTCTGTTGTGTGCCAAGGCCAGCATACACAGAACTTTCTTCTTTATGAGAAACTTTTCCTTGGGGGTAAATTTATATTGTCTTACATGTGTTTTAAATGTGGGCTTGAAGCCCCAGAGTGTTCTTATGTACCCAGATAAATAATTAACTTTGCAAACTATGAACATGTTTAATTTGGCTTTTGAAACTATACTTCTGAGACCAATTGTGCCCTTCCTAATTTGGAAATATTTTCTTTCTGGTTTTTATTTCGACATGTACCCAGCCATCTACTTTTGTTGCTATTTCTAGTATCCCAAGGGAGCTGCTTCCACGGTTGTCATAGTGCAGACAAACACAAAAGAAAACCAAGAATTCGGTGCTTTCATAAAGCATTTATTTTTATTTGAAAACATTATACAGGCATTACATTGCCACAGCCAGTCCATAGGGGAGCATGCAAATATCAAAAATGGACAGTTTGTTGAACTTATCGGTGTAACTTTTTTTTGGTTCGTATTTTCCATTTGCAGTGTTGTCAGAATTAGTGTGCTTTGTTATGTGGCTTAACAATAGAATCCTACCCATGGGGTAAAATCTGTACTGGTAGCTAGCTGGGGACTACTAAATAGTTATAAATCAAAAAGAAACCCAAAACAAACAATACTACACGCTTGTCAAAAGGTTAATAGCACAAGTTAGCAATATCTAAACTAAACATTGAAACAATTTCATGGGACACGGTGGTGCAAATTTTTCCATTGCTTGATCACCTGGTCATGTATTTGAGAGTATGTAGATGTGGGAAGGTCTGACCAAGGCAAGCGCTGTCCCCAGTGCAAGTTTTCATTGAGGAAGTGAGAACCACCACTTAATCTCTAGCAGGGTTCAGGAGAATTGTGGTTCGCTCTTACCTGATCAAATTCTATATAAATTGCTAAAGTCTTATTCATTGAGGAGAGATTGGTGGTGGAGTTAGAAACTGAAAATTTTGCTGGTGTCTACTGAGGTTATGAAATCTCAGAAACTAAAACAGCTAAAGTTAATGTTGTCCTACTCCCATTTCCCGCCCCATTCCCAAAGGATCAGTGTTTTTTACACAGAAAAAGAATTTGTTCTTTGCGATTTTTTTTTTCCTGGAGGGTCAGTCTGGAACTCCTGATCTTGAACAATTCAATATATTATCAACCTTTCTAAATGGAGACAAACCAACACATTGAGGTCACCCAGGGACATGAAAGTCTGAGTACAAGGACACCGAATGATAAAGGGTATACGGCAAATTCATCTTAACATTCACACTTGGTTTCCATACAATGGAGTCAATTAAAATATCCTATAAAATAATTCAGATGGCAACCTTTAGCCATCTGTTGATTGCAAACTTTTTGGAAATTTATATTTTTAAAAAACTCCAGTCTACTGAGTGGACTTGGAGATAATTTCATCCACTTGCTTCTCATAAGACTTTACTAAGTGTCTACAAATTAATGTCATAAAAATGAATCAAAGATGAAAACATCTGGCTTAAAATAAATACTAAAAATGCAATAAATCAAGCAAATTATTCAAACCAAAGGAATGTAAACACAAAAATAAAACCACAGTCTTTAAAGGTCTTCGGATCTGAATGGACAAAATATTCAGAGAAAGGTATTTAATTGGTTTAAAAGGTAGCAGAGAGAAGATGTTGGCAAAGTTGTTTTGATTTGATAGAGCTTTAACGCTGATATTTTCCCCATGGAAAATAAAACATGTTTCCTAGGGGGCTGAACTGAGATGACCATTACATCCGAATATCAGAGAAGATAATTTTTCTTCTCTATCTCCAAGGGTAGGTCCACTTACCCGTTATAGAAGGCAGGCAAAAAGGCCATGTGGGTGCTGACAGACAGTGTGGGATGCTTTTGCCTGCCAGATTTAGGCCTTGTACAGGCACTCTGGGATCAGTCCTTCTACTGTAGTCTGTCCTTTTACTTTCCAGAGACCCCACTGGTGTTTTGCTTTGCTTGCTTATGTAACACATGTTGATTTGAATTGCCCAATGTCTCATAAACATGTATTTTTCCCCTATAAACCCTGTAACTCCATTGAGGATCTTTTTGAATGGTATTGAAGTCAGTCAAACTAAAAGAGTACATCACATACTGACACATAGAATCTATTCTAAATAATAGAGGTCTGTGGTGTTTCTTAATTTCCTGTGTTTGAAAAAAGGGCTATTTTAAGGGCAACAGATTAGACTAGTGACATATCACTCAAGGTCTTATCAGGATCCTGCAGTATTCTCTGGGTCCATAAGAATGTCGTGTCGGCCGGGCGCAGTGGCTCACGCCTGTAATCCCAGCACTTCGGGAGGCCAAGGTGGGCGGATCACGAGGTCAGGAGATCGAGACCATCCTGGCTAACACGGTGAAACCCCATCTCTACTAAAAATACAAAAAATTAGCTGGGCGTCGTGGCAGGTGCCTGTAGTCCCAGCTACTCGGGAGGCTGAGGCAGGAGAATGGTGTGAATCCCGGAGGCGGAGGTTGCAGTGAGCTGAGATCGTGCCACCGCACTCCAGCCTGGGCGACAGAGTGAGACTCCGTCTCAAAAAAAAAAAAAAAAAAAAAAAAGAATGTCGTGTCAATATATCTGTTATTGAATGGATGCCAAATATGACCAAAATGCCAGACTTTTTCAATGATGACATTGTTACCACTGCAAAGTGGCCAAATCAATTAAGCCATTTTCAAAGACTGCTCCACATCAGCACCTTGACTTTGTTAGGAGGTGGCACAACCAATGATTTTCCACAATAAAGGTAATTTCCATGCTGGTGTATTTTTAAAAAGGTGTCACAGAATTAAAAGGGCAGAGGACCATGGCTTTTTCCAGTGCCTTGATTAATTTCCATATTATCACTAAGGAAATCTGGAAAAAAAATAAAAGATAGTTTTTGAAGAGAGGCTACAGGGAGGAGCAGAAAGATTTTATAATTATATATTGTCCTAAACACAAATGATATTATTTCTGGGGGCTCCCAAAAGCCACAGTAATGGAACAGTCCTTATCCTGTTATTACAGGGACTTGATTAGCAGAATCACGTGGCACAACAGAAAGGCAATGGCCTGGAGTAATCAGAGATCGAAATATAAAAAGGCTAAAATGTTTCTTTTATATCTATTCCTAGAATAGAGAAGTATATGGTCAGTTGCCCCTCCCCACAAAGGTCACAGCACAAAATACTTATTGAGCAGGCAATCCAACAGGTAACAGAGGAAACCATTAACCACCAGGTCCCTAGGAAAAGGAAACTTCTCAGGGGTGGAGCTCCTGTGGCATGCATCACTCATATAGTCTGTGCAAAAAAATAAAGTATGACTCTTAAAAAGTGAATTGCCATAGAAAAGTGGGGTTTATGTTGACTACATGTGGGTCTGGCAATAGTTTCCATCAGGAGTACAAAACATCCTCCTGAAAGTTGGTGTAATAACAGTAACAGCAATAATAATAATACAAATCATAATAACAATAATACTTGCTTTTGATTCAAAAATTTTCACAGTAATGAATGCAGGGGAGTTGTGATCAGGATACACGTTAGCTAGGCATCCTTCCAAGTCAGGTGGATTAGAGCCTGTGTCTCCAGTGATGTTGAGCTTGTTCCTTTCACAAGCTTTTGGAGGATTTGCTACCTTGCAGTCCACCTGTGTAAACTGCACCTAGTAAATACCTTTCTCTATGTACAATACAGAGATGATGGGCAAAAACATGGCCAATGAGTTGGCCTCAGTTGGCAGGGCGGGCCTCACCCTAGGCCACACGAACATGAGGCTCCTCTTCGGTCTCCTGGCCCAGGCTGGTGTAGGTGACTGAGGGTTCCACCTGAGCTGTGGTCGGTAAGTCCACAACAGGTCCTGAAGGATTGCGGAACTGCTTATACACTCGGGGGTCCTGGGCTATGTAGGTGGAGGTGGAGGAGTAGAGCACCAGCCCAATGAGGATGGTGAAGAAAGACAGGAGATAAAGTCCTGAAAACTAAAAAAACACAACAGTAAAGTCATTTGACAGCCAGGGCAGAACCACTGACACATTAATGAGGCACACAGAAACATGAGCAGAGCTGCTTCTTCTCAGAACAGGCAGCATGATGAGTTGGCCAACACCGTTGATGGAGAATGAATTTTCTCATCATAAACTGGCTTGGTCCTATTGATTCTCCTTATCTTTCCTAGACCCTGTGGCTAACACAGAGGAACACTTAGCTAATCATCTCTAAAGTGCCAATCTGAGGATCTGGTATGGTGCGAGAACTAGTTAAGCACAAATTAAAATGCATCAAGTTAAAAGCAAAAAATCTCCAGTATCAGTCAATAAAAAGTTGGTTGTTTGTGGCTTCATTAAACCTAGAGAAATACAGATATCCCCTTTAGGGTTGTAATGAAGCCATAAACAATGAACCGCTCACTGACAGCTGCATCAGGGCACTCTCATTTCACCTTAATCCAATTCAGACACTATTTGTCTTCCTAAGAGGAATTGTTACTGACTTTGGTAAATATCTTTGCAAGATTAGATTATCCTTGAACAGAAAGAAATAGTACAACATTCCATTCCTGCCCCACTAATCTGTAAACAAAACCAAGCAGGACTGTATATACAACATTCTGCTTCCTAATCTACTTGCTTGACAATTCATAGAGTTTGCGGGGAGAGGGAGAGAAAATACTGGTTTACACAAGTCGCAAGAATTTACATATGTTTTTGGAAAATTATGACTCCTGGACCTTCTTGAATAGTTACACTGGAAGTAGTTACTTCAGTAGTTACTGGGGAAAGAGTATGGTAACAATATGAGTATTGCCATTTCTGGTGTTTCGTTCATTCATTCCTTCATTCACTCCTTCACTAAATGAATAGTTTCTTATATGCCTTCTCTATATCAGACATTGAACTATGCACTGGAGAAAGAGAAATGAAAAATATGTTGATGCCTACCATTTAGGACTTAATTGTCTCAGTGGCCGAACAGGTACAGATAGACAAAAACAACACAATGCACTTACAGCATGCCAAATCTCATTTCAGTCAATAGTTAATATCCCAGTCTTGACCACATCCTGCGTCCATGGGGAAAAAAGGATCAATTTTATTGTCCTTAATGCTAATACTGAAAGAACTAAAAACTGCTAAAAAGACAAAAATTAATTGGAAGTTGGAAGAAAGGAAAACAGGAAAATGACCCAGAGATTCTATGAAGTAAGTTACAAGGCTATAGTACAAAGCTAAAAGATGGCTCTAACTGTAGTTCAATAATAGGAAAGGGAGTCTTGAAAATGGCTCATAAAAAAAGGTATCCCTGCGGCTAAACGTCCCTGCTACAGCGTTTTTTTCTTTCTTTCTTTTTGCAGTAGTGAGGGAGCTAAGACTAAAGATGCTTTTCTGATTTTCTTTCTAGAGCACTCCACACCCTGTCCCTCAATTCCTTTATTTTTCACATTGAAACCATATGATAACCCTACTTCAGATGGATTTATGTACTAGACTCAGCTTGTAACAGCTTCACTTAATTAACTTGACATAATTCACTTTTCCCAATGAAAATGAATGTGCCTCATTCTTTGATTCATAAATTTGTAAAATAAAATGGTATAAAAAGAAGACCACTAACAGTACAGTTGTGTATGATCTCAGAAAACCTATTTACACTCAAACTTGCTTCCTGAAATTCTACATTCAGGAGCTTCACCCTTTACCTTAAACTTCGGTGAATGAAATAGGTCTGTTCCTAACATTACCATCATTTCAAATATTTTATTAATTACTTTCACTTTCAAAACTCCACCCATACGTCTCTAGTTTCAAGCAAAGCATCTTAGGTGTGAACCTGCCTCTACTACAGCATATGGAGGTAGAGAGATGAAGAATGAGCGCTTTATAGTTATCACTGCATTCTAACCACCAAGCTGGCTTCAAATCTCAGCTCTGCCACATTCTAGCTGCAATTCTGGACACATTTCTTAACCTTTCCAGGTCCAGGCTTCCTTCTCAGTAAAGCACACCTACTATAGGGTGGTTAAAATATTAAATTAGATAAGGCATGTAGAACACTTATAGTTCCTATCTTGCTGTAAACATTCAATTCACATTAGCTTCATTCTTATTATTGTTTTTGTTATTACTATAGCACTTATTTTATCATAGTAATACTGATATATTTTATAATAATCTGATATAGTCATTGATTACATTTTCTTTTTTTCTTTTTTTTCTTGAGACAGGGTTTCACCTCTGTCACCCTAGGCTGGATGCAGTGGCACAATCATGGTTTACCGCAGCATCAATCTTCCAGAATCATGTGATCCTCCCACCTCAGCTTCCCAAGTAGCTGGAACTACAGGCGCCTGCCACCATGCGTGGCTAATTTTTGTATTTTTTGTAGAGACAAGAATTTTGCCATGTTGCTCAGGCTGGTCTCGAATTCTTGGGCTTAAGCCATCCACCTGCCTTGGCCTCCCAAAGTGTTAGGATTACAGGCGTGGGCCATCGCGCCTGGCCTAAATTGTCTTTTTTCAATAGTCTCCTGATTATGAGGTTGTGTTTTGTCTGACCAATGTCAAGTACAGAGCCTGGCACCATGTAGACATCTACTAAGTATTATCTGCTATTTTTTTTTTATCTTGAATGAATAATGGGGAAGTTTCAGACTAAAGAAAGAAACATAATAAAAAATCAGCCTGTACCAGTGGAGTAGTTCAAACTTTTTAGCTTTAAACTAGATAATGCAGTGCCTTTCTACTACATAAAATGCTCAACAAAAACCCATTAAGAAGGAAGTCATAGTATGAATCTACAATCATTGACTCCAAAAATCATCTTCAAACCTGGGGTCATTCAGAGGAGTATGATAGGACAATGAATTGGAAGAGACAATGAAGAAAGCTAGAGTCTGGATAGAAGACTCAGGGCTGCTGATCAGTGGATTGGCATTGGAGATGTCATAAACTTGGGGTGGGCAGGATTTGGCAATTGAAATAATGTAGTGGTAGAGACAGGAAAGGATTGGATACAGAGTATCCAGGTAGAAGGATTGGATTCCTCTCCATTTATGATTTTAGACTTGATCAATATGACAAAGAATATACTGTTAAATTTTGTAAATCTAATGCCCTCGCTATTGTAATGTACTGCTTAAAGGATCATCCCTTTTTTGGACATGGAACCATCAGGTTGAGCGAGAAATTCCTTACAGAATTGTTTTCTTGGGACACAGCTTTAGCATAATAACACATAGTTTATTTTTAATGCACTTCTATTTAATTCATATGGAATTCAGTCAAAAAATAGCTCCAAAGATAGATAGCATGGGATTTTATATGGTGGAAGTATCTTGGAAGTCACCCAAGAGGCTTTATTAATAAATGGTAGAGAAAGTTTTCATTTTAAATACAAGTCCAAAAAGACAGCAGTCAAGCAAGCATTATGATTAATCAGGATAAATGCTGAATGTTATAAATGTTGACAGAAAGGTTTTATTTTTTTAAAAAAAAAGTAAAAAAAGTTTTATTTTTCCTTCTTTTTAGTTTAATTAAGAAAAAGAAAATTGAATCAGGGCTAATAGAATGATCCCCTATTCTGGATGGTGCACTTATCTTGTAGAACATTCATTTAAAAAACCAATCAACCAGACAAAAGTATTGTACAATCTAGGCTACTTACTAACTGCAAAGAAATACTTATTTCTATCTCCCCAAGGAAAGACATCAGGAACTTCTCTGGAATGCTATATGAGGACTGAAAGCTGTCTCTGAGTTACAGGTAAGGGAAGCTCAGGCAGAAGGTGGCTGTCTCCATTGGAGAGCAGGGGCTGCTTGCTGTCCAAAGTGTACTTGGAGGTCTTCTCCTTTGCAAACTGTAGCCATCAGAATATGCTGTTTGTTCTGTGCCGCAGACATAGTTTTTCCTGCATTTTATCTAACTGGAAGCTCTAAGAATCTGAGAAAGGATACATCCTATATTAACAGGATCATACTGCAGACACTGCTTACTTTGCTGCTGTCTTTTTCTACCTTCATGAATCTCTTTGAGAACACAGGTCAGAAGGCACTCACTGCACATAATGAAAATCCCCGAGTGCTGCTTAAAACAATCTGACTGAGACACAAGCTATTATACAGGACGAGGTGGCTTGGAGGATGGATAATAAGCCTGTACAAAGCTCTTTAACTTCCAGACAGAGTTAAACCTAGCTCTTAGAAAGCTGGCCTGTCAGTTTGATTGCTATTTGGTTGATGTGGCATTCAGCACATCACAGACCAAATTTTCATTTTATTTTTGGCATTTAACTTCTAAGTTGAATTTTAACAAACTAATGACTTCAATGGACTTAAATCTATACAAGTAGAAAACCATGTGGTTTGAAAGTCATTTCAAAGTACATTTATAAATACATCAACTAGACTATGTGAAGAAGAGGGCAATGCTTCAAGGGCAACTTTCTTTTTCTAGCTTGACTGAAAACATGGCAGAGGTCAGCAGAGGAGAACATGGGTGATCCCTAGAGAGGCACAAAGTGGACTCTGGGTTTCAGCTCTACTTTTATTGAATGCATGTACCAAGTACTTCTATATGGTGGGCCTGGTTTTTTCCTTTTTCCCTGGGAAGTGTACCTTAAAGAGTCCCTTTAAGCATATGTCTCTGTGTAATACAGCTTTTAAAGGCTCCTAGCCTGGTGTGGTAATGCATGCCTGTAGTCCTAGCTACTCAGGAGGCTGAGGCAGGAGTTTGAGGCTGCAGTGAGCTATGGTCCTGCCACTACACTACACCTGGGTAAGCTGTCTCTTAAAAAAAAATACACACACGCACACACACACACACACACACACACACACACACATCTACAGGCCCCTTCTGGTGACCTGATACCATCTGCCTTCTGAAATTGCATTCGTATAATGAATGCTTGTTTTCCTTGAGCACTGTGAGTAGCCTGAGAGAACACTGCCCCTGATGGCTTCTCATGTACCACACATGAGCTAAGGCCAATGCTTTCAAGCCCTCAGATGTTCCCAAGGCTATCTATGATGAGTGGAGGAAGCAAACACCAAATATTTCACACCGTAGCTCAAGGGTGCTATTATTGTTAAACTTCAAAAGACATGTTACCTTTTGGGGCTCTATTGGATATAAGCCTGCCATTGAAACAGATGTACTACTTGGAAACATGATAATGGCAAGAGTTGAAACTGGTCCATGAACTGCATAAGGGGCTGCACAGAAATGAATACAAGGATATTTCTAAGTGTTATTAGACATGACTTCTGATGAAAAGGTATTTCGCATATATGAAGGATATGTGGCCATCAGGTGACCATAATAACCATGTCCTTTCTAGTTGTTATTCAGTTTATTTTAAAAAGACACAGATGTAATTAAACTTTCCCATATTTTTAACTCTTTGGCAGAAAACATCTATAAGGGTAGAGTCTTGGAATCTGCAAATTTAACAGTTGCTTCAAAATCAATGCAACCATGGGTAAGCAGGAAAATACCTGGCAGTGATTGGCCATTCTCAAGGTTATGTAGCACAGCCCAGAAAATGTGGGTTTCGGAGCTAGTAGGGAGAATTTCCATGTAGAGCGACTGGTCTGTTAATTTCAACAGGCACATTATTCCTGGGAAAAATGAGACTTTTAATTAAGTTTGTGAAAACTGTACTGCTTATTCTTTGCCATGTAAGACAAAGTGTCCTTTACTTCCCTACTCTGTGAAATAAAACGCACACATGAAAATAAATCAACTTGCACGCTAACCATAACTTCTAGATCAAGAAGGAATAAATGAGCCCAATTCTGTTTAAATTGGAAGAAGATTACCAGTTTGGCAGTCCTGGGTACCAGAGTAGTTTTAAAGATCCATCAGTGACTAAATGAAAGTAACGTGAATTAAGAGTAAATCATTCATTCAATGTAATGCTGCTATAGTGAAGAATAACTAAAAGGGGAGTCCCACTTTATATGTGAATTAAAGGGTGGACCTTTCGGCAACTGTCTTCGAAGAAATGAAGCCAACCCTCTGCGTGTCCTTATAGGGAGGGAGAGGACAATTCAGCATTGACAATACAGCTCAACTCTTGGCAGTCCTGTGCTTCTCAGAGGGCTGAGGATCATACCTGGAGCTTGGGTACAATTGCTTGGTGCAGGACGAAAGGATGTTGGTTAGTGCTGAGCGTGCTGTAAGCTGTGGCCTGTAACGGTAAGACCCTGGGACGAAAAGCTCTGCCAGGTCCTGATCTATTGCCACTGGGCCCGAGCCAATTGCTATTCAGGCCAAGACAACTAGACGAACCTGGCTCCATGGAAAAACGAACACAAACAAGTTGATGCCTGACCTCCTAATTTTGGCTCTGCACTAGACCAACAAGATCATTTTTATTATTATGAAGTGCATTAAAAATGCAAAAGTTCGGCTTCTGAGTTTACTGAACTGGAAATAAATTGCCAGAAGAGACCAGAGCTTTTTCAGATACTTTCAAACTCCTCAATTATTGCTCTGTCTCCTTTCTCATGTCCCTTATTTCTCCTCTTTTTCTTTTTTTCCTTATTTCCTTTTCTGTTAGGAAAAAAAAAGGACTAAATCTTTCTGGTTAAATATTGTGATATTTTGCTCTTCTAGGTCATTCAATGCAAAATATTAAACATGGGAAAGCTACAGAATCTACTGACAAATACCAAAATCAGTTGTCTTTAGAGAGTAAGAATAATGACCCCCACAAACCCCTGCCTCTCCTTCTTTCTCCAATTTGAGAATTTGAATCTCAATTCATGTTAATTTAATCAAGACAAAAATAAACAAACGAGTGCCTTAGTCAGAATGCCAAATGGATTCTGTATTCGTATCAGAAAACCAAATCATTGCTAAGATTTAAATACTTGGGAAATGATTTATTCTCCAAGCATTGTGTTGTTAAAGCAAAGAGAAGTAGCAACCATGGCCCTTGGCCTCTGTGTGCCTACACTATCACCCAGGGCAAGGCTGTGCTCTGAGCTGCTATCCCAGTTTGGTTTATGAGGCCTTCTGTTTAGTTTGCAAAACCAATTCATTTGGCAGTATAATTTGTGCAGCCAATCACATCTAAGGCCAATAAGAGCTCTTTTATAGGCAAATATCTTCCCCTGTGGGTAATTTCACACATGAATACAGCAATCGGGAGCTAAAAATGGATTTCTGCCATTATCTTCTATATGACAAACAGACAGTTTCACTTGGTCTGATGAACTGATAGAAATCCTTGTTCACACAGATTTCTATTTTCTGCATTCCAATAAAAAAGAGAGGCCGTAATAGCCAAGCCAGAAGTGGAACAGAGGGGCTTACTCTGTGGGAATGTTTAATTATAGGCTCAGTTACAACAAAGGCCATTCAATGGCTCATTTATGTCACCTTCCCATGCATCGTTCTTATTATCAGTAGTCAAAAAGACATTACATTTGTGTGGGAGGCACACTGAGCAGTGGCCTTCATTCCGTTTGGACTTTTGCATCACAAGACATCTACTTTCCCTCTGCAAAACACAGAGGTACATGCTGGGCTACAGCAATTTTGTAAGAGACTGAATTTTAAAGCCAGGGAAAAATACTGAGTTTGTAGAAGTGGTAGTGTAGCAGCTCAACAGATCCCAGAGACTTCTGCCCCATTACAATGGAATCAAGGGGTGGAAATGGAAATGTCATCATTTTCTATTAGCCCTGTTAGCCACTAGCAAAATTTATGCTTCCTGTCACTGCAACCTTTGCTCTGTTGATCTTAAAAATTTAAGGTCAGAGAGAAGAACGCTTCTGCCGGAAGACAGAACAAAGGTTCCATGCACTGAAAGTTAAGGCTGCCACCTGGCCATTTTGGGCTCCTCATGCTTCTGAAACAATAGGCAAAGAAGGGAGTTTAGTTCTGGCTGTGTGGCTGAACTTAATTACCGAGGGGAAACTGGACTATTACTTTACCAGGGAAGTAAGGAAGAGCCTGTCTGGCATACAGGAGGAGGTCCTTTAGGGCATCTCTTAGGATTATCATGACCTATGATAAAAGTCAATAGAAACTACAATAAATCAATCCAGGCAGTACTATTAGTGTACTTGACCCTTCAGAAATGAAGGTTTAGAGTCACTCCACGAGGTAAATAACCATGACCAGGGAATACAGAAACCACAGTGGAAGAACATACCAGCTGCAACCATGTGACCAGTTACAGAAACGAGGACCGTAATTGTCATAAATAGTTCTTCCTTGTTATGAACACACTTCTGTGTGTGTATATATAGCAAATATATTTGTTTTCTTCCTACCCTTGTCTCTTTATTATATAACACAAGATAACATTATATAATATTGACTTTATATCATAATATTAAAGGATATGAAGGAAAAGGGTGAACATCATCATCTAAGGACTTTGCATCTGCTTGTAAGGCAAGGGTTAGTGTGTTTTCTAATTGTATGCAGGATAGTCATATCATGTTAGGCAAAAATAGCACCTTATTATTATTGTCTTTATTTAGATATTAAGTATTATTTAAAAGACATGTGAAATTGATGCCAAGTTGAAAAGGGATGGACTTGTGATGGTTAATTTTATGAGTCAACTTGGCTGGGACACAGTACCTAGGTATTGGACAAAACAGATGTTTCTGTGAAGGTATTTTAAAAATGAGATTGACATTTAAGTCAGTAGACTTTGAGTAAAACAGATCACTTTCCATAATGTGGGTGGGGTGAGCCTCACCCAATCAGTTGAAGGTCTTGAAAAAAAAGACTGAGGGCCCCCCAGGAAGAGGAAACTGTACCTCCAGATTGCCTTCAGACAACTTTTTTCCTGGATTTCTATCCCGCTGGGTCTTCCTTGTAGATTTTGGACTTGTCAGCCCTCAATGGCCTGAATCAATTCCTTAAAATCAATCAATCTCTCTTTCTCTCTGAACACACACACACACACACACACACACACACACACACACACACACATTCCTGTTGATTCTGTTTCTCTGCTAATATAATGACAATCTGTGACACTAAAGATCTTTGACTGTGATGTAAACTTGTAACAATTTCTCTCTGTGTAAGTTTTAGAAGTGCAATGTTTAATGATATTTTTCAGGGAATATCAAGTGGTGTTTCATGATATGAGCTCTAGAATCAAAATCATGGGATTTACATGCCTGTTTGCCTCTTCCTTGCTGTGTCTTGGACAAGTTCCCTACATCTCCAAGCCTCAGGCCACTCATCAGTTAACTAAGGACAATAATAGCACCTGCTATATGAAATCATTGTGAGCATCGAATGAGATGAGATATAAAACTCTTGGTATAGTGCTTGCCACATACTAAATGTTAAACAAATGTCAGTGATTGTTATCCTTACATCACGAAGAGTAAATTCTAAAGCCAAGATTGGTATAAAAATCTTCCTCAGATGCCTTTCTGAAAAGTTCACCACAAATCAATTTGAATTGCAAATGCATTTATGGAACTGGCTATTTAAAAAAAGAACAGAACAATCAACCCATCTGGAATAGAAGGCATTTTCATCAGTGCAAATAATCAACCTCTGGCTTATAGACTCCATGTTTGGACCTGTTTATTTCAAGATTTCTTTTCCTTCTTTCTTTCTTCTTCTTTTCTTTTCTTCTTCTTTTTTTTTTTTTTAAGAGATGAAGTCTTACTATGTTGCCCAAGCTGGAATGCAGTGGCTATTCACAAGTGAGATCATCACACACTATAGCCTCAAACTCTTGTTCTCAAGCAGTCCTGCCTCAGCTTCCCAAGTGAGATATTTTTAATAATGCATAATTACATAAGTCACAGGAATCCTCATAATTTTCTATTCTGTTTACATTGTTTATCAATTTTGAGCAACTACTCTGCATTGGCACAAATCATGTTTGAGCACCCATGAGCATATATGAGTAACTCTAGCAATTCACTTTACTTCCTTGGTGTGGTAGGCTGAAAAATAGTCCACCAAAAGACATCCACATCTTAATCCCTGGAGCCTATACACATTACAATATTTGGAAAAAGAGTGTTTGCAGATGTGCTTAAATTGAGTATCTTGAGATGAGAGATTATCCTTGATGCTATGGACTACATTGTGTCTCTCCAAAATTCATATGTTGAAGCCTAACCCCTAATATGGTTGTACTTGGAGACAGGGCCTTTAAGGAAGTAATTAAGGTTAAATGAAATCATAAGGGTGGGACCATGGTCCAATAGGATTGGTGTCCTTTTAAGCAGAGACACCAGAGAGCTTGCTCTCTCTTATTCTAAGAAAACAATATTCAGGAAAGCATAATGAGTAACAACTCTAAATTAGGTATGATCATCTTAGCAAACAAAGCTGTAGTCTACTGCTTCCGAAGTATTTTTGTATATATCATTTCATTTTTAAAACACCAACCCCTCAGAGAAGCATAGAGTACCACGATAAGCATAGAGTACCATGATAAGCATCTTGATGCTAAGGAAGGTGGAGGTGTGAGGAGGTTTAGTAGGTACTACTAGGAGGTTTAGCAGTACACCTAGGTCTCAGATCTTGTAGTGACAGCTTACACAGTGCCCAAAGGCCTTGGCCCTTGGCCCAATTCTCTTCCCTCTCTCCTAATTACTTTGTTAGCTGCATTACAAAGTAGTAATTCTTTTTGTTTCTTCCATTCCCTATACTCAAGCTTCTAAGGGCAATCTATCTTTCTTTTGCATAGGGGAAGGACTCAACTTTAATTCAACTTCTGTTGGAACACCCTTAATGGATTATTGATAAACTTGGAAGCTGTTCTTTTTCAATTTATAGCAATGAACAATCATCAGGAAATACTATCATGGCTGTGGGAAGGAGGAAACCCCTTGACAAAATGAAAAATGAGCTCCCTTGCATCAGTATTGGAATTCTATATTTCTTTCTCTTTCATGTACCTGGTGGTGGCAAGAAAGACAAAAAAATGAAATAAGTAGATGAGTAAGTTATTTGTAAAGAATATTATGAAATGGCAGCTGTCAAAAAAGAAATCATATTATGGGTTTAATGTTTTTTTTTTTTTCTAAATAAGCTGTTTGTTTCCTGATAAACAGTTGCTACCTTCTCGCAAATAGCCTTCAATATTCACCTTTAAATTCCAGAGTATCATGGAGAAGTATGGGCACTGGGCTCAAAGTATTCCATACTAAAACTTAACAATGTCATTATTATTGAATTTTCACAGTACTGTATATTCCTTGAAATCCATGGGGTAGTAGGAAAAAATGTAACTGAGACATTCAATAACATTGCTAGTTTCTTTTTCCTTTTTAAAATTAAACTTTATACCTATTAATATCATAAAAATTAAATTGTCTAATGTCTTAAGACTTGAAAACAAAGTGAACTTTGAGTTATGCTATTATTATGTAAGCAAATTTTTGCCCTCAAAATCTAGAGGTGTCCCCTAAGTTTGACATTCATGAACCAATATATTCATAACCATCTATATGTGTCTATGTATTTTTGAGGAAGATGGGCATGGTGAGACATCACCAAGCTGTAAAAAGACCTGTAACTTGAAAAGGACTTCTTTGTTGTAAAATTAGCCTGTGTGTATACCAGTCTCTTTTCTCTGGATATATGATTCTGGGAAAAGTTAATTTGATAATATTATTGTTACTTCCTGAAATGGTTCCTCCTGGGGTGCACTATATGTGTGAAATCAGTTTAGAATGCTCTCCCTGTCTCCCATGCGTTTCCTTCCCAAATAGTTGACTGTTCTTTATAAGCTACTGCTTTAACATTCCTTCTCTCACACATCTTAGCTCAGGGCTACTGGTTTGCATTGGTACCCACTCATTCCTCGTAAGTAGTGAAAACCATAAACTATTAAACTGAAGATATTTCACAGCATTGTGTGTATGCTACAGATATCCTTATAACAAAACTAATAGATACGGCGTTAGATGCCACCAAGAACTCAAATAGGGGGCAGACACTTCACTTAAAACTGGGTAGAAATAATTACAATTGGCTTTGAAAACAAGTTTGCACATTTGAAGTGCAAAGAAATTTGTAACATTTTGTGTATAGCTTCAACCTTTAAGCAGCTTTATTAATGACACACTTTGTTGAGGAAATGGTTGTTTCCTGGTGCCAAAGACTAAAGAAAAGCTTGCAAGGACAGTTACAGTCTACATCAAGGGTCAGAAAACTAACAAATCTGGCATCTACCTGGTTTTGTGAATAAAGTTTTATTGGAACTCAGCCATGTCCACGGCAGTTGTGTAGTTGTGATGGAGACCGTATGGCCTGCAAAGCCTAAAATATTTATAATCTGCCCCTTCATGGAAAAGTTTGCTGACTGCTGGCCTACCAATATATCTATATCTATAGCTACCAATATAGATGCCTAAACATTGTATGTGATAATGACTAATTTCACAATTTAATGTGGGATGATATGAAAAATAAATCTAAATATTAGCTATAATATTAAAATTTATTTTTTCTACAAATAAATTTCTTACCAAATGTTAAGCCTTTAATGTGAGTTCCATTCCTTCATACCCCCCCTTAACACTGCATACAGTTATGATGGTATTGAACTCATTTTCTGATTTCCATGTTCCCTTGAGATGTTCCCTAAGCAATCTATCAATTCAATCAAAGAATGAATCAAAACAGTGGCTCACTATTGTGTGGGATCTGAATTTTTGTTTTTCAGCTGGTTTCATCAACTTGAGACATAGAGTTGACATTTATCAAAAGCTTTCTGGCTTCCAACATGAAAATTTCTAGATAATGTTCAGCCTAGAAAGTGGAAGATTAAACTTCAATGTTTCCTGTGAAAATAAACCTTCATTAAAAAAATAATTACCAAACACCTACTGTGCCAGGCTCTGCAGTAAGCATCAGAGACACAGCACCCAGCAGAGAAGGAGCCCTATGAGGTCTCTGTCATCCTGGAACTTAGTCCTGACCTCCAACATAAAGCCAGTCCTTTCATTTAAAGATGGAATTGGTTGGAACACAAAGGAAACACCAGTACAATTCATAACTACGGAAACCTCCACAGAGCAATGGAACACAGCTACATTCCTGCACCTGGAATGTCTGGTTTCATGAGCATCCAGAAGGAAGCGGGTGTGAAACTGATCACCAACATGTACATTCTAATTAAATTCAGTCACATTGCTAAAGCTGAGGACTCACAGAATGGTTATAATGTACTTATTTAAAAAATAAAATTTTATTCTAAAATAATTCAAATGAGAAGGAAACCAGGCATATGACTGTAAGTTAGTACTTAGCAATCTAATGAGTGAAGAGTTCTTAAATATAACAATAGTCAAAACAGAAACAATGAAAAACTTAGACTTTTTTGTTCATATTTGTCAATTAAAACTGATCATAAACCATTTTAATCTTCTAACCAGTGTCTGTTATAATTTTGTCCATTTTTTCAATGGCAAAGATTCCTATTTAGAGTTCCTTCTTATTCAAGGGGATTGCTAGCTTTGTTTTCAAACTGAAAATAACTTTATTGTTTTGTGATTATAAAAATGGGTAAAAGTAACAAATGTTCATATAGTGTTTTAGCAATACATAAGTTCTGCAATACTTAAAAGTGTGAAGAACATGAAATACAAGTATAGCCATCACTCAGTATCCATGGGGAATTGGTTCCAGAATCTTCCTTGGATACCAAAATTTGTAGATGCTCAAGTCCCTCATATAACATGGTGTAGTATTTGCATATGACTTCCTGTATACTTTAAATCGGCTCTAGATTACATATAATACCCACTACGATATACCCACTACAATACAGATGCTATCTAAATAGTTGTTATTTTGTATTCTTTAGGGAATAATGACAAGAAAAAAAATGGTCTGTATAAGGTTCAGTACAGATGTAATTTTTTCCCCTTAATTATTTTCAATCCATGGTTGGTTGAATCCATGGATATGGAACCCATGGATACAGAGGGCTGATTGTACTAACAATTCTACTAGCCTTAATAACAGCATTATTTGTTGAATATTCACTGTGCTGGATATTGCAGTAAATGATTTACATGTACTATTTCATTTATGCCTCACAATTAATGAGAGAAGTACTATTATGACCCCCCTTTGGTGGGAAAACTATAGTTTAGAGATGTAACTTTTGCACGAGGCTGTGTAACTGGTTGTTTCAGGGATTCTTAACCAGGGGTCCCTGTATAGAATTCGTGGGGTCTGTGAGCCTGGATGAGAAACCTGGACCTTATTTTCACTGACCTCTAACTGACATTTAGCAATTCTTCAATTGCAAATGTAGGCATTGAGCTTCAGTGGTATTAGAAGCACTTTAGCCTTTTCCACCAACATAAATCATACACAGTGTATATTTTTACTTCGCATTACAATCGCTGCACATCTCTCCAAATATCTCTTATGCTAATCACTGCTTTGAAATGACAGTAGTTAATAGATCTGCTTCTAGATCTTGTGATTTGTATATTACTATATCATCACATTTTAAAATATTCCGATAATGTTATTTTAATATAGTTGGTTCTGCAATTCCATATATTTTATTTTAGACATTTTAAAACATTATTAAAACAGATCTCTAGGCTTCATCTGACTGCCAAACTGAGCCATGGCACAACAAATTTATGGACCCATTGGTAGGAAGTGGAGCTGGAATTCACAGCTGGGCTGTAACAACTCATGACAACGCTGCCATTCTGCCTGCCCTTGGAAACGTTTACATTTTCATAAACATCCTTTCAGATTTGTCTCTATGGACACAAATTCTTGCTTAAATGTTTATATATGAAAGTATGCATGCGACTATGCCAATAAAAGGTTTTATTGTTTGTTTGTTTTTGAGATAGGGTCTCACTGTTTGCTTAGGCTAGTGTGCAGTGGTGTGATCATGGCTCACTGCAGCCTCGACCCCCCAGGCTGTAGTGATCCTCCCACCTTAGCATCCCGAGTATCTGGGACCACAGGTGCATGCCACCATGCCCGGCTAATTTAAAAAATATATATGTTTGTAGAGATGAGGTGTCCCTATGTTGCCCAGGCTGTTCTCAAACTCCTAGGCTCAAGCAATTTTCCCACCTTGGCCTCCCAGTGTGCTGGGATTACAGGCATGAGCCACCATGCCCAGCACAATAAAAGTATTTCTGAGTAAAGAAGTCAGAGGAGAGCAGTGCTTAAGGGAATGAACTCTGAAGTCAAAACCAGCCAAATTTTTGGTAGCAACCAAATAAGAAAAGCGGTTTAATCATATGGCATAAATTTTGAAAAGTTAGTCAAGGGAGAGTCTAGGAGATTCCAGCATGAATCAGCATTGTTGCTAACCCAGCATTACCTACCAGAAGTCATTCAGAGGAAAGAAGTGGAGTTGGCTGACTCTGGAGATTAACAGAAAACTTTGCAATTCGGAGAGGACTTATTGAAGTGGTGTTTGGGTGAACTCAGGAAACAGTCAAGAAACTATTGTCAGGAATAGAAACCATTATGTACTGCCTAAGATTCTTGGGGAGGTAGAGAGTCACTGGGGCTTGCCATTATCTGGGGATTTGTGATGGACTAGAGGAGCAATTGAACTCCTCTAGTTCAAGGGGAAATAAGGTCACAAGGGGGTTATACTCCTGAGAGTTGGATGGGTCATAGGTCAAGATGACCTATGAATGTAAAGACATTAGAGATGTTGTCAAAGAGAACCCTGAGATATAATACTTGTGAGCTCTATTTTTGAAAAGGAAGTCACACAACTCCTTAAATGATAAAATCCAGTGACTCACGATATTGAAAAAGGACTGGCTGTGTATTAGTCCATTTGCATTGCTATAAAGGAATATCTGAGACTGGATAATTTATAAATAAAAGTGGTTTATTTTGGCTTGTGGTTCTGTAGGCTGTATAAGCATGGCACCAGCATTTGCTTTGCTTCTGGTGGGGGCCTCAGGAAATTTACAATCTTGGCAGAAGGTGAAGGAGGTGCAGGCATGTCACATGATGAGAGAGGGAGCAAGAGAGCAGGGAGGAAGTCCCAGATTCTTTTAAACAACCAGATCTCATGTGAACTCACAGAGCATGCAGTCATTACCATGAAGATGGCACCAAGCCATTCACGAGGAATCCGCCCTCATGACCCAAACACCTCCCACAAGGCCCCACCTCCAACATTGCAGATTACATTTCAACATGAGATTTTGAGGGAACAAACATCCAAACCATATCAGGGTGCAGTGCTCAACTGAAAAAAAATATATGTGTGTATATATATATATTATATATATATTATATATATATATTTCTCAGAACTTATATATATAATATATATTTCTCAGAACTTATATATATAATATATATTTCTCAGAACTTATATAATATTATATATATTATATATATATTTTTTATATATATATATATAAGTTCTGAGAAAAAAATGCAACTTAGGATAGAATTATCCTTTGAATTTAAAGAGTAGACATGTTTTCAAAGAAGTAAAGACTTAGGAATGCAACCCCTGTGAACATTTCCTGGTAGACTCACTGCTAACCCAATAGCACTTCCGCAGTGAATCAAGACACTTGATGACCATCTGCTTTCGCATTATAGGGAACATATTCTCTACAAATGGTCAAATTGCACTGTGTGCAGCCTGTACAACCATACATAGCTGTATTGCCTCTTGACAATACCAGTAGTGATGAAATCCAGCCTCCTAAGGGATTAATCAAAATAAATTCAGAAAAGAAGAACCTATATTTCAGAGACTGGTGGTACAGCAAATGTAGTAAGTGTGGAAGTATGGTATAAAAACCATAGGGGTTATATTTACAGAAGTTAACTATTAAAATATTGATAATATAAAAACAGTACAGTAAAAGTCAAGGAAATGAGGGAGGACAATGTTAATCATCTTTCATGGAAGAGAGTAAATCACAACTCTTAACACTTTAAATATAGAGTTGAAAAAAAGTCTTCAGTCCTTGGTGGCCCCTAGAGATGTGTAGAGTAGTGGTTCTGCTTCAGCCTTTAATGTTCGAGCCAATCTTTGTTTTACATCTTAGCAAACTGATACTCTGATTTCTATGAGTTTGGTTTATTAATATTCTGGTCCATGGAAGACGGATCCACACAGGTCTGCTGACAAAATTAGGAGACTGAATGGGCAAGATTGTTGCCATTCAATCTTGTGAATACGACTGAACGGCCAGGCTGTTCATTTTGGTGACAAACACATTCCAGGCATTGTCCTGGGAGACAACTAGCTGCTTTTTTCTTGGTTATGCCCCAATCCAATCACAATCCTTTCCGTTTGAAACTTCTGCAGTACCTCTAGCCCGTTCAATCTTTCCTCACAGCTTATCATGATGACGTGAGCTCAAAATATTTGTTTTGTGATGTGGAGTTCATGAATAGATTTTTGTACAAGGAACTTTGGCTTCTGGCTATAATTCTGGGCTTGCCTCACCATTTATTCCCAACTTCTCTAATCCTTCTCATATTCCTGGGAAATGGAAATTGCTAGTGTAGCAGAGACCAGCTACTTGTTCACTAAACCCATTTTCTTTTCTTCCTGCATAGATTGACCACATTTCCCAGCCTCCCTTGCAATTATTAGGTGTGGCCATGTGACTGAGTTTTGGCCAAGAGAATGGGAGGGGCTGTAGACACACCACTCTAAACACAGCCATGAAAGTCTCCAGGCTGTCTAAGAAGGAGTCCCACAGAGGACTCCAAGTGCCTAGCCCAGGCATGGGCAGACTTCTTAAGGAGCTAGACAGTAGTAACTATTTTGGGTTTATGGGTCATATACTCTGTCACAATTACTCAACACTGCCATTGTAGCACAAAAGCAGCCATGGATAATATGTGAAGAAATGGGCATGGCTCTGCTCCAATAGAACTTTATTTACTAAAATAGGGGGTGGCTCACAGGTTAGGGTTTTCTGACTCCTGCACTAGAGGATGGCAGAGCCACAAAATGGAAGGCACCTGGGTTCCTGAATGGCTGCATGGAAATGCATCCCTTCCCCACTGCTAGAAGCTAGCAACACTTACCCTAAGTTATTCAGCAAGACGAAGCCTCAAAAGGGGCTGTACTCTTAACAGTGCAGGGGAAAGCCAAAGTCAAACGCTCATTGCTCTTCCACCTTGGTATTCCATGTGTAATACTTTGGGCTTCAGAGATGCCAGTTTCCCTAATTCTTTTCTCACTAGCAATACTTTAAAAAGTATTGTAAAGTCATAAAAGGCTAAGTATTAATTTTTAAATCTCCTATTTCTAATTACATTTGGGCACTATAAGCTTAACATCCATAGCCTTTTAAGATGTCATTTTTACATACAAGAAACCTAACAGGCTACTTATGAGGGCATTTTAAAAAATAAGAAGTGAAGTATTGCTTTTATTATGCTCATCAGCTGCCACAGGTTGAGGCTGCCTGCCCTAGTTTTCAAGTGCAGTGACATTACTGAGATTGCTCACTGACACAGAGGATCAACAGGGTTGCTTGGCTCAGGATTCTGATTCATGTCTAATGAAAGATTCCACTCTTAATGAAAGTTTCCAGTCTCTGTAAACTCTCTGGCATTGGGACTCAGATGTTAAGGATAGTTGATACTGCTGTCTACTAAAGTTTTAGTGTTTTGGAACCTTATCCTTTGCATTAATCTGCCTGGTGATTTTTGGTGTTTCTGTCATCTTCACTTATAAATAAAAAGTTATGCACCAAAACAGTGGCTGGCACATAACAGGTACAGAATAAATAAATATTGTCTGGATATCATTCTTTTAAATTTAATACATAATAATATATTATTATAATGACCTCAGGTCCAGAGTTATTTAACTTTGTTTGCCAAATCTCTTATAACAACCACCACAACAAAACAGTAAGAGAAGCTGGCACATATGGGATAGATATAATTTTAGGAGCTGACGGGGAGGGTCAGGGTGGACTGTGGAGCTCTACACCTGTCCTCATAGGATGTCACCTGGATTGCCAGCACAGGCTGCTGACATTTAAAAACTTTTCTGATTATTTTGTAACTCAAAGCAATTATTTAAAAATTATCTGGTATAAATATGAGACTAAGACACACAGAATGTTTTCTAATGAAAACATGCACATGAAATCCTACAAAATTCACATTAATCACATTACCTAGAATAGTTGGAGTTGACTTTTGGATAACTGATTTTGAAATCTCTCTTTTTTTTTTTAGTAATTATTTGTATGATAAAAAACACTTTCCTGATGCAAGAATAGTTTTATGGAGCCCATATCTTCCTAAGATATTCTTCAAACAGGATGGTCTGTGGCTTCAGCCTGTTCAGCATGGAGAGCCATATAAACCAATGGCCCAAGTGAAGTGTTTAAAGGGGACTTGGAGAGTACTTATGATGTTCATTTTTGTCTATTAGTTTCTAGTTTGTTTTAATAAAGTTACGAAAATAACATGTTCTCATGAAATTACTCTCAACTTTATTACAACAATTTTGTGGCAATATTAAGCCTTGACATGTTAATAGTAAATGTGTGAAATAAGCCATCGTCATTTAAATGTCAGGCAAAAAGGAATTTTCTGTATATTTCATGTCAGCTGCTATTTTCCTGAAGAATGTTCAGCACGCGATGGCATACAGTGAAAGAACTGTTTGGCATTTTACTTTAACAACCCTCAGATGTTTTGTATTTCTGGTTGTCACCTAAAAATTCTATGGTAAGCAATAAAGGAATCAAAGAAATCAGCCAAAAATGACTAATACAATGTTTTCTACATTTTTATGCATGAGACCCCAGGCTTGCCTTTTCAAACAGGAAAAAAGTTGGAGAGAACTCATACAAAATTGTTAAGCAGTACATCTAGTTACAAAATCATAAAATAAGGTTAATAGTCCAAAAATGAAATAAGACAGGAATTACTAACCCTGAAACATATGTTTAAGCAGAGAACTGTATCACTGCTGGTCACCTTTTATACATTATCTAACTTAATCCCCTGTGAAGCTCCATAAGGCAAATCTCATCACCTTGAAGTTTAGAGAGAATAAGTAACTGGCCCAAATAACTTAAAGCATACACAGAAGCCAGTTTAAATCTAGGCTCCTTGGACTCTGAAGTCCATGCTGTTTCGGACACACCATGCTGCTTAATTCACACTTTATGTGGCAGATGTTGAAATAGTTTTCCCACTCCAATTTATTCTCTCTCCACATGACTTAGTGTTTTCTTTATTAAAATCACATACTAGCAAGATACCTGAACTACTTTAAAAATCAGTTAGGAAATTCAACAGAGCATAGTGTCTGTAGGCAGAGAATGTGTCGTCATTGTCCAGACACAGCTTCTGAACCACATGTCCATACATCCCAGCTGGCCTGGCTTCTAGTCAGTATACTCGTATTGTCCTGGTAGAATTATTACTAGTCCTGTTGGGGTAGGCAAAATGATAATCCCCCAAAGATATTCACACCCTAATCCCTTAAACCTGTGAATATATTACTTTATGAGGTAAGAGGGACTTAGCAGATGTGGATTTTGAGGTGAGGATATTATCCTGAATTATCTGGGTGGGCTGAATGTAATAGCAGGTCCAAAAGAGAAAAGCAGGCATGGCAGAGTCTGATTTGAAGATGCCATTCTGCTGGCTTTGAAGATGGAGGAAGAGGCCATGAGCCAAGAAATACAGGTGGCCTCTAGAAGCTGGAAACGGTAAGGAAATGGATTCTCCCCTAGAGCCTCCAGAACCAACATACCTCTGCTAATACTTGATTTTAGCCCAAGTAGGCTCTGACTTCCAGAACTGTAAGATAGTAAATTTGGGTTATTTTTTAAGCCACTAAATTTGTGGTAATTTGTTACAGCAGCAATAGGAAACTAACACCCTTTCAATTTCAACAGTGTCTTGTTTGTACAATACTTATAAGATGATAGACCTCAGACCAAGCTCTGACCTTGAAAAGCCAGCACACCCTCCAATGGAAAAGCCTCCATGTCAGTCTCTTCCTGGGCTTGGTTTCAGGGGTCTCTGAGGCCCAGTCAAGCTCATTTCCTGTGCTTTCTGTGGATGGCTATAGATTTACTGCTCTGGATTCAATAATGTTGTCAGGTAATAAAGAATAGAAATACATAACCACTTCTCAAAGTCTTGTAAGATTTAGAGTTTGCAGAAGCACTATGCCTTTCAGATAGATGAATTTAGAATTAGGTCATTTGCTTCCCAGGAACATGGGGCTTTACTGTCCAGTCAGCACAGCAGTCAGCGCAAGAGGCAGAGCTGTTGCAGACAGCGGAATGATGGGAGGGAAAAGGAATGGATTTTTTCCAAGAGTGGAAAGTGAAAAAAAAAAAAACAACCAAATAATCAATGTTAGGCAGGCGAGCTTCATTTAGTCATTTAGTTCTGCGTGGATAAGCAACATCTGTGAAAAACTAGCCCTCCTCTCCAACATGCAGATATTTATAACCAGACCAGAAAGCTGCTCAAAGACATCATCATTAAGTTAAAGAATAATCTGTAATTGTAGACCATAGTAAAACCAAGTGAGCTCTCAGAGGTTACTAGGTCAGTGGTCCAATCCTCAGCACAGAAGCTGAGGCCCCTCGGTACTCTCTCACATCAGTGTCCTGCTTCCTCTAGCCATGGAAACTCCTGCTTCCCAAGACAGTGTATTGCACTTTCAGCTACTTGTTAACAATGTGTCTTTATATTTAGCAATAAGCTCGTAAACTTCACCCTTTGGTCCCAGTTCTACCTGCTTGCAGCCATGTACAGTAAGTCTGAACCAGGGGTCTAACCCTGGCTACACCCTGGAATCACCTGGGGAGCCTTTAAACCTCTGATGCTTGGGTGCTTAGAATCAGTGAGAGGGGAACCCAAGCATCAGTATCTTATTTATTTATTTATTTATTATTTAGTTTTTGAGATGGAGTCTCACTCTGTCTCCCAGGCTGGAGTGCAGTGGCCTGCTCTCAGCTCACTGCAAACTCTGCCTCCCGGGTTCAAGCAATTCTCCTGTCTCAGCCTCCCGACTAGCTGGGATTACAGGCCCCTGCCACCATGCCCAGCTAATTTTTGTATTTTTAGTAGAGACGGAGTTTCACAATGTTGGCCAGGCTGGTCTTGAACTCCTGACCTTAGGTGATCCACCTGCCTCAGCCTCCCAAAATGCTGGGATTTCAGGTGTGTGCCACCGTGCCCAGCCACATCAGTATTTTTTAAACTCTTCAGTTTAAGCTTACTGACTAAACCCTTTTCCACACAACATTTCATTTAGTTTAAAGATGCCTCTCCTGAAGGCTGTGATTTCCAACTATCCCTTTAGAGCAATGCCAGGCAATTAGCAGTTATTACTTGCAGCCCAGGAGAGGAGACGTATATGGAAGCCACCAGGGAATGCCTGGCAGCTCAAAGGCAGCGGCGGCATTAACTTGGTTCCTTTCATGTTTATACAGGTTTAACCAAATAGATAAATTTAAAGTGTGATCAAAATTTAAAACTTTAGTGTTTTAAAGACATTAGCAAGAAAGTAAAAAGACAATCACAGAATGGGAAAAATATTTGCAAACCATATATCTGATAAGAGTCGGGTATCCAGAATATCTGAAGAACTATTACAGCCCAATAATAAAAAGACAAGTGACCAATTTAAAAATGGGAAAGGATTTAAATACTTTTTCCCCAAAATAGACTTTTTTTATGTATCTTCCCAAAGATATATATATACACACAGCTTTTCCCAAAGTTATTATATATGTGTGTGTGTGTGTGTGTGTGTGTGTGTGTGTGTGTGTGTGTATACATGATACAGCTGCTTCTCCCACTCCCATATCATCACCATAACCATTTTTGAATGTTACAAAATTTACCAAGATTTTTGCATTGGCCATAATTTGCTCATAATGATAAAAGTAACTTCAATAAATGTTATTTAAAAGTCAATTTTCTGGCTGGGCATGGTGGCTTATGTCTGTAATCCCAGCACTTTGGGAGGCCAAGGTGGGCGGATCATGAGGTCAGGAGGTCGAGACCAGGCTGGCCAACATAGTGAAAATCCGTCTCTACTAAAAATACAAAAATTAGCCGGGCATGGTGGCGAGTGCCTGTAGTCCCAGCTACTTAGGAGGCTGAGGCAGGAGAATCGCTTGAACCTGGTAGGTGGAGGTTGTGGTGAACCGAGATCGCACCACTGTACTCCAGCTTGGGCAACAGAGTGAGACTCTGTCTCGAAAAAAAAAAAAATAGTCGATTTTCTGAGATAGCCCATCTGGCTGTGGTGGGAAACCTGGGGGCCTCTTAGTGCTACACTTCTCCCTGTTCTGGCTCTCCACCTGAAGACCCCAAGGCCAATGTTAGAGACAGGGAAGTAGGGCCCTGAGGATGAAACATGAATTTTCCAAACAATGACTACTTGATTTTAAATTCAAGCATTGCCTGGAAGAGCCTTTTAGAGACTCTTTAAGGCAAATAAATTTTTTTTTTAATTTTTGGATTTAAATTAATTGAGTATTTTGCTTTTTTTTTTTGCAGATACTAAATATGATTGTTCATAAAGCAACTGGAAAACAATACAAGGTAGTGTTTATTCAGGAGCTAAGTGGTGTGGTATCAGTTAAGTACAATGAGAATGAAGGGGAAGACGAAATACAGCATATGTCTATGTCCTAATATTGGTTGTCATGATATTAACAGGGCTTTGCATGTACTGCTTCTGTGCAGGGCTCTTGTTTGGTCAGTAGAATTCTCTAATTATTTTAAAGATTTCTGTTTCAAATTAGAAATTAAAAAGTCAATTTTGTATATTTACATATAAATTATTTTGAAAAAAAAAACACTGAAATATTGGATGTGAACAAAAACTTAGAAGCTAATTTTCCAGATTATTTCTAATAGCCAAAAAGAGATAACACCTGAATTCAATAATTAAGGGTTGTTAAATCAGTGGTTCTCAATATTTAGCAATGTGTGGAGAAATTTTTGATTCTCACTACTGGGTGGATGCCATTGGCATCTGGTAGATCAAGGCCAGGGATAAAGCAAAGGACAGGCCCCCAAAACAAACAATTGTCTTGTCTAAAATATCAACATCGCCATGGTTAAGGAAGCCTGGGTTAAAAAAATGGAAGTATAACCATTTTGTGGCATGCTGTGTAGCCATTAAAATAATAGTACAGATTAGTGACTCCCAACTCTGGCTGTATATTAGCATATATGATGCATAATCTGAAGAGCTTTTAAAAAACCTGCTCCCAATTAATCAGGATCTCGCTTTCTTGGGCAGGACCTAGGCATGACTATGTTTTATATTTTTTCCATGTGATTGTAAGGTATGGCCAGAGTTGAGAACCACAAATTTAGGCTTATATAATATAGAGACATTAAATGATATGGAAACATATACATGATAAGTTTAAATAAATCATATGACAAAACCATGGATGGTATAACTAAATTTTTATTAAAAATATATAAGCTGTAAAATATATGTGCACTGTAAAAATATACATCCACTCTAAAATGGTACCAATGTACAAGAGCACTTATCTGCATTTTCTGACTTTCTTACAATGGATATATATTGCTTTGTAATAAAAGACAATAGATGACTCTGTAAAATAGTTTGGCAGTTTCTTATAAAAACTAAACATGTTATCAAACAACCCAGCAGTTGTACTCTTGGGTGTTTATCTCTGAGAAATAAAAACTCCTGTTTATACTAAAACCTGTACATGAATGTTCACAGCAGATTTATTTGTAATAGTCAAAAGTAGAGATGCCCAGATGTCCTTCACCAGGTGACTGGTTAAATAAACTGTGGCATATCCACACCATGGACAACTTCTGAATGATAAAAAAGATAAACTACTGATGTATGCAACAACCTGAGTGAATCTTCAGAGAATTATGCTGAGTGGAAAAACTCAATCCCTAAGGGTAACACATTGTGTAATTCCATTTATATAACATTTTGAAATGACAAATTTATAGGAATGGAGAACAAATTAGTGATTTTGAGGAGCTGGGGGTGGGTGAGGGAAGTAGGTGTGGTTATAAAGGGCAGCATGAGCAATCCCTGTGCTGATGGAAATGTTCTGGATGTTGAGTGTATCAGTGTTAACATCCTGGTATTGTACTACCGTTTTGTGGGGTTTTTTTGTACTGCAGTTTGGCAAGATGTTATCACTAGGGGTGAGTGACTAGGTGAAGAGTGTAAACCAAGAATAAAATTCTAAGGCCCCCCCAACCATCTGAATGGACCCTCCCTCTCAGCCAAAGGCATTCCAAAGTTAACCTGAAAATCTAGTTCAGGGCATGATGGGAAGGGGGAGTTGGGCATGCCTCACTGTACCCTCCTTCCTTTTGGAATTCAGGAAGAGCCAACTGGCATTAATATCAACACAGACCTTAAATACGATAAGAAACATTTACAATCTATTCTCTCTGAAGCCTGCTACTTGGAGGCTTCATCTGCATGATAAAACCCCAGTCTTCACAACCCCTTATGGTAAACCAGGCATTCCTTCCTATTGATAATAACTCTTTCAACCAACTGCTGATCAGAAAATGTTTAAATCTAACCTGTGACCTGGAAGCCTCTGCTTTGAGTTGTCTGGCCTTTCCAGATCAAATCAATGTAAATCTTACATATATTGATTGATGTATTATGTCTCCCTAAAATGTATAAAAAGCAAGCTGTTCCCCAACCTCCTTGGGCACATATTGTCACCACATCCTGAGGCTGTGTCACGGGTGCACCCTTAACCTTGCCAAAATAAATTTTCCAAATTGATTGAGACCTATCTCAGATACTTGGGCTCACAGGGGTTAACTGGGCTTTCTCTATTATTTCTTAAAAGTGCACGTGAATCTACAAGTATATTCATAGTTTAATTTTTAAAAAGGCAATAGAAATAAATTTTAACTAGAAGAAATGACTACTATGTTGGATCAATCCCTGCTTTAAGAAAATTTATCTTTCAAATAGTAACAAAATGTATGTGTATTTTGCCATACCAAAAAAAAAAAAAACCCAAATCATTGCTGTATGAAATAAAAATATCCATTACAATTCTAAATTAGTGAATACAGTAATTTAATTTTCAGATAACACAGCCTCCCTTCTGATGGCATAATGAGGGGTTACTACATGGTTTCCTCTTCAGCGAAGTTACTTATCCTCAATGAATAGTAATATACAAATGACAGGAGGAGAGGATAGATTGCCGAGAATTAGCGTATCAGCCCTCTCATTTCCTGATGTGTGTAAGTTTGAGGAACCCCAGGTTTAACCCCACATCAGTGGAAGTGTGGGAAAGGACAGACCCAGACAGGAACAGGCACTGTTCGAGTACACTGTTATCAAAGACAGTGGTTCTCAAACTCAGAGGGCATCAGACTGCCAGGGGGAACATGTTACCAACCAGACTCCCCCAGACACATCTCCAGATATTGACTCTGTGGCTTAGGGGTGTGGCCCAAAAATCTGCATTTTTATCAAGCACCCCAGTGAAACCAGATTTTCGAGAACACTGCTCTCAGGCATGCTGGGAGCTGGCCTGGGTCTGAACTGCCCAAGCAGTGACTGCAGCCCTCAGCAGAACAACAGATTTTGGTTATCTTCCCTTAAGGAAGATTAAAGGGATTCTCCTAGTTCAGGAGCTTATAAAGCAAATTACAAGATTAATTGCTAAGAACTGAGTTCACACCAAGTAATGGACTAGATGTGGATGCTTAACTGAAGAGGAGAGAAGAATATTGGTGGCCACTCTGCTGTGAGGATGAACCCATAGCCAGGTGTTCCCCAGAGCTCTGGAAAATGACTGGGTGTGTGAGGAGGGGGATTTTGAAGGAAGCTGGTCTTCCCAGCACTGGTTAGGAGCAGCACGAGAGGAATATATTGTGATCTTGCTTTTTACCCTTATGAGGACCAAGGTAGCTTGGGAAGCAGCTTGTTCCATACAGACGAAACAAACTGCAAACAATAAACATTGCCTAGTCCTAGATACTTTCTTTAAGCTCTCGGTTTTGCCACTGTATTGGGCAAAAGGCTCCATATAAAATAGGAACTTGTTGGGGGAATGGAGAGATGATAGCTAGAGGGTACAAACTTTCAGTTATAAAATGAGTAAGTTCTGGAGACCTAACATACAGCATGGTGATGATAGTTAGTGGTAACCTGTACTTGAAATTTGCGAAGGAAGTAGATCTTAAGTATTCTCACCACACACACACACAAACACACACACACACACACACACACACACAGAAAAAAGGTAACTATGTGAGGTGATGGATATAATTAGCTTGATTGTGGTGAACATTTCACAATGTATACATACATCCAAAAATCATGTTGTACATCTTAAATACTGTATATAGTACAATTTTTATTCCTCAGTTATACCTCAATAAAGCTGGAGGAAAAATAGGAACTTTATTCCTGTCTGCTGTCACAGCCACTTTCTCAACTTGTACCATCTCTCAGATCTGTTTCTGATCCTCCTAGCTACTAACTAGCTTCGTTTGTAACTTCTTTTTCACCCGTGTCTGCCCTTCTGCATCGGTTTCTTGGCTATGACTTTTGCTTCTCTCAGTAGTAATCCTGATTATTCACTTCAGCTGCTTTGCCCTGATCATATCAAGTACATGCTCTTTTTAGCTTATTGTTGCTCCAGGAACGTCTACACCCTGTTTCATCTGGATGAAGATGCTCTGCCTACCAAGGTGCCCCATCATCTGGCCACCCCCGAGTGCTGCGGATGGTGGCTGTAATACCACTGGTGAGGAACTTGGCTAGAAGTGGCCAGAGTAGTGTCTCTTTTCTTCTGCCTCTTCTTCTTTCAGCTATCCAAGTTTGGTCTTATCTGCTTGGACATTCCATATTTGGTCTGTTTCACACTGGGTCATAGTCCCTGTTGACTCTTGTCTTACAGGACTTGTTAAGGAATGGCAAGTGGTATCTTCTCATATGTCAATTCTAATTGATTGTTATTGGCAGCAGTGAGTGTGGTGTTAAGAGGAGTAGGATCTGACCTCAGTGTGCCATAATCAATTAGTCATGCCTCCCTAGGGCAAAGATGCGGGTAGAGTTTTGCATTCTGAGAGGCTGACATCTTTGGACTGGACAGTTTCTTCTTTTCTTCAGGGCTGATGCATTCACTGCAAGTGCCTCACATGATCTCTTTGCATTCCTTTACTCAAACCCCAATCTTTTAGTAAAAAAACTATTTCTAGTGCATTAGCATTTTCCATTCATATTTGCTATAAAAAAATCTGCAAAGCAGAAACTGCAGGAATTGTGTCTTTTCTCCAAAGAGAACATACTCTGCCAAGGCCTTTCGCAGAATCCATTTTGCAGCTGTAGTCTGGGAATTGTACAACTCTTCCTAGGTTCGTATTGGAAAAAGAGTAGCTTCTGGGCTGAATGCTATCAGGAAAGCTGTCCCCAGTATTCAAAAGCTCTTTCCTTTATGGCTGTTTCTTATCTTTTCCTATCAATTGTCCATAGTTACTGATCTCATAGGACAAAATGTCTCTGTCTTATAGCTGAAATGTGAATACCTAAATCATGGAGGTTAGCACACCCAGTTACATTACTATTCCCTACACAAAATCAGGGCATTTCACATCCAGGCATTCCTACCCATGTTCATTGTTTCCTACAAAGTATCATCTTCACAAAGGAGCACTCACTCAACTTACCTTGTAGTGGAAGAGAAACAATCCACAGAACAGGCTGTACAAGTCTGCTGTGAGCAAGGAGAGGTTGACTGAAGTGGCACTGGTTTTCTTTATGACGACTGGCATAAAGCTGTAGAGACCAAACATGCAGGCACTAAAGCCAACGTAGAGCAGTCCTGGGGGAAGAGTAAAGAGAAGGCAGCGTCAGGGCCTCCTCCAGGGCATCTTCAGCATCCACAGCAGGAAAGAAGGGGAAGAGTGCACACCACTTGTCACTCACACAAGGCAGTTTCTCTTTTCCCCTATTCACTGATGTTTATTATTGGATAACACAGTACAAAAATTAAACTAGATTAAAAAAAATTAAGTGTGAAAAATGAACTTTCTGCTTCTTATTGCATTGCTGACATTTTGCTTCTTCTGGGAAGGAGTGCCTCTTAGTGGCGATAGTCAGAACACAGAATCAAGGTTTTTGAATTCTCCCAATTGTGCTGTAATCAGCTTTTGCTACTCATCTATTTTGAAACTTTTTTTTACCTCTTAGTTTTTAATTTGAGTAATAGCAACAAAACTGCTTGCTATCATGTATTGCCCACAATGATGAATAACTACGTAGTCTTTAAAGTTGAAGAGCTTGCATGTCAAAGAGACCTGGACTTAGAATACTGAATTAGAATCTTGACTGTGTGGCCTTGGGTGGACGAATTCATTGCTGGGAATACATGATGATCTGTCAGTCTCCTCCAGATTTCTGAATTCTGTTCTGCTCTACCCAAAACACACAGAATCCTGCCCTTCCATCACATGTCCTGGCATACTGTGAACTCTCACATGTGGGCTTTCATGACCTTAAAATACTATGTGGCCAATCTCTCATCCTCAAATCTCTCTCTTTCTCTGTAATTATGCCTAGACATGGGTACTCTGTTTTGCAGGGTCCCAAGCAGGAGTTTACAGCTAAATCTATACTTTCCCCAAATGTTGATACAATGCAAATGTAAAAAAAAAATAATGCTCTTTTCTCCACCTTGAAAGAATAAGGCATAGGATAAGCATAAGTGCTAAAATTCAGTGTCTGCCTTGGTATTACAACATAATAAAAATAACCTTTCCAAAGGAATCCTTGATTAAATGTATCTGGTGTGGGCTGTGGGCAGATTTGCTTCCTCTGACTTAGGGATTTTGGGGAGTTTGGTAGGTACCGAATATCTGGTCTTTCTGACTATGAAGACCAGGGATTCATCCAAAGATAAATTGGGTTTACCCATATGAAAAGTGCTTAAGGGCACAAATCATCGTTCCATATGAAAGCCACATCAGATCTACAAAAAAATTATTCTGAACATAAGTAAGTAAACTCAGTACAACAGCCCCCTCTAGCGTGGTAGAAGTGCCCTCAGAGGAAGGGGGAACAACCACTTTCCTATTTCGGAAAGGTAAAAGTCCTACGTGTAGATTCTATCGCAGTAATATTAGTTTGGTTTTTAATTCTCTATCAGAAGCTTGAATTCTCTAAAAACGGACCGTTTTTCTGCATGTGGGTTTCATGCTCCCTGTAGTGCATTTTCCTTTTAACCAAACTACTAAAAATGCAATAAGTATTACATAACTTATGACTAATACATGAAAAGACATAAAAATTAATTTGGTACTCCTTAAAGAAATCTGTGATTAACAGACTAGGGACAAGATCAATCCTCAAATTAATCCACTAAAAATAATAAAACTTGATCGGAACACAATCTAGGCACCAGAGCCTTGTTTCCGTTTTTCTTTTGTTTTTTGAAGGTGTCACTGATTTAAATACCATGACTGGGTTAGAAAGTTCCAGAATAATACCCTTCCATCATTTTGCGTGGACTTTGACTTGTGGGCTCTGTTGGTATATTCACTCATTTATTCAACTATTATTCTCTGAGTACTAACCATGCCCTGAGCACTCTGCTGTGGGCTAGGAACAATGAAAAACAGGATAGACAAGAAGCTTAGAGTTGCTATTAATGCTATGCAGAAAGACAAGTGTTTCTTAAAGAGAATGTCAGGAGCTTGCTTTAGACAGGGTGGTGAGGTAGGGCTACTTTGTGGAGGTGGCATTTACCTCGAGTGCTGAAGGACCAAAAGGAGATTGCCAGGAGAGGAGCCAAGGAAACCTGCACATGAAAAGTTCCTGAAAGGGACAGGGCCTCAAGTGTCCCAGATGCTGACCAAGGCCACAATGGCTGAGCAGAATGAAGAGAACGGGCAGAGGAAGCTGGAAAATTGGGAAGGGAATGGATTATGCCAGACCTTGCAGGTCTCAGAAAGGAATGTGTATCTTATTCTAGTTGTACGAGGAAGCCATTGAGGAGTTTGCGGCAGCTGACTAAAAGAATCTGATCTACATTTTCAAAAGGTGATTTTGGCTACTCTGTGGAGAAGGGATTGGAAGGAGAAAAGCATGGGACCAGTTACAGAGACCAGTTAGAATGGCGGTGTCACAATCCCGGCAAGAGAGGCTGGTAGCTTGCTTGGTTTTGCTCGAAACGGCAGTGGAGAAGGGAAGTGGTCTGTGAAGACTCAAGAAGCCCTGGTGATAGACTGATGTAGGTGGTGAGGGAAAGGAGAGCATGGAGGATGCCCAGGGGTTCTGGCTAATTTAGAAACTAGGTGAACTGTGACGCCATATACTGAGATGGAGGGAGCTAAAAGAGGACCAGATTTTCAGGAGAAATAAAATGCTCCATTTTGAATGTGTTGTTTTCGACGCTTATGCATTATCCAAAAGGATCTGTCCAGTAGGGAGCTGGATATATAATTGGAGGACTCAGAGAAGTGGTGAGATTTTACAAGCCCAGTTGGTGAGCAAAGGAGAGTAGGGAAATAAATACATGGCACTTTGCTAACCAGGCTACCTTATGATGCTTCCAGCTAAAATATTCTCAACCTATTTTTAAATGTTGCAGAAATTAGAGGTAGGGGGACAGGAGTGGAATATATACACTATCACAATTGACAACTAGGTCAACCGATGTTTTTGCATGTGAATATACTGTTTCCCAAGCAAAGCATAGCCAGCCTAGTTAACACATGATTAAATTGAGAGTTGGAATGCAGTATCGTTGCCCTTCCTTGGCTGTTCTTAGATGGACATTAGATAGTTAATGGACATTAACAATGCCTCTGAAAGTCCAACTTGCTGTCCAGGTAGGGTTTTCAATTGATCAGCATGATCATACAAATGAACTGAATTACTTTTTGACTGACAACTACAAAATGGCTGCAGTAACTACATTTATAACAGAGTATGTGTATAAACATTTCCTCTTGGAATGTTCTCTCTCTCACTAAGGATAGAATTTGATCACTCTTGTCCTTATGCACTAAAGTGATTTAAGCTACAGAGATGGGAAATACTATTATCAGCTAATATGGATTGAGCACTCACTATGTGTCATGTACTTTATGTACAGTAATTAATCTCCACAACAGTGTAATGCTGATAACTATTGCTATCCTCTTTATACAGGTTAGGAAATAGGCTTATAGAGTCAAGAAACACAGTCCATACTGGGTTAAATAGAGGATATGTTATATGGAGTACAAGTTACAAAGGTGTTCAAATGGGTGATGGGGAAACAGGGATGGTGAGACAACCTGAAGATTAGCAATACCAGGGAGTTACTCACAACCCAAGAGCTAGGGAAATACAAGAGGGAGGCCACATTACCTGAGATCAGAAGTTAGGGAAGCCCAGCAGGGGTAGAATCACAGAGGAGACTCAGCCACATCTAGAGGAGATCTGACCCCAAACAGAGGGACACAGAGAGAAACAATGGTTTCTTTCTTTCTTTCTCCCACCTCCAATCTCCCTCTACTGCCTCCCATTGGCCAAAACTGACTGGAATCCAGTTGACAAGGGAGGCTGGGATGTGGATTTGCATAAGCAGAGCAGAGGAAAGGGTAAAAGATGGATCTGTGAGTAAACAGGCAACAGACCAGCTTACAGGGGTTAAGTAACTTGCCCTTAGGTCACATAGGCAGCCTGACTTTAAATTCTGAATACATAACACTCATCTATATTGTTTAATTATTATAAAGAGAAATAAGGCTTTGAAGGAACATCCTATTTGACTCCTATCAATACCTCAGTTAATATTTTATATATATATATATATAGAGAGAGAGAGAGAGAGAGAGAGAGAGAGTTACTATATATATATAAAGTATGTGTCTGTATATGCTACATATATTTGATTTCGTCTTTTTCTTTGGGATTTCAGTTGTGTTCTTTCTCTTTATTTTGAACATACCAGAGTTTTAAAATATTATTTGTAATTCTTAAAAACAATAGCTAGGTTAGATGACTTCTCAGAACATATGCATTAGGTTAAGTGTATAAAGGGCACTGGGCTGGCTTTGCTCAGATATGTAATGCTCGTCAAGTCACCTCAACTCCCTAGGCCTCAGATTCAACATGGGTAAAAAGAAAGGTGTATTGTTTTTTTTTTTTTGGGACAGACTCTTGCTCTGTTTCCAGGCTGGAGTGCAGTTGCGTGATCCCGACTCGCTGCAACCTCCGCCTCCTGGGTTCAAGTGATCCTCAGCCTCCTGAGTAGCTGGGACTACAGGCATGCACCACCACACCCAGGTAATTTTTGTATTTTTAGTAGAGGCACGGTTTCACCATGTTGGCCAGGCTGGTCTTGAACCCCTGGCTTCAAGTGATCCGCCCGCCTCAGCCTCCCAAAATGCTGGGATTACAGGTGTGAGCCACTGCACCTGGCCAGGAAAGGTGTATTCTTAATTATCCTTTAGGTCTTTTCCTGCTCTGTAGTCCCATTATTCCATATTCAGGGAGAGGCCAAATCTTTCTTTTGTTTTGGCCTCCAGGAAAAACACTAAAACCAAAACCAAGACAAGCATCAACCACAACATCAAAAGTGAAGAAGGCCCCTGCATACCACAAGCCTGTGCTCACTGACCCGGCACACTTTTTCTTTTCTCTGACATTTGACTTTCACATTGATTGCACTTGTTCACACATCCTTTAGCACAGTATGACCCACAGTATGACAGTATGACCCGTGGGGTAAAGGGAATGTTTAAGTTGTTTATTAGACTTATGAATGTGACTCTAACATTCCTGCTCCCCAGAAGGGTATTTTTAGCTGTATTCGATCATACATTTTACTTGAGTTTACTGATTAGATAATCACAATCAGTCTTTCTGTTCAGTACTGTAAAACAATGGAATAAAAACAAACAACAATAACTATTATCTTCTTGCTTTTAATTGCTCTATATTTTGCAATTGGCCAGTGTTGTAGGAAAATAACAAAATCTGTTTTTAAAAGTGCTTCGGGTTAAGAAAATAGAAAACATGTATCCCAAAGGAAAAAATAGAAAACATATTTATTAACCCCAAGGAAAACAACAACAACAACCATCTTTCCACTTTGATAAAATGGCAACCACATGAGTTGTCCAAGAGATTATATGAGGTTAGATTACTAATGTGGAAAGTGGGGAGGCAGAGAAATTCATTGACAGATGCTGAGAAATGAAGGCTTATTGGATTCTGGTCTCCTAAACAGAAGAATGTGAGCTTTCCATCAGGACATAGTCATCAGAGCTTGGCCTCTCGGGTGACTTCTCAAGGAGTGTGGGGTGGGTTTGAGAGGGTGCTGACCTTCCCTTGATATCTCCCTGCCTCTGTGACCCATGAATTGCAGTGGCTGTTATGCCATCTCCCAGTTCCACAGAAAGAAAGTGCAATGTCAAGCTTAAAGTCTCCTGCCATTGTCTCCACTTCTTCCCTTTTGTCTGTATTTTGTGAGGTGAGAGAGGAAAGAATAGGACCATCTTTGTTGCTTGCCATTCATTCATTTGCTCACTTAGTAAACATTTATCCCCTGCATGCCATGTGTCTAGAACTGAGCTAACAACACAACCTTGCAGTAGGTCAGGGCGAGATAATGAGGACCAAGGAGGCCCTGGTGTAAACACATCCCAAACGCAACCCTACAAATGCTTCAGAAAGAGGAAGATGAGTATTTGATTCCCCTTTGAGGCCATTTTTTATTGATACATAATAATTGTACATATTTATGAGGTACATGTGATAGTTTGATACATGCATGCAATGTGTAATGATCAAGTCAGGGCATTTGGGATATCCATCACCTCAACCATTGATTAATTTTTTTGTGTGTGTTGGGAACATTCTAAATCTCTTCTAGCTATTTTGAAATACACAATAAATTATTGTTAACTAAATTCACCCTACTGTGCTATGGAGGCCATTTTGGCCTCATTTCCAATCAGAAATTAAATGGATGGCTCTGTAATGTGTTCCTTTTACACTGTCCTTCATCATCTTCAACTATAGGGGACTGACGTTTTAATGGCAATATGAGAGCTCAGAATAAAACTATCTTTTGATGACTCATTTAACTAACACTGAATTATAACAGAACCTCAGTGGATATGCACATGGCATCCACATAGTTTGAGGACAAATTCTTTTTGATCATTACTATTACCATCAATATAAAATTAATTTATACTCATGGACCACTGCATGTGAAGTGCTGTCAAGCACAGGTAACATTTTGTTTTCTGGTGTTGTGGGTCACAAAGACAAATGCTTTCTGTAACATGCAACTGGTTTCCTTTCCCTGTTGCCCTCCTCTTCTCTCTCTCCTTGCCCTGTTGATTTTCATTTAATTATATAATTCTGTAGCACAACTGGAGAGAAATTAAATGGCAGGACTCTGAGACACAAGGCTGGTCAGCCCTCGAAGTCACTAGAGAGAAACCCTAGGGAGAGTCAGGCACAGTTCTGTGGCTCACAATGTGCCTTCAGAGGGAATGATGTCTGCAGTAAGTTGGCCTCATATGCTTAGGGGATGGGGACAGGTAGGTAAAGTGATGCACGGGAGTTTATGTTTTTATTGTGTTTCCTTATGGACACAGAATTTGGCTAAAGTTGTATCAAAGGTCATATAAGGGGGAGATGGCTCAAGCAGCCAGCTTCAGTGTGGGGAAGAGTCTGTAGCCCCCTCCCTGCCACTTACATTCACTCTGCACACATTTTCCATGCAATTCCATAAGCCACGTTCTGTGCTCACTGTGGAGACACCTTCTGAGGGTAGCAAATGTCAGTCCCTTTTAGGGCTTGCTGAGATTGATCATTACAGCATGTCCTAGGATCTTAAATCCTTGTCCTAAATTTCTTTGAGGAAAGTGGTTTTAGAAACAGGTGGAACCTGAGAAGTCCTGGATGACTATTAACTAGCTCAAAGCGTGTCTGGTATTTTCTAAATCCATTTGGAGACCAATTAACCATTTCTTTCGTGCAAACTGCTCCCTTCTGAAAGGTTTTTATGGGCTCAGAATGCCCATTACATTGTTTCCTTTCATGGCTTTTTGTTAAGTTCAGTTTTTTTCCCTTTACTAAAGTAGCACTTTTTAATGGTTACATCAGTTTAGTGTTTCTTGGCTAAGGCAAATTGCTGTCACTTATGTGCTACCACTGCCTCAGGCCAGTTTTTTTTTTCTGTTGGTGTTTAACCTAATAACACACTTCTGTGTCTCCCCTAATGGCATCTTGGCAATGAAAATGGGCAGAAGCTCAATTAGGAAACACTATGAATAATACAATTTAGTCTCTCAGAGTGTGCAGGATTTCCTGAAATGACAAAGGGATTTCATTTTCCCTTGTCCCCTACCACTCTAAATCCCCTCCTTGTTTGTGCTCCACCCGACCCACATCATTCTTCAAACACATTTCTCAGGTTATAAAAAGAGCATCGTATGTGAGCCAACTCCTTACCTATTTGCCAGTCCCAGGGCACCTTCAACAGTTCCTTATGCTCCATTATAGCTCTGCAAATTCAAAGGAAATGAACCTGATGAGCAAGATTAGAATGCACTCTACTTTCTTTCTTTCTTTTTTCCCCCCCACTTATCAGATGTATACAAATAATGAAGCAACCAGATGAATTTCAGAAAGAATTTTGGGTCATGCAGAAGCAAGTCTAATTAGGCAGAGTGCAGTTTATCCCTGAAGAACCCGGTCGGTGTGTGAGGGTGTGCCACGGGGCCCTGGGGCGCTCAACCCTTCCTGCTCTTCTCACCCAAACAGTCTGCCTACAGCCTTTGTTTCTGTTTGACAGATACTTTCTGAAAAGCAAATGGTGAGGTTCAGAAAATGTCTGTGCTTGCAGGTGTAATCAATTTTCTGATTGAGTGTTTTCTAGGGCAATGGTTCTCAAAGTTAAATGTACATGACAGCCAACTGGAGAGTGGGTTAAAATACACTGTTTCCTGGTCCCAACCCTAGGGATTCTGATTCAGAGATCCGGTGAGATCCATGGATGTGCATTTCTGGCAAGTTCTCATGTGATGTCAGTGCTGCTGCTCAGAGGACCATATTTTGAGAACCTCTCATCTAGAAGAGAATGGGGAGGTGGCATTGGTATCACTCCACCAGCATTACTTTGATTCCAGTGAGCCCTCAATATATCCCACTTGCCAAGGACACCCTAGTGCCACTTCCATTATTTTGGTGGCATTGTCCCCCAAAGGGAACACTCAACTCTAATAGACTGTAACTGAAGCAAATGAGCACTAGATCTCTGAACATATTTTTTGGACTCAAGAATAATAACCCATAAAAGAAGCCATCTATCTACAAAATGTTGGCTATGAATAGTTGAACTAGATAATTCCTTTTCCTTTCACAAAGCTGAAGCACAAAATTTAGGAGCTTTAAAATGCCATCACTTTCAAAATGGACCCCAAATAAATCCTTCTCAGACTGTGCCTTGTTTGCTGTGAAGTTTTTCACCAGTATCTCAAGACACCAAAATTTGGTGGATTGTTGAAAACAGCCTATTTGTAAAACCTGTTTAAGGTGATGCTAAAATATCTTCCATAAATAATTTCAGACACTGAACCCATGCAATTAGAAAGTGCTTGCTTTGTAGAAAGAGATTGGTGAAATCAGAATTACCTGTTTGTAGAAAGGGATTCAGTAAAATTTGACTGGAGGTTATACTATCATTCTTCATGTCTTTCATGAAGCTAAAATATTGGTCTTTACTGGTGGAAAATTGCTTTGATTGAAACTTATGCTCATAACAAATTCTGAGGCAATAGTCAGGGATGACTTATACGTTCCAGTTGTAGAATTATTGCAAAACTGGTGCTTTTGACTTTGTGATGCTTAGTGAATGTCTGTATTATAACTTCACCTTTTTAAGGAAAATAGAAATGCTAAATTCTAAGAGATAAATTTGAAATATGGTCCACTCTTGCAAATCCACGGGCAGTAAAATCACACATTTATAAAAGGGTAATTTTATACTATAAGTTTTCTATTGGTGGTTGTCACTAGTAGACAGAATGTTCCTTTTTGGAAATGCATTGAATTGGGGCATTTATGCTTAGTTTTTCTACTTCTCTAAGTAATAACCCACTCATGGATTTCAGAGAATCAATCCTAATGCTTCTAATGCTTTCCTGCAAATTATTTACAATGTTTTATAAACATTAAGTGTTTTGTAAAAATTTATATTAAACTTGTTTAATTTGGAGGTGATTTACTAATAAAGATATTGAGTTGGCAGATTACATAAGTCCTTTGTACAGGAAGCTGGTGTCTGGATTCCAGCCTTGATTTTTACATCCCAAGAACAAAAATTGTAAGAATAAGTCTTGACAGTCCCTCTACTATCTATATTTCTTGTTATTTTTACTCACAATTGAATTCCACTGAAAAATGCTCCAAAGAGACCAATCATTCCCAGGAATTCCACTCGGCTCAGAGTTCGGATGATGTATTCTTCCCAGACGTTAGAAATACCATAGAGTGTGGCTCCTCCTAAGACCAGAAGGTCCCCTACCAGCTTATTTTCCCCTAGGAACCAACCAAACAAACAAACAGAGGGAGCATCATTAAAACTTTCTTAACAAGAATCTGGCATCGGCAAATTGAGCTTCCCTTGCCTATTCTATTTTGACATTTTTATAGAAGTCATGCAATTTCCAACTGAGATTTAGTAAAGTTTATCTGTGCTCTAGACACGTTCTGATATAAAAAGTTTGCCTATGTTGACACAATTAGAAGTCTTCTCTAAGAAAGAGATCAGTCTCTTCCAGATCACACCCTCTCTACAAAGCCCACTATCTTCTGTCCAGGTATCAGATTTTCACTTATCAGATTTATACAAATATGAAGTGGCACGATCTCGGCTCACTGCAACCTCCACCTCCCAAGTTCTAAGGGATTCTCCTGCCTCAGCCTCCAGAGTAGCTGAGATTACAGGCACCTGCCACCACACCTGGCTAATGTCTATGAATATATGCTAATACATGCACAAGTTATATTGGTTTCAGGACATTTTCCAGCAGTTTAGTGAACATGGCATAGAACAAACAGAATCAGTATACATTTCCACCCTCTGCTATTCAGGGAGGGAAGCTATAACAGAAGCCGTCAAGATTGCACTTTGACCATGGGCAAAATGTGTAACTGTTAGAAAATGAGAGTGAAAGGATTTATGGGTTGAAATTTTCAACTCCCCTGAGGTAAGTAACATAAGAGTGTAAATATATGTAATTCACTATCACATTAATATTTTTTCATTAAAAATTCTTTTTGTTTTAAACTCAATTTTGGGCTGGGCGTGGTGGCACACGCCTGTAATCCTAGCATTTTGGGAGGCCGAGGCGGGTGGATCACCTGACATCAGGAGTTCGAGACCAGCCTGGCCAATATGGCAAAACCTTGTCTCTACTAAAACTACAAAAATTAGCCAGATGTGGTGGCGGGTGCCTGTAATCCCAGCTACTTGGGAGGCTGAGGCAGAAGAATCCCTCAGAACCCGGGAGGTGGAGGTTTCAGTGAGCCGAGATCATGCCACTTCACTCCAGCCTGGGGGAAGCGTGACATTCTGTCTCAAATAAATAAATAAATAAATAAAAATAAACTCAATTTTGGTTGATTTAAAACAAAATAAATGCTTTACCCAGGTATTTCCTAGAATTGGGCAAACTTCCCACTCCAGGAAGTATGGAGCCAGGGAAGGAGGAGAGCAGAAATAAGCAGCTAGAGTGGCCTCACTGGTGGGCTCTGTACCCAAGTGGTCTCTGGCTCTGTCCTGCATAAGTCAGCAGTGCAGGAGCTCAGCTGACCTGCAGCTCTGGGGCAGTGGAAGTTGAGGATGGAAAGGGTGCTTACTCCAGCATGATTCTAAGGAAAGGACTCATGATAGCTTAGCCCTGGATTCCCCGATGAGCCTGGGTTCTCACTGTTCAGTGGGGAGCACTGAGTGTTTTTAGGTAGTGGCTTCACATCAAAGAATCTGGGCATCAAAGAATCAGTGGCTTCACATCAAAGAATCTGTGGTCACCTTGGAAGATTCTATCTCTAAATGGTGCCACTTTTTCTAAGGCAACTTCTTTTTCCTGTCAAGGATTGGAGATAGAGGGGAAGAGATCCTGAAGGCAGCATTGTGCTGGAGTCATCCTCAAGGGAATGGAGCTGAGAATGGGATTTTGTGAGAGCTGGAAGTTCTCTTTGGGTTCATGGGGAGTTAGGCATCACTGCCCAGGAGATGAGCTGAGAATCTGATGAGGCCCTAATGAGAAACCAGACTTGGTGAGAGGTCCCTGGGCAGATCTTTTAGGAAAATTAAGGTTGCTGTGACAGAATGTGAAATCTTTGGCAACCTGATTAATCTTTTTTATGTGTCAACTATAAAACAATGACAAACTTTTAATTTTAAGTAGTTCCTCTGAAGAATGACCCATAAAATAGAATGTATCTATAACTAAAATTGTAAAATTATAATGAACATGATCCAGTCTCTTCACTCAGAAGACATTTTAGAATCTTGTGATGACATGGGGTCATTATTATGAATATCAATTATTGTTGTACTAGTGAAGTGTGGAAGTGCTGCATAATATAACTCTTGGTTAATAAATTTAATGTTATAGAATGAATTGAAGAAAGCTAAATCATAATGAAATATTTTAATAGAAATTAGGGAAGCATCAATCTACCTTTTAAAAGTCCTAAAAAGAGGACACACTGTTTCAGTGAATAGTCTCACCAATATTTTTCAAACGCCACACTGTTATGGCCTCTTCTGTTAACTAGCCTTTGACTGTAGGAAATATACTCATCAGTACTTTGAGTTTTCACCAATTCAGTAATAATTATTGATCATCACAACACAATTTTGTGTAACCACAAGTTCACAAGTATTTTCTAAGTTATCACTAACAAAAAGATTAAATATTATTTATTATAATTTGCTGATAATTATATTTGTCAGTTTTTAAGTCATTTGAAAGTAGGTACCTATACATATAACATACATTAAAATTTAGTTAATTAAACATAATTAAATTAACCAGAACATAATTTTATCCAATTATATTATATAATGAAGTGTTTGATATAATAAAAAGTGTAGGTACTAAGACTAATATTTTGTGCCTAAAATTTGTATCTAGTTATTTCCAGGTGGAAAAATTATTATCTACATTTTCTCATTTTTTGTAGGTCTAAATTTCTATGCTAAAAAATGGTATATATATATACATATATATATATATGTATATATATATACACACACATATATATTTTTTAATCCAGGGAGAATATGTTTTAATGAGATTTATTCAATCAACCCTTTACTATAAAATTATATTTCCTCTGTTAAGAAGTTTGCTTAGCTAAAGCTGTTTTTTCTTACCTATTAAAATAAGCAGCAGAAAAAAAATTTGTATCTAGTTAACTGGAAATTATAACATATTGCATTAATAACATATAAAATATTAACATAGTTTATGCACAGCTAATGCAGTAGATGCCTGACACGGTGATAGCAATTTTTGCACAATGTTCATGGTGAAAGTTATGCTAGAACATCTGTCATTTATGTATGTATAAAACCACAATACGTGATAATGATTTACAAATTTTGGGTAAATGGACATGTTTAAAATTATGAAGTGTCTACCCAAACCGATAGTTCTCTCCCTCCTCTGAATTTCACAGCATTGGTATCTGTCTATGGCACCCACCATACTCCACTCCTTGTCTGTTACTTGTTAACTTGTGTATCTCATTTCCCCGCAGCCAACTGTTCTCTTACAAATCATGGTTGAAGGGCAGGGACTGTGGCTCACTCAGCTGTATATTCTGTGTGGTCTCCAGCATGAATCCTGCAGCATTATACATTCTCAATAAAAGGCTACATGAATTGAGCTGACTGAACAAGTCTTAATACATCCTATGGTAAATGTTTTCAGTGAGAACAGCTTTCAATTTATTGGTAGAGTTGGGTCTGATCACATCTCTATCACTTACTACCTGTGTAATACTGGGAAAACTACAGAGTCTTCCTGAACTTCAGTTTCCTTATATTAAAATTAGGTTACTGTGAGAATAAAATAAAATATGACATGTAAAATGCTTAGCATTGTATCTGACACTTAGTAAGTGTTCACTAAATGGTAGTTTAAAAAAGTGAATAAATTATTTCCTGAAGCACCTGTCTCTTTGGGTTGGGCATTTCTCATTTTGGATTGCTCCTTGATTCCAATCAACCTAGTCATAATTGCTTTGCAAAAACTGGCTTTCCTTATCCGATTTTTGTTTAAGTACTAGAAACATCATGTTTGGAGACATGTTTGTGTATGCGTGGTGGTGGGAGGAAAAAGGAAGGCTATTTGAAATCATGACTTACTACTAGGACAAGAAATAAATGGTGAGTTATATTATTCTAGAGTGTTGAAAGACTATCAGTGCAGTTCCTGAAAATGTATCCATCCCATTGAATACATCTGCCTCTCAAATAGGGGGAACCAACTATCTTGTTTTCCTGGGACTCTGTTGGTTTTAGCACTAAAAGTTCCACATCTGGGGAACTTCTCCATTCTGGGCAACCTAGGGCAGTCACTTACACTAATTTACTATGATAAAACGTCTTTACATTTGTTGTAGAAGTCACAATTATGGAAAAATAAGGACTAAGTGTTACAGCAAAAAGAATAATGGCTAAATTTCATATCTGGGCCACGTAATTTGGTGATGGTGTGCCCTTAAACATATTGCTTATCTTCTCTGAGGCTTGATTTCTTCAGCTGCAAGAATGACAATAAAAATTCTTTGCATAGTTAGGAGGATTAAATGAAATAATATATAATAAAGTACCTGACACCTGTGGGCACTCAATAAAAAGTGTCATTTTTACTTGATTGTGTTTGATTACCTGGCTCCTTGAAAATATTTTCCTTTCCTTGAAATAAATGTAAAAGTAAGTGTAATAAAAAATTATTGTTGGCATCTAACATCTTTGATAAATGAACTAAAAGATGCAATAAATGTATTGTGTTAGAAAAGGATATTTTGAAGGGCGAGAAGGATATTTCATAACAAGGAGCTATTTTGATTAGGTTTTATCTTAATCTTATTACCTTCTAACCTTGCCTTTTATATCCATTAAGTTTTCCCAGGCAAGCAGAGAAGTCCTGGTGCTGAATCTTTTCAACTTTACTAAGTCATTTTTACACACTCCAACACATCTATAATAGTTATAATATTCTCAGAAGCCACTTCTATTGCCTATTGCCCTGCACATCAGTAAATGCAGAGATGGTCTTTTGGAGGAGGCCTATACTGCTGACATGGAGCCAAGGTGACAAAGAGAATACACATATTAAGCCCACTGATTTTTTACCAGTAAGCTTGGAAAAGACATTTCCTTCAAGTGAGCTCAAAGGCGTGGAAGCATCCTATAGTGGGTGATGAGTTGTACAGGTGACAAACATAGAATGAGAACATAAGTGCTGTTCGCATCCTTCCCAACACATATACCACTCTATAGTCTCTAAGGCAGAGTCTTCCAGGCTGGGGACTAGGATGCTTTCTCTCCACCTCTGTCTAGAGTGGGAAAACTTGCTGGTCAAGTTTCATCAAAAGCCCTATTCCTGGCACATCATTCTGTGCCCTTAAACTTATATTTTGTACATGAAGTACTTAATGCCATCTAAGAAGTTTCCTTCAGCCAGACTTAAATCAAAACAAAGAATTTCTGGATAGCTAATGAAGAAACATGCTGACGAAGTGGAATTAAAGCAATTGCTTTAATTATAATGAAGTCAAAGAAACTTTGAAAGGGCCGACATCAATGTGCTTGGAGACAGAATTGTCAAAATCCCAAACGAAGATGAAACATAGATTAAGCATTATAAAAAGGATGAAGTCAGACAGTCTCTTTTCCTGTGCAAAATTGTTAATACAGTGATAATTTTATTATTACTGTGATTTTCTTGAGGTAGAGTCTTGCTCTGTTGCCCAGGCTAGAGTGCAGTGGTGCAATCATAGCTCACTATAACGTTAAACTCCTGGGCTCAGGCGATCCTCCCGCCTCAGCCTCCCAAGTGGCAGGACTATAGGTGCACACCACCATGCTGGCTAATTTTTTCTGTAGAGATGGGGTCTCACTGTGTTGCCCAGGCTGATCTCTAACTCCTGGCCTCAAGTGACCCTCCTGCCTTGGCCTCTTGAGTCGTTGGGATTTCTGAATGTGCCTGGCCTGGTGATGACATCTTATATGGACTTGGATGCCTGACTTATGTTCTGGTGAGTACCTGCAGTATTTTAGAAAAGTTTTGTGACCCTGGCTGATTAATGCAATTGAACCAACTCTGCCATAGACATGAAAAAAAAGGAATATTTTTGATAATGATATGTAACAATTTTAGGATTCTATTGACCTCAAAACCAGTGGGTTTTTTTTTCTTTAAAAAAATATGTTCTCTGTGATGGCTTAAATTGCTGCCTACTTTAATATTTTTATAGAGGCAGAGCATGTCCAATCATAATTTTATAAAATGAGTCCTTGGATCCTATATCTGGGCTGGTCTTAAAACATCATTCTATGTACTTGGGCACCATTTCAATAGCACAGAAGGTGCTCCACAATGATAAAGCTTAATTCTGTTAACACTGATGCTTTGTATATCACAAAAGCAATGATGCTGTGGGCCTTAAGCAGATTCACATGGAGAAACCAAATTCCACTCCAGTATGTTTTAGCCACATCTACATTGTTTTTTTAAAAATGACACTTTGGAAAGACTCTCTAACAGACTTACTTTCTTTTTCTTAAGCAGTTTTGCTTCTTTTCTAACACTTCATTTAAAATCAAAACAACATTTTTTACAGGATTAATGAATACAATCTAGTGAAATCAATTCAAATTAGCTTAACATTCTAGGCTTAAATGTTCATCTTTATAGTTGACTATCGAATGCAAGATGATGGCCAAGATGAATGGCTGGGGTTCATGAAGATAGAGTTTTTATAACTAAGGGTACTTGCTTCTGCTTAGCCTGTGTTTACACAGTGTGCGGAAAGCTGAGAAAGTGTAATGAAATTACAACTTTAGGCCGGCCGCAGTGGCTTATGCCTGTAATCTTGGCACTTTGGGAGGCCGAGGCTGGTGGAGCACTTGAGGTCAGGAGTTCAAGACTAGCCTGGTCAATGTGATGAAACCCCGTTTCTACTAAAAATACAAAAATTAGCTGGGTGTGGTGGCAGGTGCCTGTAATCCCAGCTACTTGGGAGGCTGAGGCAGGGGAATCACTTGAACCCGGGAGGTGGAGGTTGCAGTGAGCTGAAATTACGCCACTGCACTCCAGCCTGGGCAACAGAGCGGGACTCTGTCTCAAAAAAAAAAAAAAAAAAAAAAAAAAATATATATATATATATACATATATATGACTTTAGAACAACTGGCCACATTGTATAAGACAAAAATATTATCTGATTGGTCCAAAAAGATTATTCATATCAACATTACTACATGTATATAGCATAATATTGGCCTTTTCATATGACGTCTATCAATATGTCATGGAACCAGTGTTTCATAGAAGAGAATCTGGGAAACACTGAGGTATTTATTTTCAGATTTCTATTGAAGTGGGGACTGATGGTGTTGTGTAGATGGTGTGGATGTGTGAGGCTGAGGCTGTCTCTCTTTTGTTCTATGTTGTATCTTCAGCTCCCAGCAACATGGGACAGAGAAAGAGGCCTGCCCTGGAGGCCGGGGGCCTTGTGTTCCAGTCTCTGCTTTGTCAGCTCTGTGACTTTGGGCAACTCACTTGGTTTGGATGGATCTTGGTGTTCACATATGTCAATTACAAAGGAGTTGAACAAGGTCCTTTTCAGTTATAAAGTTCTATGGTACAACATACATGACATTGTTTCAGAGACTTAACGTGACCTTGTCTCATAAAGAGAAACGGTCCACTTTTGACTCTTTATCATCTAATTTCCTAGAAGAAGGGGCAATTCCAAGAACTATAGAAAAGTGGGTACTTTCTATCCCATTTCTAATGTTAACAAAGAAGGTCATTTTTTTTCTGTTCCAAAAACCCTTCTGTAGCTAAAATTTTGGTATATTTTAAAGAATTGCAATGCTTTAAAAAGGGTCTTCTGGAAACCACCCTGACTCAGGGCTCCCCCAGCAGATTCACAGCAATTTGATGAGTGAATCATGCAGCTTTACCTTATGGGTTTATAAACTCTAATTGATACCAATAACCCCTCCTCGCAAAGCAAATTAAAAACCATGTGTGAGAAGACTGAACTTAACTCTCCCTCCTAAAATTATGGAGCACTCCTAACTAGTCCTCAAACTTTATTTACTCGTGGGCCTATAAACCAACCTTCACCCAGTAGTTTGAAAGCTCAGTCTTTCTCTGGCTTGACAGAGAAAGGTTTGGGGTTGGGGAAATGTGTGGAAGGCCCTGTGGCTCAGGAGTGAATTAGCTCATTACCACCAACTCTACCAAGGACCAGGGCTTGGGCCAGGCAGCTGGTTCAGGAACGGACTGACCTCCAAAACATCTTCTTGGTAGGTCATGACTCTCAGTTTTAAACACTGTCTGCATGTTTCTGAATGGATGCAGAAAGGGCATGAAAGCTGTATTTTGCAAACTCATGCACTCAAGAAACATGCATTAAGCACCTCCTGTGTGCCCTGTTTCAGGTGTGGGGAACAGACATGAACAGGACACAGATAGTGGGAAATCCAGGTTCCTAAGGTCCTTGTTTTCACCCAACTATGAACATTCCATTTCTTGCCTTGGCCTCACCCGCAGAGGTAAGGAACCTGGTGAACATCCGAAGACTCACCTGCTCCCTGATGTCTTCCCACAAGCACATCTGCTCCCACCATGCAGCCCATTCCCAGGATGCAGACAACGATGCCGATGAAATGCACAGCCTTGTACCGGATCAGCAGGAAGAACCAGGAGAGCAAAATCACGACTGGGATCACAAAACAGTCCAGGAGCTATTGGGAGGGATGAAGGTAAACAACAACAGGAGATTCAGGAGGAAGCATTCCATGTAGTAGGGAAAAGTAATTTAGTTCTGCAGAAAGGGTTCTGCCTTTCCCCTGAACCTGAGATTTTGTGTAGACCCAGACTTGATGTACTTAAAACAGACTCTGAAATAAATGGAAATTAGCTTTATTTATTTACTTAATTGTAAACATCCCCCAAACTTTAAGGGAAAGGGGAGAAGGCAAATTGATAAGACAGGCTGGTGGTGAAGAGTCTCCTGCCTCCAGGTGCTGGGGCAGCTCTGCCTCCTGTCTTCCTCAGGGCCAGGCCATGCTCCATGGGAACATCTTTGGTTCGGGGACAGTACACCCAGCCTTTTTACATTGTCCCCCTATTTTACGAGTAGATCCGGGAATGGGAGATGAGGGTGCAGAGGTCTTATAATGTTTTATGAATTATTAGAAATTAGACAAAAGTTGAATTTAATTTCTCCTGGACAGCTGTCTTCCTGCTACCAGTAAAAATTGATCTGTTCTTGTCATTTCATTCTTAAAATAAAAAAGTGCTCTAAATATAAATACAAATATGAGTCTCAAAAGTAGAAATACTTAAAAGAACTATTAGAAAAAAAATTTTTTAAAGAAAGTTGAATAGAGTATAGCAAAAAAATTTGATTTCATTTTTTATATATTTTGTACAAATAGTGAGATTCCATCTGACATGTAAGTCCAAAGAGTTGATAGAGAATTTGCCCCAATTATGTAGAGAGATAATGTGGTGAAATGAGAAGACCCCTGTGCTAGGAGCCAGAAGACCTGAATTTGAGTACAGATTCTCATTTACAGCTATGTGACCTTGGGCAAATCACAAGCTCAGGAGCCTCAAATTTCTGTTAGTAAAATGAAGATAACAACTTTCCCCAAAGATCAGCATGAACCTCAGAGATACTACATATGAAAGTAATTCTTAAATCACGAGGCCCTCATTGCTGGTCTATAACTCTGCTTTCAAACACACTCTTTGGGCTCCATGGAACTAATTCAGATTCTACCACACTGTGGTAAGACCTCTGGATACACTATCCAAGACAGGGTCTTTCTTAGACAAAGTGATGTCACATAGAACTGCAAGTTCCTTGTACCACATGAGGAACTTATGATTTGTCCAACCATCCAGTATATCTCCTTGCTGGAATTCTAAACAAGTGGCCTCTACCACCCAGCTGCCAGTACAGGGCAGTGATCCTCAATACTCCTTCACTTTCATTGCCTATATCCTATTGATTACCAAATTCTGCCAATTTAATCTTCCAAACATCTCTCAAATCTACTCATGCCACCCTCTCCCACTTCTGCCACCTAGACTGAGCTAACATCCTCTGCTACATGGAACAAGCCTCTCCTTCATGCCCCAGGGCCTTCACTTATGTACACTCCTCCTTCTGGAGGAGCTCCACTGCTTGAACTTCCTCCTCCTTTATCCTTCAGGCCTGCACTTATAATTTGCCTCCTCAGGAAAGCCTCTTAGATCCCCAGGCTAGGTCGAGTCCTGTTTGATGCTTTTGTTGAATGCTGTACTTCTCCTCTGTAGTTCCAATTGTAATAGTACTTAATTAGCACAGGATTATTGGCATCAGAACACTGCAGGGATTAAGAGGAGTATTCAATAAGAGTTATTGAACAAATATATACAAAGATTTTTAATGACCAGAAACATCAAAATAGAGTCTCCAAGATTCACTGAAGGCTGGAAAAGGTTTGCGTATTTGCAAAGCATCCCTGAACATCAGAGTGGCTTCTTGGCACTGCAAATAGCATTGTGAATCCCCTCTATCCCCAAAGCTTTTTGTGACCTGGACAGATGCTCATGTTTCTCTGTGCACTGGTCTTCTCCTCTGCAAAATGAAACAAGCACTCAGAATAGTAAGCTATCCCTGAGGTTGCTGAGATGATAAGGTGAGGAAGGACCACGTGAATGCTAAGTAGCACTGTGATGGCTGGGGGCTGAGCCCAAAGGTCACAGCACTCTTGGAGGGGCTACAGGAAGGAGGTGGTGGCAGGTAGGATTGTACTACAGCACACAGTTGCTCACTGCAGTTAATTAGCAATGTGAGTTAATGATGTGGTAATATGCTCTAAGGTAGGTTTTACAGCTAGCCTCAGATGCTATTTCAGTGTATTAGGAAATTTCAGTTTGTCATTGAAAACTGTTCACTGGGCATAAAACAGTTGGTGTTTTGTGTTAAAAATTAAAAATGATTGAATCAAGTTGAAATATTTAGCTGCACACTACAGAATTAGGGTTTCATTATCTGGCTGGAAGCCCTCAGTCAGTGGAGCTGAAGGCCTCTATTCCTGAATTATTGAGGGCAAGCTAGGCCATGGTCCAATCTTTGAGGAGAGCTGAAGTGAGCTTTTAGGTTCTCAGTGTCATTAGAAAAGCCAAAGCACTTGATGAGTCCTGAGATCTATTCCTCTAATGGTTTGAGTTGGAAAATCCTTATTTGTAAGTGTCAGGTGGTCCTGTGGGTAAGTGCAAACTTTTAGAAAGAAGAGAAGGGAAAGAAGAATATAATCATAATTTTTCTTAAAGAAGGATACAATCAAGCCAGTGTTTCTGGGGCATTTGAGGAGAGAAGCCTGGTGCTTATCATACAATGGGGCCTCAGTAATTGGTGGCTGAATAAATCAATGAATTGTCAGACATATGGTATCACTGACTGTCAGAAGGGACATTAGAGATAATCAAGGTTGCTACTGGCATTTAGGGTGGGACAACTGATTTTGCAAGATTGTCTCATGCTCTCTGCAGGGCAGTTAGCATTGCTGGGCCTTGACCGTTAAACATTCTACACATTTGCAAACGCCCCTGGAGGGCAGTATCTCCTCAGTTTAGAATCACCAAGACCCTTGTATTTAATAGTTGAGGCTTCCTAAGTCCTAAGAGGTGAAATGATGTGCTCAAGGTCACACAAATTGTTAGTATCAGCAGAAGTTATGTCATAATAATTTTTTGGACAATGTTTTAGTGAAGGTCAATGACAGGAATATTTAATTGCTACAGCTGAAGCTCTCACCATGGCATCTGTAACTGTTGAAGAGAAACTGTTTGGCAGCTGCTCTTAGTAAACAGGCTATTCTTTTTTAGTGATTTTTGCCTTCAGCTTTCCCCTCGTGGTCACATAACATAAAACATACTGACAAAATAATTTTTCAACAGTTTTCTCGTAGCTTAATTCCTTGGCTAAGTGGTTGTTAGAGAAGTAGAAAAGAGAAGCATTATAACTGAAACTGTTAAAAAAGAAAACAAACAAACAAACAAACAAAAACTCCTCTTCTGATTGCCATTAATCTTTTCAGTAGATTTAACTTTCTTTGCATACATCTCTGAATCTAAAAAGAAATTATAAAATATCCATATGAAAAAATAAACAAATATTATTTTATAACCATCTTATGCTCTGAAAAATCTCCAAGGACATTAAAAATACTTTAATGGAAAAGTGAAGTGTTTATTACTCTTAGATTTACATAGATTCCTTTTTTCCCCCTAAGGATTTAAACGAATTTTATTCTCCTTATGCCTTGAATCCTTAGGCAACACATGCCAGAGGTGTCTACGATTCTGTTTTCTAATTTTATAGACACGGCCGGGCACAGTGGCTCACACCTGTAATCCCAGCACTTTGGGAGGCTGAGGCGGGAGGATCACTTGAGGTCAGGAGTTCGAGACCAGCCTGGCCAACATGGAGAAACCCTGTCTCTACTAAAATACAAAAATTAGCCAGGCATGATGGCGCATGCCTGTAATTCCAGCTACTTGGGAGGCCGAGGCAGGAGAATCGCTTGAACCTGAGAGGCAGAGGTTGCAAGAAGCTGAGATTGTACCACTGCACTCCATCCTGGGCAACAGAGTGAGATTCTGTCTCAAAACAAAACAAAACAGAACAAAACAAACAAAAAGATAGAGACATGGAGGCACACAGTACACAATGGCTGGAGAAAAGTCTCTGAAGTCATGGTGATAGCAACAGGATTACAATTTGAACCTTGTAGTTTTTTTTTAAATTCATTTTCTAAATAGAGATGGGGTCTCATTATATTGCCCAGGCTCGCCTCAATCTCCTGGGCTCAAGCAATCCTCCTGCCTCAGTCTCCCAAACTGCTGGGATTACAGGCCTGAGCCACAGCGCCCAGCTTGAACCCTGTAGTTTTAAACAACATTTACAGTTGGTTGCATTAAGTTTGCACTTACAGTTTGTAAAAACGATTATGTTATTTTTATGGTAGACAAAGTAAATCTTCACAACAGCCCTTTAAGGGAGTTATGACTGTATCTACTCTATAAATAAGGGAACTGATGGTCTAAGAGAAAAGCAAATTAGTATTAGAACTGGGGCTAAAACACTAGCGTCTGGACTGCTAGATCGGAGTTCAAGTGCAGCTTCCAAAAGTTATTTAAATAAAAAAGGTTCATGCTGACATTACTTTTAAGACAACAGAAGACAGTCAACATTAAGTAGCACTAAAATTTTAAAAATATGTATATGTACAGGAAGATTGAAGCGTCATTTAATTTCCCCTCTTTCTCCCTACCTCTTTTTCTTTTCCACTCCAGCTGATCTCTGACCATCTTATCACTGTGCCTTTCTCTGTGGCCTTTAATCACATTTGGTTATGCCCTCTCCTGCACACACGCATCCCATCCCTTCCTTCCTGCCAAAATCTACTCGAGCTTCTCTTTGGACTTCTGTGGATGCTCCCTTCCTTTGCCAGCACTCCGCAGACCCCTTAACCTGGCTTTAGACACCCACACTTCCGAAAGTGTGCTCATCATGATGCGCGCAGCCCCCTCAAACACGGTCATGAAGCTGTCCCAGTAGTGGACAGTCTCATGAAGATGGAACATTTTCTGAGTGTCTGTGAGATCTGCCTTCAGGCTGCAAACCCTCTTTACAGCTGGTGTGTCTCCCCAATTGTATCCCGGTTTTACAGAATATTTTACAAGTCTTTGGTCCACAAGAGTTCACAACTCTAAGTCTGGGATGCAGGGAGAGGCACAGGCTGTGGAGCAGTAACATGGGATGGGGATTAGGGGGCTGTCTCCCCTTAGCAATGCTACCAGGGGCTTCGGGCAACTGCTGGCACATCCCAGCCCCAGAGGGGTGGGATAGAGGGAGTTAGGAAAAGCAGAGAGAGGAAGTCCTCTGGGTCATCGGTGCTTCTGCCTCACCCCTGCCAAGTGGGTGGCCAGCTGCTACAGCCCCCCTCCCTTCAATATCCAAGGGAACCTCACTCTCTTCTCTGTTTCTCTGGCTCTTTCCTGCAAAACCCCCTTGGAAGTCATGAGAGTTCAAGAATTAAAGGAGAGATAAAGCCAGAAAAAGTTTATTCTTCATTCAGCTGACATTTATTGAGCGTTTACCAAAGCCCAAAGCCCCAGCCCCTGTGTGCGTTCACGTGGGCCCTAAATCCTGCTGACCTGCATTCTGTTACTCTGACACTGTGCACTTTAATTTAAATTTTCTACAAAGAAAATGTGTTGACTATTATGCTTGTGTATGCATATGTATATATGCATATTTGTATATAGTGTTGTTCTGAATAATTTTGAGCCAGCCCAAATCCAAGAAGAGGAGATAGTTGGCCATTTTGCAGTAAGCATATTTTTATGGCCTAAGTCTCATGAAATGGAATTCCTTCATCAGTCAGCACCAGGGAAGGCCTCTGGATGTTTCAGGAGAGAATCCAAGGCCAAGTATGATATTGACTGGATACTAAGGTATCACACCACAGGTGAGGCTGTTGGGCTTCGTGTGGTTATAAGACATGCCATGGGGACAGAATTTATATTATTTTCTTTGTTTAATCACTTTGCATCAATTTTGAGAGTCATGTAGTACAATTGCATTTATCACAACCATATAACTTTATAAGAGTGATTGTGCAATGGAATCTGTGTAGGTCAAAAATATTGCATCATCACCATCATTCAAGTGCCAGTTGGCCTCATCCAGTCAAGTGAACAGAGTAACTTCAGAGTTTTATAAATTCAGTTATAATCACAAAGACATTAGAGAGACAGACACAAGTCAATTAAATACATTCACAGACAAAGGCGTAGATACACACAACTAATATTACAGGGATAAAATTCATATTTTGTAGAAGAAATAGGTTAAATGAAATTAGCGGAATGGTAGTGAGGAAGTCATGAGAACTGCAGAATTAGAGGAAGAATAAAGCCAGGAAAAGTTTATTCTTTCATTCAGCTAACATTTACTGGGCATTTACCAAATCCCAGGTTTTGAGTGGAGACAGTGAAGGCATATATAGATGAACAAGATATCCTTTCTTTCTTCCCTCAGGAAATTCATAACACCATAAGGAAACACTACATTCATTTATTTAATAATTTTTTGTTGTGTGACTGCTTTATATGGGCATAGCCAGGCTTTGTGATAAGGTAGATAAAACTGTCCCTGCACTCCAGGGACTCCCAGTTTAGGATAAAGACACCCAAAAGAAGTTGCCTTCTTTTTTAAAAAAAATTAAAAACCCTAAACCTGTAATATAGATACTTTATCATATCATTAGATTTAGCTTAACATTGTTGAGATATAATAAATATACTATAAATTTCACCCTTTTAAAGTATGCAATTAGTGGTTTTTAGTGTATTCATGAAGTTGTACAGCCATCACTACTATCTAATTTCAGAACCTTTTCACCATCCTCAAAAGAAACTCCATACCCACTAGCAGTTACTGTACATTCCTCTCTCCTCACAGCTCCTGGCAAACATGAATCTACTTTCTGTCTCTATGGATTTACCTATTCTGACTATTTCATATGAATGAAATCATACAATATGTGACCCTTTGTGACTGGTTTCTTTCATTTAACATGATGTTTTCATGGTTCATCCATGTTGTTCATGTATCACACCTCATTCCTTTTTACTGCTGAATAATATTGCACTGTATGGATATATCATGTTTTACTTACACATTGCTCAGTTGATGAACATTTAGGTTGTTTCCACTCTTGGGTTATTATAAATAATACTGCAACGAACATTTTCAAGCAAGCTTTTATGAGGAACATGTGGGCTTCATTTCTTTGGGTAGATATTGAGAAGTGGCCCTGCCAGGTCATATAGTAACTCAGTGTTTAACACTTTGAGGAATTGCTAAACTCTTTTCCAGTGTCCATTCCATTCTGCAATCACATCAGCAATGTACAAGGGTTCTAGTTTCTCTTTATCCTATCAACATTTGTTACTGTATTTTTTTTTTTGATTTTTGCTATCCTGCTGGGTGTGGAGTGGTATCTCCTTATGATTTTGATTTGCATTTTTCTAGTGACAAATGATATTAAACCCCTTTTAGTATGCTTATTGGCCATTTTTGTATCTTCTTTGAAAAATATCTATTCAAATTATTTGCCCATTTTTAAATGAGGTATTTGTCAATATTTTTATAAAGTACTATTTTAATCATTTTTGTATTTTTGATGATTTTATTTGTTCCTGTTCTTCTGAATTATAAATGATGCTTCAAACAACACACTTAAATATGAGCTTCTGCCTATATCTCTGAATATTATCTTAGGATAAATTCCCAACCATGAAATGATAGGTCTAAAGAGTATACACTTTTAAAAACTCTTGATGCATACTGTCAAAATTTTCTCCACAAAGTTAGTGGCTATTTACTTGTTCAATTTCAGAGTATGAATGTTCCAATCTTACTGTACTCCTATCAATTTGTACATTATCTTTTTTATTGCCAATTTATATCAAACATAAACTTTTATAATTGTTTTAAATTTGTTATGTGATTACTGATGAAGCAAAACTTTTTCTTTCTATTAAAGTATTAGTATTATTACTGATATATAAAATATCTTTATATATTATTAAGGCTATTAGACCTTTATCGTATTTGTTGAAAATTTTTTATAGCTTTAAAAAAATTATGGGTTTAAATATTTATTTATAAGCTCATTTTAAAAAAACTTCTTCTCTCTCCCCAAATCAGCGAAGTAGTCAACTATGGTAAGTCATCTATGTGTTCTTTTAGTTATTTATGATTCCTTTTTTAACATTTAAAATTTTAATTCATCTAGAATATTTTGTTGCATGAAATTAAGTTAATAGCTAATTCAGTTTCTTATTACAGTCAACCTTCTCACTGCATCTGTTGAATAATCGGTCCCTTTCTTGTTGCTCTGCAATATTTTCTCTGTAGTATATTTTATATATATTAAGATCCATTTTAGGGTCATGTTATATACCATACTACCAACAGTATCATGTTGCTTTAATTGCTGTAGCTTTACCAATGCATTTTTAATGTTTTCTAAGGCAAATTGGTTTTCATTATTCATTGTTTTCAGAATTATCTTGGCTATTCTCATCTGTTTTTCCCTTCAGATGAAATTTACTGCCATATTTTTTAGTCTTCAACATCCCTGCCCATCTTAAAAAATCCCCAGGGATTTCAAAGAGCTTTTACATCCATTATCTCATTGTCAAATGTTAAATGAAGGCTTTGGGGGAAAATCTGTATCTTTCTCCAAACTTTTATGGAGTTTCAAATGAAATTTTGAATTTGGATATTTGTATTTACTGCTGGAAAATATCAGTTGGGTAAAAATTACCCTTTTCGAAAAGAGCACAGTGATATTGATGTCAGATAAACAAGATAGAGGGTTTTCGTTAGAAAAATTAGATAGTCACATAGCACTTAAATGTTAGACTTTAGCCTACTGTTAGCTTTTCTGAGTTGATTATGCAAAGTTCCATAAAATAATCCAAAGTAATAACAAAATTCATTGTACTTTCAAAAGAATGAGTAGCTTTGCCCAGAAGTGCAGGAAAAGGCCAGTAGGTTACTTCTTTCCATAAAAGCAGGAAGTGCTTTATTCTAAAAGATCAAATCTGTAACTTCAGTTTTACCTGTTCAAATAATTACCTTAACTCATGAAAAAAATAATCAGAGTGTAATAAAGTTAGTACATTATGGTATTTTATGTTTTCTGACTTATATGCTCTGCAACATGGATGAAAATGACAAGGAAATCTAGGTAACTAAGATTGGAAAACTGCTCTGCAAATTAAGAACAGTGATTTCAGGAAATCTCCATAGCATTTCCATTTTCTACTTACAAACCTAACAACTCGGCAATGCTTGTTCTTTATCTTCAACTTATGGCTTTTAACTACCTTCAGAAAAGCTGAGTATAGTACTATGTTTTCATTCTAATAAAATGTCTATTTAGAGGCTGTCTTTTGTGTCTAAAATACTACATGTTCTGTTTTCTTCTTTAATGTTGGATGCTGTGGTCCCAATCACCTAGTTTTCCTCTCTTCTTGGATTTAACTGGCAGAAAATAATAGCTTGATTCATTTGAAACTGCCACATTTGTAGGTCAAATTGGTTGTATTCTACATGGTTCACCTAAAAGACCCCAAGAACCAATGGAGATCAAACAGCTGTATTAATTTTAGACCTGGATTGGAGAAGGCAGTGTTGCCTCCCATCTCCCACTCCAATTTAACTTAGCCTCAACTTTCTTAGCCAGATATCCTGGGGGAAATGGTCTTCAGGTCTTGGACTCTGTATTTCAGGGGTCTTTCCAGCAAGGGACATAGAGCAGGCAGAAATGAAGCACTGTAGTTTTTTTTTCCTCAAAACTTTTAGTTTTCTTTTAAAGCATCACAACTCCACCAAGTGGTAAAGTCTCCTACTGGATATTAACTTTAGCTATTTCCTCTTTGGGGTGGAGCAAGTAGGGAATGGAAAGATGGAGAGAGACAGAGAGAGAGAGAGAGAGAGACAGTTTTTTCCCATCATCTCAGCTTTTAGAAGGGAATGGAAGTCTTCCCTGACCTGGGTGGTATCATGGGAAGGACAGGAGTCCTTCTACATTCCCTTTATACCATGCTTGCTTTAGATGACATACATGTTCATGTAAAAATTTGTTTCCTGATTACACATCTACATATCATAGTATTAGGCATAAAAATTTCTGGATGGAGAAAATTAGAATCTATAAGAATAAAATGTTAACAATGGTTATCTTTGAATGGGATAACTGAATCTTCACAACTCCATGGCCCAAATTCTCTGTGGTTTCCAAATTTCCTCTCTCGAGCATATACAGACAGTCCCTAACTTAGGATGGTTTGACTTACAGTATTTTCAACTTATGATGGGTTTATAGGGATGTAACACCATCATAAGTCCAGGAGCATCTGTACTTCTTTCAAAATATATAAAACAACATATGTTATGTATGAGAGTGCAAAAATCTACAAGAGTCAGGTCAGTGTTTTCAAGGGAAGCTGATGGTTTGTTTTCAAGGGAAGCTGATGGTTTATTTTAAAAAGTTTATTTTTAAAAAACTTCTCCAATCCCAGCAGAGCATAATGAGGTGACCTCATCCCTCTTTCTAATGGTCTGTGCCCAAAAGAGACTCCTCTGCCAGTCTTCAGATCCTCATTAATGCTCCCCTCTGGCTATCACAGGCAAAGAGCTCTCCTCAAGTGGCCCAGCTGTCAGAGGCTAAACCTGAGGCAACTGGTAGGTGATTCTAGGAAAGAGAACATTTCCCCACTCTCCCTTCCTCTGCTTCTAATTGGCAATTCTCCCATGTTTCTAAAAGTGACATATATAAATTCATCTCCAGTGAGTAAAACTGAAGTGTTAACAGGGAAGGATCTTTAAAAGGACAAACTTCAGTCACACACACACACACACACACACACACACACACACACACACACACACACCAGAAGTCTTCTTTAAGCTGACAGGCCAGCTGAAGAGAGTAGAAAATATTTTGTGGAACATACATTCACATACAATCAATAACCATTTTAATTTTGTGGCCTGGATTTGTCACCATCCCAGAGGCATCTGAAAATCTGACCAGGAGTGTAATTCCAGGGAGTAGTATATTTCATCTGGAACAAACTTTTTTGGTAGACAGCCACCACCTCTCTTACACTCTCTCCCTGAGATTTTTTTTCCTTCTCAGAGCTATGTTATTCACAGCGCTCTCCCCTTCCAAACCCTATACCTTAGAATTTACTGTTTAGGTTTTACTGTCTTAAAATATTCATGTTGGATAAAGCCATGTTTCCATCACATTGTCCAAGAGAGCTAAGCTAATCAAATGTGTCACTGTGCTAACTATATATAACAGCCCTTTTCCAGGAAATACCCTATTTTTTTGGATTTAGAAAAATATTTCTACCAAACTACTTTTCTTTTCCTACCAATAGGAATTTAAATGTGTAAATTGTATATGTCCCCTTGTGCCAGTCATCCGAACTTTCTAGTTGCTCAAGTTTATTCACTTTACTTTTGGCTTCAGCTCTCAAAGGAGAAAAGAAAGAAAGAAAGAAATGACACTGCCATGCACTGAAAATCTGGGACAAGTACCTAGAAATCTAGGTGACCGGAACATACAGATAATTAGACACAAGCTCTCTAGCTCAGTTGCGGGGAAATCTGCCTTCGGTGAGAGCAGAGCTGTCCTGGGGGCAAGATCCTCCTTGTTGAGGATCATCGGGTATCATCAAAGCCTTTATCAGCTTTAAAAACAAGTTCTGATCATCAGTGAACCAGATTCTAAAAGTAAAAAGCAAGGAATTAACATTTACTGAGTGCCTACTATATGCCAGGCTCCCTGATACATGTTCTTATTTTTCCCATTTTACAGATGAGGAAATGGAGTTCTAAAGATAGTAGGTAACTTTCTTGAAGTCACCTGGCAATGTCAGAGCCAGGATGTGATCACAGGCCTGCTATTCTCCTTACATAAAATGAGCTTAAGTAATCAAGGCCCAGGTGGAGCAGAAACTATACAGGATCCAGTCATCAAAGTTGTCTAGACTGGATTAGCCTCAAATCAATCTAGCATCTGTGAGCTCTCTCTTACATTGAGAGTACCATGCAAGAGAGAGAAAACTCTGAGGCTATTGAAAAATGGTCACTGGTTGGGGGTGTTCCTCTGCATTTTTTACATTAAATAAAGTATAGGTTATAAGACAAAGTGCATGAGAATTAGAACCATTCATTTTCTGATACTGTGTGGCTACCTTGGGTATTTTTGGAGAAGTGGTTGTCTTAAGTCAGCCAAACTCTAACTTGTACTTCTAATTTATAGAATTCATGAACATAGGAACATTAACAGTAACATTAAAGCAAGTACACATTTCAAAGCACATATTGAAGGAAATAAAAGTTTTCTGATAAAATATTAATTCTACATTAATTTTGCATTACTTTTGATTCCTCTCCACATTATAATAGTATGGAGAAATAATTTCAAAAGCCAGAGGAAAGCATCTTATACTTTTTGGGTTTTATTTCTAGGTTTATTTCCAGGTTTCGTTAGAAAACCGCAAAAATTGCTGGGTGTGGTGGCTCACATCTGTACTAGCATTTTGGGAGATGGAGGTGGGAGGATTACTTGAAGCCAGGAGTTCAAGACCAGCCTGGGCAACAAAGTGAGACCCCATCTTTACAAACAATACGAAAATAAGCTAGGCGTGGTGGCACACACCTATAGTCCCAGCCACGTGGGAGGCTGAGGTGGTAGGATCACTTGAGCCCAGAAGTTTGAGGCTGCAGTGAGCTAGGATCATACCACCGCACTCCAGCTTATGTGACAGAGCAAGAAAAATGCAAAAATCAGATTTTTACTACCTTATACTAGTCACTTATTTACTCATCCAAAAGACATTTATTGAATGCCTACTAAGTGACCAGGATTGTTATAGATGCAGAGGATACCGGCGTGAATACTCTACATCCAGGTGCAGGTGGACAGCTGCCAATGAACACACATTTCTTTCCTCCAGTTGACACTCAGTTTCTTCCCCTAAGGACTTGCCTGGTGGGGAAGGCAATTCTGCCCTTTGTTCTTTGGAGCCGTCCCCTCTCCCCATCTGCTGTCTCTGAGGCTTTGCTCCAGCAGCTATCCCACTTCCCTCCTGGATCCTCATCCCTTTCTGCTTGCTGTGTTCCTTCACCATACAAGTCCTGGTCTTATTCTCGATGCCCACTGGCTCTGTAGCTATTTATCTTTTCCTCTTCACAGCCAGCCTGTGAAGATCAATCTACAGTTACTGCCTCTGGCATCTTGGTTCCATTCATTCCTCAAGCTACAGCAATACTGACAGCTCCTTTCACTATGATCACCAAGGCTAAATTGCCTGGCCGCTTCTGACTTCTTATCTTACTAAACCTCTCTGCAGTAGTTGGCATTGCTAACCACTCTCTCCTTGAATTTTCCCTCTCTTGATTTATCTGTTGTTTTTCCCTCCTACCTCTTTGGCCCTTTGTTCTGTCTTTTTGTGGATGCATCTTGTTCTTTTGGTCCCTCTCAACGTTGGTGTTTCTGAGGGACCTATCCTTGGCTGTCTTATTTTCACATTCTACATGTGCCACTCTTTGGCTCTCACCCCACCTCTTACTTCCTTTCCTGCCAAACTTCTTTAAAAGAGTTGCATTTAGCCACTGTCTCCATCTTATCAACATCCATTCAACACCTCGATTCACTGCAATCTGGTTTCTGTTCCCCAAACACGATCAAAATGGATCAAAAACATTCCCTGTTTTCTAACCCAGCAGACACATTTTAGTCCTCTTCTTACTAAGCGAAGAATCTGACACTCCTTCCTTCTTTTGGTGCTCTCAACCATCCCCTGCCCTTCATTCCATCCCTCGGGCCTCTTCAGACTCCTTTACGCGTTCCTGGCTTATGGGCTCCTGCATCTACTCTCATCTCTCAAATATTGTGTTCTCAGGATTTTGCCATAATGTCTCTTCTCACTGTTCCACATTTACCCTGAATGATTTCACCTACCGTTCTGACTTTAAAAATCATCCCTAGGCTGAGGACTTCCAAAAGTACCTCTCAAATCTGGATCTATCTCCTGAACTCCACAGCCATATAACCACCTACTTATCTAATGTGAATGTGCCCAAAATCCCCACAGCTCATCAAGGCTCAAACATAACTCATCTTTGTTCCCAGATTATCCCTCCTCTTGTGATTCTTCCCTCCCTGAATGGGACCACCAGTGACTTAGTTGCTCAGGTCTGAATCCTGAGTGTCTGATATCCAGGGGTCACACTTCCCCTTGAAACACTTTCTTCACTTGGCTTCCAGGACATACTACATTCTCCTTGTTCTCCTCTACCACACTAGCCTCTCCTCAGCCTGCTTTCCCCTAGTCTCTGAATGTGCTCCATGGCTCAGTTTCATTTTCTTCTCTTTTCTATTTATACCCACTCCACTATGACCTAATCATACAATGACCTTTAGCGCCATCTATATGAGAATGACATCCACATTCATAATTCCAGTTTCAGCCTCTCTGTTGAACTCCAGACACATATACTCAGCCACCTATACCAAGCTCTGCTTGGATGTCTAACAGGAAACTCAAATCTACATGACCAAAGCAGAATGCTTTGATTTTCTGCTTCACATCTTCTCTTCCCCAGTTTTCTTCATTTTACCACATGGCACAACCATTCCCCCGGTGACTGAGGCCAATAACTAAGGAACCATTCTTGGCTCTTTTTCTTTTCTTTCCAACTTCCCCTATCCCCTCTATGAATGCTCAGAAAATCCTATTGGCTTTATCTACTGAATGCATCAAACCACCTCTATCCACATCGACAGTTAGCAAGTGGCTTCAAGTCATGATCATCATGCACTTAGTGGCCCCCTGACTGTCTAATCACATCCACTTCTACTCCTTAAAGGTCAATACTCCACCAGCAGCAATGACGATCTAAAAATACAAATTAGATCACATCGGTCCCCTGCCCAACACAGTCTAATAATTTTTCTAAGAGCAAATCCAAACTCCTTTCCTTGACTTTGTCTTATATAATCTGCCCCATCTTCATCTTGAATTTAGTCTCTTACTACTAGTAACTTCTTTCAATTTCCTAAACTTGACATGCTCAAGTTCTTCACCCTTATACTGTCCTCTTTGCTTGGAACTCTCTTCCCCATATCTATGCGTATTTTACTCCCACATATTCTAATGGGAGGGTCAGAAAATGAAACCTAAGTATGCCTTAGGAAGGAAGCTTCATGAGGGTAAGAACAGTCTTCTTCATGCTATATGTCTAGTTGCCCATGGGAAAGTGTATATAATATATGCTCAAAAAAATTTGCTGAGCCCTGAACAAATACACATGAATTGATCCTTCTTTCTTTTTCACTCACACACCGAATAAGTCACCAAGTCCTTTCTTTTTAGCCACTTAAAACTATTTAGAATCTCTTTACTTGTCCTGTTCTGTCTGATCTGATCTGAAAAAAGATCAGATCATGCAAGGGATCTTGCTAAATTACAAATCTCATCATGCTATTCCTACAGTAGAAACTCTCAGAATTAAGCCCAAACTCATGAATATGGCTTATAAGTCAGTCCCTTTGTGATCCGTCATTAGGTACTTTTTCATCTTCTTCTTTGCTCATTTCCTCCTTTAAACTCCATGCTGTCAGTTATACAAGAGTTGTTAGTTTTAGAGATTTGTTGTACAACATTTGCCTATAGTTAACAGTATTGTATTGGGCACTTGAAAATTTATAAGGGTAGAGCTCATGTTAAGGGTTCTTACTGTAAAAAAAAAAAATTTAAAAAACACACAAAACACAACCACAAACTCAATGCTGAAGCCATTCCTTAACATACCATGGTCTTTCTTGACTCATTTATTCACTCCGTCACCCAGGCTGAAGTGCACCTGGGGCTCAAGTGATCCTCCCACCCCAGCCTTCTGAGTAGCTGGGACCACAGGCACATGCCACCATGTCCAGCTAATTTTTTGTATTTTTTTAGAGATGAGATTTCACCATGTTGCCCAGAGTTGTCTTGAACTCCTGAGCTCAAACGACCTGCCCGCCTCGGCCTCCCAAAGTGCTGGGATTACAGGAATGAGCCACCGCTCCTGGCCATGACTCATTTCTTTCTCTTTTCTTTTTTTTGTTTTTGTTTGAGATGGAGTCTGGCTCTGTCACCCATGCTGGAGTGTAGTGGCACGATCTCGGCTCACTGCAACCTCTGCTTCCTGGGTTCAAGCCATTCTCAGTCTTCTGAGTAGCTGGGATTACGGGCACGCACCACCACGTCCGGCTTTTTGTATTTTTTAGTAGAGATGAGGTTTCACCATGTTGGCCAGGCTGGTCTCAAACTCCTGACCTGAAGTTATCCACCCGCCTTGGACTCCCAAAGTGCTGGGATTACAGGTGTGAGCCACTGCACCTGGCTGCCATGACTCATTTCTTTCTACATGTTGTTCCCCCTGTCTGGAGTTCTCATGTCCTTCTCCCTTGTCAGAGTTCAGTTTAGCCAGTGCTTCCTCCAGGAAGCCCTCTCTGGCTCCCTAAATCCAGATTAGGTGCCCCCTGAGGGGCTCCCATACGTCTCTGTATTACCTAATTGTATTGATTACGCTAAAATGCAATTCCTTTCCTTAAGCGCAGGAATTTTTCTCTTTTCTGCTCAGTTTTATCTTCTGCAGCTAGGGTGGTACTTGGCACACAGTAGTGACCCTACAAGTATTTTATGAATTCATTCAAAAATATTTATGGAACACCTTCTGTGTGTAGGCACTATCTCACAAAATACAAATTCCAGGTAATAAGAAAATTCCCTGCCCTTACAGAGTTTATAAGACAAGACAGCCAATTAAGTAAAATTAGTTACGTCAGTGGTGATAAGAACTATGGAGAAAAATTAAACAGGGGAGAGGGGAGGCAGTATAGGTGCAGGTGTGAGGTTGCAATTTTAAACAGGGTGGTTAGAGAAGAGTTCACTGAAAAGATGACAGTTGAGCAAAGTCTTGAGGTGCTCATTGCATCGCCTGGCAGATAGTAGATGTTGAATGAATGAATAACCAATGAAGCAATGAATAATTTCTATTACTCTGAACCACTTGGGGAGCTCCACTGTCATCGAGTTAGCTGTACTGTATAAATCTACTTATTGAGATGATTTCTGCCACGGGGAATCAAAGGTGAGCGCCCTGGGCAGCTGCTACTTCCTGTCATCGTTCTCTGGCCCAGATGGTGTCACAGCTCCTAAACTACTCACAGAGCCCCCTACTTAATGGCCTCAGGAAATGCCCAGTCATGGTCTGTCTTCCTGTTCAAAGGCTCTTGAATTAGAAACGGCCCCAACTCAGAAGACATAAACAAGAGGGAAGAAAGGAATGAGAGAGACAAAAATAACTCCTGCTATTTCTCAGATGCTGGTGTTTCTATGCATTCTCATTGAGTCTTAAAAAGTCTCAGTGGCCTTAAGACTGTACCCTTCAGTCAAAAAGCAGCTCGAAGCCTTTTATTGATTTATGAACAAACCCATCTCCTCAAATGCATTGCCAATGGAAGCAGGCTTTGCATAGTTTTTCTTTTTCTTTTTTTACATGCAAGGACTCTTTCCCACTTTAACCATTTATTACAGGTGAATTTTGTACAGTGATAGACTCAAAATGAGCACGTCTGTCATTGGAACCAGTCAAGGTGTAGAAGTGTTTTCATGTGCATCTATTTGGGCAGACAGCACCAGGGTGCTCTCCAAGGAGCCCATCTAGGCAGTATTGGGAGAATTGGCACCTTAGTAACCACAAAGAAGGAACAGCTCCTGGGCAGGATACTTTTCTCAAACAATGGAAACACAAGCAAGGGTGGGCAGGAGAACCTGCTCTTACAGTTATGTTTCCAGTTCTATTTGGAGAAGGCTCTCAGAAGATAAGTGCCTTCGAACCTGCCTGGAGGGTGGTGCCTCAGTCTATTAAGGCTGCTGTAAAAAAATACCATAGACTGGTGGCTTATAAACAACATATATTTATTTCCCACAGTTCTGGAGGTTGGTGTCTAAGATCAAAGACTTAGACAGCAGATTCTGTCTGGTAGGGGCCCACGCCCTGGTTCATAGACAGCAGTCATTTCTCTGTGTCCTCGCGTGCATGGTAAAGGGCAGGGGAGATCAATGGGGTCTCTTTTATAAGGGCACTAATACCATTCAGGATGGCTCCACCCTCATGATCTAGTCTCCTCCCAAAGGCTCCACCTCCAAATACCATTATATTGGGGGTTAGGATTTCAATACATGAATTTTGGGAAGACACAAACACTCAATCTATAGTAGGTGGGAAGGATTTAGATATTGTCTCCAACTGTATTAGTTTTCCATTGCTGCTGTAATAAATGACCACAAACTTAATGGCTTAAAACAGCACACGTTTATCTTATAGTTCTGGAGGTCAGAAGTCCTAAAATCAAGGGGATGGCAGGGTTGTGTTCCTTCTGTAGGCTCTAGGAGACAATCCCTTTCCCTGCCTTTTTCAGCTTCTAGGGGCTGCCTGCATTCCATGGCTTGTAGCCCCTTTCTCCATCTTCAAAGCCAGCAATGTGGTGTTTTCAAGTCTCTCCCTGACACTGAACTCCACTTCTAATGTTACATCTCCCTCTACTCTGACTCCTGCAAAGGACTTCTCTTCAAAGAACCTTTATGATTACATTGAGGTCACCCACATAATTCAGAATAATCTCACCATAGCAACATCATGAGTTTAATAACATCCACAGAGTCTTTTTTGCTATGTAAAGTAACATATTTACATATTATAGGGATCAGAACATCGACTTCTTTGGAGGGCCATTATTCTGCTTACTGTTCCAGCTATGTTCATGCATAATGAAAGGTGTGCCTTGAAAATAATGGAAAGTTCTTTTAAGGGAAGAAGAAAATTGCCACTTATTGAGCAGGATGTGCAGGTGTTTACATATCTAATCTTCTGTAATGCACTGGAATTCACTCATCCAAACACGGTTATCATTCAAGATAGTCACTCTGGAAGGTTATGGTTGTAGTTTAATGAATCTTTCATCACTCAAAAACATATGAACTCTTTGAAATTGCCTCTGAGCACTCATTGGAATATCCTTAATGAAAGCAGTTGCTCATACTTTTTGGGTAGGTTTTACTATTTGGAAAGAACCAAAATGCTGGATTATGCTAGATAATACTTTCTGGATTCAAATGAAGGATAAATTATAAAGAAACTTAAATGACTTAAAACTGGTTCTGAAGGAGATTTCAAAAGAGAAATTCTAAATGGTAGCCACATTAGAATAAGTACATACTATTAAAAGATAGCACTTTGAAGAATGATATATTTGCCTATCCAACCTTATCCACCAAATATGCCAGGCAATTTGTCCATTGGTTCTAAGAATTTAAGTAGGAAACTTTGTGTGTGGTGTAATACTGGACTACAGAAGTGTTTCACTCTTCACAGATTTAGTGTATAGAAAGAATATCTAAAGAAAAAATGTGATTTATTATTCATAGCACAAAATGACTTTTTGATTTATAAGAAATTGCCTAGTGTATTTCCCAGTATATTAAAAATATAAATAATTTGCAAAAATATATTTGAAAATATTATTTTGGGAACACATTCATTGCAGACAAAGCTTAGCCCCTGGTACTGGGAAAACATGATTCCAAGTAGGATACTACCACACTTGCTTGTACAATTTCCCCTGATACTTTCACTCTAAAACAGAGTGGGCTGGAATAATTTTGTTCCTATCTAGCAGCAGCGTCATTAATCTTTATGAGAGTTCACCTCTATTGACTGGCACTGGTCTTACCTGGGATAACACCATAATAGGTCAGTGGCAAAGCTAATTGGAATGTGGGTTTCCTAACCTTCTCCTTGTCTCCAGCAAATTCTTTCACTTAGATGGCTTTGCATGCAACTGAAATTCACCATTCCTCTTAAATTTGTTATCCAAGAGTAAGAGTGTATAAGAAGATGGGATGGTTAGGCAAAATGTATCTTCTTTATGTATTTTCCTTAAATTGGATTGATGGAAAGAACAGATGAAGTGGAAAATATGTGAGTAACAGGACCTGTCATTTATTGAGCATCTACTATGTGCTGGAGACATTGCTAAGATAATGGGTGTCCCAGCTTGGCCATCTGACTATCATATGGATCTCAGGCAAGCTTGAGAGCATAAGGAGACCAGTGGGGGCACTGTTAAAAGTCACTTAGTAGGAAGGACTGAGGAATTTCACCAGGGAGGGAGTTAGAGACTACATTAGGAGCTGGTGGCAGGATAAAAATCATAGAACTTTTTTTGTTGGTTGCATCATTTTTGCCTTAGTGGACCATCAAATACAATCTTACATTTGCATACCATGATCACACCAGGGGAAAGGATTTTTATTCTCACTTATAGGTGAGAAAATTGATGCTCAGAGAGAGAAAACAAACATGTAAGGGCACCTCACTGATTTATAACCTGTCTACGTGCACCATTGGAGCTGAAAATGACCAGAGAACCAAGCGGCCTGCTTTATCGTCAGATTCATGTTGTCAGTAAAACTTAGGTTTACAGATCCTGTTCAGGTGTCACCTCTGGAGTCCTGTCTGTCACGGGGTAGAGCCAGTCACTCCTCCTCTGTAGTTCCATGGCATTTCGTGTGTAGCTCCATTTTACTATATTTCACACTGCATTGTAATTCATTTACTGATCTATCTTCCAGCAAAATAGGCATAAAAGTTTGGAAATTTAATTTCCCCTGTTAAATCATGCTCCATACAGCCATCTATCTGTAAAGCTGAGCCATGAAGAAAAAGAGGGCCGGTCCTTTATAGAACAGAGAGGTCAGTGATCAGCTTTAAAACCCAAAGCTGACTTTCTTGACTTCTTTAGCAAGGAAGCATCTTGGAAATCCTGGAGAAATAAGGGATTCTAAATTCTGAAATTCTCCTTCCAACATATCAATAATCCATACTGCCAACCATATCAGAGTTTCTTCCAGAATGTGAAAGGTTGCCTCTTCTCTCTAGAGGCTGAACCAGGCCCGGTATCCCTGGAAGGAGGATGGGAGATGAGGAAGGGAGACAAGGAAGTCCATACTAGAGAGAAAGAGGGAGGGAGAGCTTGTCTCTCCCTCTCATCCACTGATTGTGCAAAGAGGAAAGGAAACTGACAAGGGAGAAACAAGTATTAAGTCATATGTGCCCAAGATGTGCCCTCTCTGAAGTCCCAGAGGATAGAGAGAATGCTAGATAGTTTGAAGGCAAACCAAAAAAAAGCACCAGGTTTTTTGGGAGGCAGAAGCCCCACACCCAGCTGAGGAAGCCACATCAGAGAACAACTTAAGTGATGTGTGCTTAGCAGAGCACTAAAGGTCCTGGAATTATCCTCAGCTCCTGTGTTGCTGGAAGATGTTTAGACATCTGTGTATCCTGCCTGAGAAGGGGTGCCGGCTGGGAGGTGGGGAACAGTCTATGTTGCAGGAATCACAAAGGTTGGAAACCAAATGCATTCACATCTGGAGGTTCACTTTATCAGTGAGAATCAAGCGCAGGTGGGAGCAGTCCACAAGAAGAGAGAGACAACTGCTGGGAGGAGAGAGCAGCAGAGGCCAGCAGAACGCCAGACAGCAGCTCCGTGTCCAGCACAGCAGGTGCACATCCAACTACTAGCCAGCTGCCCCTAGGGACATTAGGCACAGGACCGACATCAGGCCACAAGGTCACACAAACCTCCTGGAAATCCACAGACCATCTCAGATATGAGTGTGGGGGTTGTGATGTCTGAGAGGCTGAGCATTTGTCCAAAAGCAACTGAGTTATCCAAAGAGAGTTTTTAAACTAGAAGGGATTGGCAAGTTTTACATTTAGTCAGTCTTTTCCCTCCACCTACTGCTACTTAGCCAGGTGGAGGGTGTTTGGAAGAAGGTTCACTATAAAGATTAGATCGATTATAGAATATAAAGAAAGTACAGTTTCTTTGGACATCCAAGTGTAGCATGAATGAACCTGCATCCATTCTATGTCTATAATACTTAAAGCTTCTTCGGAGAGGGGATCTTTTTTAGTTATCTTTACATTTCCAGACCATAGCAGAATACTGAAAAGGTGTTTAGTGTTCCATACCTGTGTCCTGTGTGAATAAATGCACTTACTAGTGATAAAACTACTAGAGGTCACTTGTGTTGCCTTGCCCAATAGCTGGCCTTTAGAAATTCATCCTTTCATTCATTGACTTATTTTCAAACGTTTGATATATTTTTAGCATCTATCACATACACGATACTGTGAAGGAAACAAAGATGAATTGTTTCTGCATTTATTCAAACATTAGGAATTGATTCAGGGCTTATTAAGTTCCAAGTACACAAGTCCCACTTTCAAAGATTTTTACAAACTTGAAAGAGAAAATATACAAATAAACAATTATCATATAGAGTAGAAAGTGACAGTTACTATAAGAAAACTGAAGATGAAGAAATGAATAAAGAGTTCAGACAGGATCAAATACATGTTTTCCAATCTTGCAAACATGGCTGTTACAGAATGTAGTTGAAGGAAAGGGTGAGAGATACGTCCCTTGCTTTCCAATGGCTTTGCCAAAGTTACTAGCCCTTCCCTAGAAATTTCTGCATAAGTCACCCCTTAATCTGCATGTAATTTAAAATGAGTATCAATATGACTGCAAAATTGCCCTAAGCTTCTGATCTCTGCCTATGGGGTAGCCCCACTCTACAGGAAGAGTCAGAGAGCTGTAACACTGCCAGAGCTGTAACATTGCTGCTTCAATAAAGCCATTTTCTTCTACCTCTGGCTTGCCCTTGAATTCTTTCCTAGGCCAAGCCAAGAACTCTGTGGGTTAAGCCCCACTTTGGGGCTCACCTGTCCTGCATCACCTTCTGTGGTAGGCAGTCATGGAGAATGCATTTAAAGATGGTGTAGGAATGGGTATGGTAATGGAACTAAAGAGAGATTGACAATAGCTCTACTGTGTTCCTCTGATGATATGCAGGTGTTTATGCCCCATATCAGGACAAAAGCCTGACAGAAAACTGTGCAGCACCCAACCAAATAGTTAGATTTGAAGTGCTACAAATTTAAGTCATTTTCACAATCATGGCAATAGGAAGTCTGGATCTAAGAACTCTGAAAGAGATTTGGAATATCATGTTCCCTTTGGGGGCAAGCACTTTGGTTTTAAAAGCTTTGCCTTTTAATGTACTTTAAGAATATCGTTTGAATAGTCATTAAACTTCCATAGTCCTGCATCAGGGACAGGTAAAAACAGCAAGGATAAAGAAGAAAATATAGCCTTAAGAGCTGAGCTTTAGTCATAAACCCTAGCTCCTGGGACCCGTTTCTAATGTAAATAGGCAAGCTTTCTCTCTGGCTCATCCACAGAGGTCAACATTTAAGTTGGCTACAAATTTTAGAAGTCTGCTTAGTGACTTTCTGTCATCTGTCATACTTCTTGACTATGGGACCACACTTACATGAAACCTAAGGGTGGGAGCTGTTTCTCCTGTGTCTCCATGGAGCTGGTTGCAGACTTTTATCATCACGCTTACTGTATTGTATTCTAAGTGTTAACGTAGCTGTCGGTTGCCTCATAGCAGGGCTCAGGTCTGATCAGGGGTTGTATCCCTAGCATTTAGCTAAGGCATTTCTTTTTGTAGAATTGGGGTCCTGCTATGTTGCCCAGGCTTTCCCCAAACTCCTGGGCTCAAGCAATCCTCCTGTCTGAGCCTCGCAAAGTGCTGGGATTGCAGGCATGAGCCACCGTGCCTTGTCTAGGGCATTTCTTAATCAATAAAGTAATACGTATGCCAAATCTACTCATATGGCTTAAACATGAGACTCTAGACATATGAAAAAGTATAAACAACTTGGCCTTTCTCTGTATTTGATACAACTTAGCCTACGGAAATTAATTAAGAGTGAACCCAGAAAGGCCTGAGAGTTACATAAAGTGATGAGACTAACTGTTGCAGGCATATGTTTTATACGCCCTGTGGAATTAGTCTTAAGGTTGGATATCACACTGCACATTAGGGAGGCTGGCATTTGTTTTGTATTAATCTCTACTAACATGCCCACGTCAGAGGAGTGGTGCAGAAAATAAAATAATCAGTGTTGGAAGGATTACCTCCTTGTCCTTCACTCCTGATGGAAACTGCTTAAAGAATCTGAAGAGCTGTGAAATATGCACTGTGTGAAAGAGGGGATATGATGTCAGAGGCTCAGACCCCTCAGCATGGTTAGCAAGTGTATGGGAAATTGTTCCCAACGTGAGTGAATTTTAATTACCAAACTATCGTGTTTGAAGAGATACACTTTCTTCTTATTTCACAGAAACACTAGTTTAATCTGTTTGCATTTTAGTCTGTATGCCTGAAAAAAGATGAATAATCTTTGGATAAGAAGTCATACAGCTAGTATTTCTACTGTAATGGTTCATATAGCACAGTTATAAAAATAGCGTAGCTTTGAAAATGTGTCCAAATGTCATTGCTAATCTCTCTCAAAGTCACAGCACAATCTATTCATCCTCCACAAGTCAAGATACACAAGCCTACAAATGCATCTTTAGAATAAAATCCTTATAAATCCAACATGATAATGCTACCACCTCTCTTTTTACTTTCTAATAAGGAAAACAGCTAGGTTTCTCCACTTCAATATCTTTCTTTCATCATCTTTTTCCTGCATAAATGTTATCATTTTTGCCAGTGTTAACTTTTTTAGCTTCAGATTATAAAGCAAAAGTTAAAAATATTTCTCTCAAAAGATATTCAACATTACTAGCCATTCTGTAAATATAAATTAAAACCACAATGAAATATTACTACATGGCTTTTAGGTTGCCAAAAATAAAAATTAATGGTAACACCAAATGCTGGTGAGGATGGAGAACCAATAGATGTCTCATACATTGCTGGTAGGAATGTAAAATGGTACAGCTGCTATGGGAATTAGCTTGACAGCTTCTAAAAGTAAATATGCACTTACCATATGACCCAGCTATTGCACTTTTGCACATTTATCCCAGAGAAATGAATACTTTATTAACACAAAAACCTGCACATGAATGTTCACAGCAGCTTTACTTATAAAAGCCTAAAGGTGGACACAACACAAATGTCTTTCAACAGGTAAATAGTTAAACAAATTCTGGTTTATTCCTACCAGGGGATACTACTCAACAATAAAAAAGAACAAACTATTGATACATGAAACAATTTAGAGGGACTTAAGGACATTATGCTTAGTGAAAAAAGCCAATCTCAAAATGTTAAATACTGTAAAATTCAATTTTTATATAGCATTCTCTAGCTGAAAGAATTGTATAGATGAAGAACAGATTAGTGGTTGCCAGTGACAGAGATGAAGGTGATGGGCTTCACAGGGGTAGCTCCAAGGGATTTCCTTTGTGGTGATGGGATAATTCTGTACCCGATTGTAGTGGTGGTTACATGAATCTATACATGAGACCAAAGTGCATAGAACTACACAGACACACACACACACACACACACACACACACGAAGGTAAAAATGTATGAAAACTGAATAAGGTCTGCAGTCAATATCCTGGATCTGTCATTATTCTAAAGTAATAGAAAATGTCACCATTGGGGAAAGCTATGTGAAGGGTTCAAAGGATCTTATATTTTTACAATGATTATAGATTCACATGAAATTGCAGCAATATATATACATTTTCCTCTCAAGCTTCATATATCAATTGTTTGTGACATTTAACCATAAGTGTGGTGCAGAAACTGAAAGGGCAAGAGGATAGAGCAAGGAGTGACTCTTTATGCCTTTTTGTTTACATCTCTGTTTTTGAGAGAATCTGAAAACAAGAGCATTTGGTGCTCTGCCAATTATTAATGAAATCTCTCTTGTTAAAACAAATGTGCTTGGGTCACATCCTATCATTTGTTTCCTAAGAAAAATTCAGGTTTTCTTTTACCTACAACATTAAGTCATTCTGGCATTGAAGACCTTCTACAATATGGCCCAGCTTAACTCTTGGCTCTCACTTCCTCTATTCCCTTTAGAGTACCTATTGCTTCAATCTGTTCACATACCAGCCACAATGGTCTTTGAAACTCAAATGTGTCACATTACCTTGCAGATTAAAAATTTTGCAGTGGCTTCTGGTGGTACTAGCCTAAAGACCCAAACACTTGAAATGGCCACCCAGACCTGTGGGGGCTGATCCCTGCCTCTTTGTCTCGCCATCTTGTGCCACTCTTCTCTTTGGTGTCCTTGCCCAGACACGACCCTGCTCGGAACCTCATCCTTGCCATGGTCCATCCCAACATAGGGCCTTGAACACGCTGTCTGCTTAGCCTGAATCTCTTTCCCTTCCAACTAATCTACTCAGTTCCACCATCAGTTCTTCAGGAAAATCTTTCCCAACCTTCCAGTTTGGGTTAGATTGCTTTGACAAACGTTCCCAGAGAACTGTGTTGATTTCCTTCAGAATGTTTATTCTTGATTATGTCTTCATTCGTTTGGTTATTTGATTAAAAGCTGCCTTTCCCACTTGACTGGAAGTTCTGTGAGAATATGTACAGTATTTATTTTTGCTTACATATACATTCACCACCTAATACAGTGTCTTGAACACGAAGTATTCAGTAATTACTTTTGAAGTGACTGTATTAATCAGATGAAAATAATTGTTCTCCAATCATATTCCTTGAGTTTTGGGACTCCAGGCTTCTGTTATGAGGTTTGTTTCATATGCAAAGTTATACCCACATTTTATCCTCTCCACTTTTTATCCAACCTCATAGACCCATCTGAATGGACACTTTCTTGACTTTTCTTCAACTATCATCTCTGCCTCCTTTGAAAATCATAGCACTTAGGTGTCTGCTCTCTTGCCACACTTGGTGTTACTATCATTAAGCTGTGTCTCTTATCTCCTTTAGAAGTTCATAAGCTCCCATAGGGCAAGGCTGATTCATTTCTCTTTATATCACCTGCAGTAACTATTGCATTTCTCAGAAGCTAAATAAACGTGTCTTCTTTATGGATTAATATGAGTAAAACACATACTATGTGTTCAATTAATATTTATAGAAACAAGGGAAAATTGTAGTAGGTACTTGTCAGTTCCATAAATCTGTAGTGAGTAAACAGAACTAAATTACTAAACAGCACTATAAACATGGCTCACAGAGGAAATGCCTTCTGTTCTGATCACTTATTATTTAATAGATTTATTTGTTATAGGTGGAAAAATGGTTCTAGAACTGTTAGATTCAACTTGCCTTTTTACTTCCCTGTTCCTTGCTCAGTAAATTACAGTGAGGACTAATTGATATTTCACTGAAATTATTTTTCTTACTACAGAATTAAAATAAACGTTTTCATAGAATGCAGCATTAAATAGGGTGTCAAATGGCTAACTTGAGAAAGATGGCAGGATGGATATAGTGGCAGGTATAGAACATAGGTTTGAACTAACTACCTGAGGATCAGGGGACCAGCTATTAAGAATAAATTGTCACTGTTCACAGGCAAAACATACTTAAAAAAACTTAAAAAAAAACTCACTGAACTTAAGAAACAATTTGTTGTAATTTTTTCAATGCTTAACAGAAAAAAAAAAGCCAACTATGGTTCCAAACAGGAAAGTCACTCCTCATTTCCCCCTTAGGTCCATTAATACATTTTGACTCTGGGCTAATGGGTCCAGTTTTGGTGTGAAGCTAACATTCCTCCCTCCCTTTCCCCATCCTACCTCTATGAACATTCTGGGGGCCTCTAAATATAGATAAAGGACCACTGGGAGCTCCTGTGCACCAAAATACTGGAAATCAATGTATACAATTAACTTCTTCAAACATGTATTTAGTATCTAGTATGTGCTGGGGTTTCCTCTAGGTACTAGAGATTCAATGGTGAACAAGAGACTATCCTTGCTATGAAAGAGCTCACAGTTTGGTGGAGTAGATGGGAATATGCAAACATCCTTCTCAGGTAAAAGACTGCAAATAGAGCTAAAAAGCAAAGCACCTCGGGAGACGAGAGAGAGAGAGAGAGACTTGTTCTCATTGTGGGGTTTGTTGATGGGAGATGGGAGCTACACTGGGTGTACAGACATTGTGGTTTTTCCTCCTGCATCCATCTGTCTCACCTCTCCCTTAATGGGTGACAGATATGTGACCGGATGGCGTTGATCCCACCCTGACTCTATCAGTGGGTACTGTTCACTCAAAATGCCAGCAGTACTTCTATTGAGAAATGTTCAGCTAAATCAGTGAGAGAAATCTCCTCTTCTATTGATTCAGATACTTCAGGTCTAAGCCAATTAACTCACAGCATTCCCCTTGGCCATTAGTGTGGCCTAATCAGAATACAGTGCTAGACTTTTATTCAATGGTTGTGGGCAAGCATCTTTTCTGTCTCTCATTGGACATGAAGGAAGAAGGACATGTACTCCCAATTTGTGCTAAAAACCATCTCATGACCATGAGAGGAGCCTGCTTTAACATAAATCTAGCAGAAGGGACAGTAGAGGGGAAAGATGGGAAAAACGAAAAACAAAAATGAGTCCCTGATGACATTATTAAGACATTTGGCCAACTATCCTGAAGATCATCCTTTTACTAGATGTTCCAGTTATGAGAATCAATAAATTCCCATTATTATTATTATTATTATTATTATTATTATTTTAGAGATGGGATCTTGCTATATCACCCAGGACTACCTTGAATTCTTGGCCTCAAGCAATCCTCTGGCCCCAGCCTCCCCAGTAGTTGGGCAGCTGGGACTACAGAGGTGCACAACTGTATGCCCGGCTTATCAAAAGACAGTTTCTGCTGGGCTTTCCGTTATTCATAATTTGAAAGCATCCTAAGGTACAGAGGTCCTTGAAATAAATAGGACTTCATTAGGTAGGGGATGGAGACGAAAAGGATATTCCAAGTAATAGAAACACCTTGAGCAGGGTATTAACTTTAAAAATGTAGCAAATTGTGTGTGTGTTTAAGAGAGAGAAACATAGGTGTTTATGGGACATCTGTAGTGGGAAATATTCTTATACCATTTCTAAGATGAGAAAGGAAGAGGGGAGGTGGAAGGAAAGAAACAATGTTTTTTTCTAGTGAGAACTTCAGATTGCACTGAATAATGAATGTTGATATACATAAAGAGAACACTGCCAATAATTTTTATTTCCATAATTTTTTTCAGTGTATTAGTATGTATCATAGAAATATACAATAAGACTTCAAAATTACATTTGTGGTAAATTCACCAATTTTATGAAACTCATTTCATTTGCACACAGCATACCAAATTACTGGTGCAACTACGACGTATCTAAAAGGTTTTTCCATTTTAAAGCTTTATTGTATGGAGAGGTGAATATGAAGGACATTATAACTATCGCTGTTAAAGAAGACATACGGGCTGGGCGTGTGGCTCATGCCTGTAATCCCAGCACTTTAGGAGGCTGAGGTGGGCGGATCTCTTGAGCCCAGGAGTTCAAGACCAGCCTGGGCAACATGGGGAAATCCCATCTCTAGAAAAACTACAAAAATTAGCCAGGTGTGGTGGCATGTGCCTGTAGTCCCAGCTACTTGTGGGGGCTGAGGCCAGAGGATCGCTTTAGCCCAGGAAGTTGAGGCAGCAGTGAGGCATGTTTCTGCCACTGCACTCCAGCCTGGGTAACAAAGTGAGACAAAGGAAAAAAAAAGTTATGCACTGAATTATTCTCCCTCTGGAATTTGCAACCATTTTGTGTGTGTGTGTGTGTGTGTGTGTGTGTGTGTTTTCTTAGAATTCATGAGGTCTTGCGCAAAATAAAGAAAATGTAACTGGGGGAGTCCTAGGTGATGGCTTAATCATATTTATAATTGGTGTGTTTATGTCTAAATGCTAATTTATGCATGATGCTGTACCAGGTAGATTTATAAATTAACTTTAAAAAAGTCATAGTTCTTGCTTTCAAGGTCCTTAAAAATGTCCTAATAGCACTGACAATGTATAGAGAATAGAGAGTATGAGTATCCCCCAATATATTTTTTAACATAAAGAAATGTTATATATTGTGCATGGAGGCATTTTGTGTCTCTTTTTCATCTTGGAGAGGATGAAAAAGAAACAAAAAGGCCAACTTTAGGGAGAGCAGGGCTCTAAAAACTGGAGAAAAGAAAGTTCTAAAAGGGAGAGAAAGGATTTCATACAAGGAAATTTTTAAAAAGGCAAGTGCCAAGAGGCAGAATGCACTCCTTCTGGAGTCTCATGAGGCATCTGGCTATTGCCTTGTATCTCTTCCAACATCAGTCTAAAAGTCACAGGGTGCTAAGGATTAAAGTGACCGGGCAGGCTCAGGTCTCCCTTATCAGTTATCTATTTTCTTCAATATGCACCTGACTAGGAATCTGATCCCACAAAAGCTCTTGGAACACAACGTGCATATGGAGGTGGTCCTGGAAAAATGCTACCATTAATTACTTTCATTTCAAGCTATCTTTGAAGTTCATATGAAAATCAGATGGTAGGAAAACTAAGTCAGGTGTAGATAGTTTCCCACCCACTGTATTTCATCTAATTTTTTCAAGTGCTTTGCTGCTTGTTTCTCCATTTTTGTCATTATTGTTCGTAAGCAAATAGACAAGATGGCAGGAAGTATCAAAGCTAAACTAAATCTAATATGAGAACAATGTTTTGTTTTGTGTTTTATCCTAGAGCTTTGCAATGGTATGGAATTAATAATATTACCATATAAAAAGAAGTGAAGATGAAACAAAAATAGTTAAGTTTATCATTTACAGTGTAATGAGGAATATATATGTCTGTCAAAAATTGTGAAAAGCGAAGGTAAACTTGCAATTGTGTGTGTGTGTGTTCATGTGAGAAAGAGAAGGAGAGGGAAGAAGGGGGAAAGAAACACAGTAGCTATCTTCACGCATAACACATTTTAAGAATTGACTCCTTGTCCCTTTAGGAAAAATCCTGTCCCTTCAGGTTGCAAATTCTACACATTAAAAAAGCTAAAAGAAAAGATTATTAAGCAGTTTGATTATTTAATCAAAGTCTATTAACATTCTAAAAAGTTATAAGTTGTGATTAAAATTGATTTGTTTTTATATTTATTAATAATTCTCCTGCTAACATAAGATTAGTTGACAGCATTCAAAGCCACAAATTTTTTTTACATTGTCAATAGTAATTGCAATATATTCAAAACAAAGAGAAAACATATGTCCAATTACACTTAAATTTAAAGGATTATTAAGACATATAAATAAAGTTCAAGTTAATTTTTATATAACCAGTTTCCATCTTGTTGCAAAACTCATAGACTTATAGTATACAGAATCTGTATACTGCAGTCTGTATACTATAGTATAGTATACAGATAGTAACTTGTAGTATAGAGATTTTCAAGGACTAAACTGAAAGTAAACTACATCTGGATAGAGGAAGTTGAGAAGGGAAGAAGAACCATGGGTACCTGGATACTGGTCAGAGTTGTGTATTGGTAAGCCTTGACCACCAGATAATTTGCTTCCAGGTCTATGAGTCCCAAAATCATGTACTTCCACCATCTTCGTCGTAAAATTGCCAGGAGGTTTTCTTCTCCTGTGTTACAAAGTTAAGAAGAAATGGGTTAGGTTCCTGAAATAGAATAAATTGTACATTTAGAAGAATTCTAATATGTTGCAACATTATATATTTTTAACCTAAAGTTTACCAAATATTTAAACAAATAAATCAACGTATCAGATACCCACATGTTTTTATTTAGCAAATTAACTTTATTGCAGATTTTGGCTTTTCAAGTTACTTTCTATGCCAGAGTAAGACTGGGCAGGTTATAAGCTTACCATGCAAAACATCTTTTGTGTGTGAATAAATGAAGGATAACATAATTACATCATATGAAAATGAAAGGAAAGGTGTACCAGAAAGGCTGCATAAACACAACATTCCAAATCATTCTAAATTTCAGGATTGTGATAAAATAGATAAAAATGAAAGAACCAAACAGAAAAAGGCTTGTGCTTGGCAGCAGATCTGTAGTAAGACTCTGAGATGCTATCCTGAGTTCCTGATCAGCTTTGAATGTTGCATGCACTCTAGTGGTTTGTGGGTGATGGGAAGAGACAGCAAGTTGGGGCATCACTCTCAGATGAAAAAGAGTGCCATTTGACAACACTTTTAATACTGCCAACAACTATAATCTTCACCATCTTGCATTTTTAAACTGGTAGCATAAGAACAGACTTTGAATCTCTTAGTTCTTCATTCTTATTTTTACATATATTTCAGGCCTGAGATAAACCTTATTTCTCAAGGCAGGGCAATCATGATCAGGAACAATAATAATTCTCTGTAGCCAACCTGTGGGGTCTTCATAGAGGATGTAGATGTACAGAAACTTAGTGAATGGTGACTATATACCATATTTATGGCTGTGTAACAAGATATCCAGAGACAGAGCTGTTTAAAACAAGAAATACTGATTATCTCGCAGTTTTTGTGGGTCAAGAACCAGGTTAGAGCTTAACTGAGTGTCTCCAGCTCAAGTTCTCCTAGTAAGTTGCAGCCAGTTGTCAACCGGGAATGCAGTGTCATCTGAAGAAATGACTGGGGAGGGACCTGCTTCCAAGCTCACTCACATGGCTGTGGGTGGGCATTGGTCCCTTACCCCAAGGACCTTTGTACAGTACTGCCTCAAAACATGGCATTTGTTTTGTCCCAGGACAAACAATGAGAGAGAGAGAGAACACCAAAGATGGAAGATAAGGTTTTTATAACCTAATCTCAAAAGTGACACTTCTACCCTACTGTATTCTTTAACAAAGGGTCAATAAGTCCAGCCCACATTCAAGGGGAGAGAATTTCATAAGGGAGTGAATACCAGGAGGCAGAGATCCTTGGAGGCCATCTTAGAGGCTGCCTAAACAGTGACACACATCTTTAGTCCTAGAGATGTACTTCAGCTGGTCCTCAAAGCCTCAGAAGAACATTGGATCCTCAGCTGTATTTGGACCACTCTCAGAATCAGAGCTACTTATTTCTGCTCTTAGCTGTATTCCAATGACCATGATAATGAGGTGGTCTTTCCAACCCTATGAAGACTTGTGAGCACAAAGCTTTCAGTTACATACAGACTGTCAAAGCATGAGTTGTGGCCAGTTGACAATAGGAGAGAAGGGTCTCTTGACCTTTGGTGGTCAAATCAGTTTGCCAGCCTACTCTTCCAAGCCACACTTCTCATAGCCTTCAAGCCTTCAAGCATGCACAAAGTCTTTCTGTATCAGGGAACTGCGCTCCCCATCTTGCAAACTCCTATTCATTTTTCAAAATGTAGCCCTTCTCTGGTCTTTTGGCTAAGCCCTTTCCCCAACTGGGTAATGCACATCCATCTCTGATTAATCCTTTCATAGGATTGTGATTACTGACTCTTCACTAGACTGGGTGCTTTTATCCAAAGGTAGAGTTAATGTCTTACTCATATACTTATCCATAGCCTCTAGCATACTGACATATAGCAAGGGTTAGCTAAGTGTTTTGGAGTGAATGAATCAATGAATTGAAAACAAAAAAAAAGTGAAATACTGTCTGAATATGTCAAGAGCCAGTGCTAGAATATGAGTCACTCTTTTCATGGTTTTGCACATGAGAAGGCTGGCAGATGTGATCCGCAAGGTCAGTTCTTCACCGCCAGATCATTTTGGCAGTCTTTGAACAGCTCTTCTGCCTCTCTGACTTGCCTTACATGTTTGACAATCAACACATTCGTCAGGATTTGTCTTGTCAATCAGTGATTCTCAACCTGACTGCGTATTCACATCATCTGGAGAGCTTTTAAAAAGTCCTGGCTGGGCGCGGTGGCTCACGCCTGTAATCCCAGCACTTTGGGAGGCTGAGGCGGGCAGATCACGAGGTCAAGAGATCGAGATCATCCTGGCCAACGTGGTGAAACTCTGTCTCTACTAAAAAATACATGAATTAGCTGAGTGTGGTGGTGCACACCTATAGTTCCAGCTACTCAGGAGGTTGAGGCAGGAGAATCACTTGAACCCAGGAGGCGGAGGTTGCAGTGAGCCGAGATGGCGCCACTGCACTCCAGCCTGGCAACAGAGTGAGACTTCGTCTAAAAAAAAAAAAACCAGAAAAGTCCTAATGCCTGGGACCAGCCCCCCTTCTAGAGATTCTGATTTAACTGGTCTTGGGTGGGGGCCTGTGCATTGCACTGAGGATCAAAACTAGGACTTTTAGATGATTAATTTTCAATGGCCATTCTCATGGTGACTCGAGCTAAGAATCCCAAAGAGATACAACCACAGAGTGGTGAAGACTCTTCATACCAAAGAAATGACCTGAACATTTGGCCCAAAGTACGCTTTCTCTTGTCTCTGGGCCTTTCCATGTGCTGTTTCCTCTGCTTGGACTATTCTTCCTTCTGTCTCCAAATGAAGTCTCAGCATACACACTTCTACCAGGAAGCCTTCCTTGATACTCTTAGTACCCTAGACTGGGCTAGGTTTTCCTGCTGTGTGCTTCCTTAACACCTTTTTTTTTTTTTTTTTTTTGGGATGGAGTTTCACTCTTGTCACCCAGGCTGGAGTGCAATGGCGCGATCTTGGCTCACCACAACCTCCACCTCCTGGGTTCAAGCGATTCTCCTGCCTCAGCCTCCCGTGTAGCTGGGATTACAGGCATGCACCACCACGCCCAGCTAATTTTGTATTTTTAGTACAGACGGGGTTTCTACATGTGGTCAGGCTGGTATTAATCTCCTGACCTTGTGATCCGCCTGCCTCATCCTCCCAAAGTGCTGGGATTACAGGCGTAAGCCACTATGCCCAGTCAACACCCTTTATTTATACATGGTGCTTATCCTCCTGTCTTATAATTACCTACTTTCTTCACTCTATTACACATTAGATTATTAATAATTTGGAGAGAGCAGAATTGTCTTGGTAGTCACTTTATTCCCAGATCCCACAGTGCATGTCAGGCAGTCAATAAATAACATAAATGTATAAATAAATTTCATGTTTAATAATCTCAGCAATGTTAAATCCCATTGCAATTGAGGCACTGAAAATATATCTATTAGAAACATTCATGTTTCAGCCTACGAGAATTGTTTTCTAGTTAGAATGTAGACAACGTGTGACAAAATTAATTTGGTGAACATTTTACACATAATACACTGTACCTTGGACATAAAAAGGTCAATGGCATATTTAACCTTCACACTGCAATTCTAAAGTCACAGACCCTTGTCCCAGTTAATTTACACAGTGAACACAGAATTGCCAGACTCAGAGCGCACCAGCCACATCTCAATACATAGCACTGAAAAAATGGGCTATGGTGCTGTTTGTTCCATCAATCAATAACATATTCAAAGTGTTCTTCATTACATAGATTCAAAGGAATGATTAGTTGCCTTGCCATTCTGCTGAAGTTTGCAGTGCAAAACACCCTAAATAAATGCTTCCATATTGTTTCATTTGAAGTACCTGAAAATAGACAACATGCTTGCTTAGCAGAATTATTCAGGAGGGCAAGAGGAAGGCTTTTTTATTTTTGGCTAAGCAAAAAATGCAACCGTTGAAAAGCCAGCTTGGGGATTTATCTACATGACTCCCATTAATGCTGATCTGCAACAGACCATTAAAACTCTTTCTAGAATAATGAAAATACATTCCTTAGAGTCCCCATGCCAGCACTACCCAAACCTCATGAAACAGGGCCATCTATAAGAAACACCAGTACAGCTGGTAATATGCTAATGTTTTGAAATCCACCCCACCTTTTTTTAAATTAACTGGGAGAAGTAATAAAATCCATGGATGGAAACTTTAGAATTACAGTTTGGCAATTAAATGCATTCTGTTTACTATTTTTATTATCAATATGTTAAAATATAAGTAAAAAGATTAGAGAATAATCTGTCCTCCTCCCTGATTTAATAAATGTTAACAGTTTGCTGTGTTTTTCTCAGATCTTTATTTTTTGAGAAAGAAAATTTTACAGATGAAATAAAAGTCCCCTCTCTGTCCCTGCCAGATTTCATTTCCATCCCTCCTTCCTCAAATGATCATCTTGATATTGTTTTTTTGTTGTTGTTTTTGTTTGTGGGGGGTGTTTTTGTTTGTTTGCTTGTTTCAGACAGGGTCTCTCTCTGTCTCCCAGACTGGAGTGCAGTGGCGTGACCATGGCTCTCTGAAGCCCTGACTTCCTGGGCTCAAGTGATCCTCCTGCTTCAGCCTCTTGAGTAGCAAGCCCAGCTAATTTTTGCATTTCTTTGTAGAGATGGGGTTTTGCCATGTTGCCCAGGTGGTCTTGAACTCCTGGGCTCAAAGAATCCACCCGCCTTGGCCTTCCAAAATGCTGGGATTTACAGGCATGAGCCACCACGCCAGCCTTATCATCTTGATTTTGTTATGTATCTTTTAGGCTCCTGTTTTGGTTCACATTTCTATGTGTGCGTGTATTCAAAATAGTATATGACTTTCTTTCATGTGTTTTTAAATTTTATGTGAAGGTTTACTGTAAATGCTGTAAATATTCTCCTAGGCTTCTTCATGGCTTATCCTTGTTTTAGAAATGCATCCTTGTTGTCTCATGGAGAGCTAATTCATTTATTTTAAATGATGTCTACTATTATGTTTTATGAGTATGCCACAATTTATTCAATCTTCCACTGATAGACTTCTAATTGGTTCTAATTTTTCAAACAATGCAGTAAAAGACATATATTTCTTGTTTTTCTTCTTTTTTTTTTTTGTAGATGGAGTCTTGCTGTGTCACCAGCCTGGAGTGCAGTGGTGTAATCTCGGCTCACTGCAACCTCCGCCTCCCGGGTTCAAGCGATGCTCCTGCCTCAGCCTCCCGAGTGGCTGGGACTACAGGCACGTGCCACTATGCCCAGCTAATTTTTGTATTTTTAGTAGAGATGAGGTTTCACCATGTTGGCCAGGATAGTCTTGATCTCCTGACCTTGTGATCGGCCCACCATGGCCTCCCAAAGTGCTGGGATTACAGGCAAGAGCCACCATGCCTGGCTGACACTTATGTCTTTATACACATGTATCATTATAATTGATATAGAGTTTTGTTTTCACTCTCTCTTTAAAGGACTGTAGAGTATGGCAAATGTGTAAAACATAATGAAAGTCATTCTAATTTGAAGTAAGATAGCATTACAACAACTTCAGTGTTTGAGAATAGACAGGAAAAAATCTTGGCCATGTGATTCATGTCTAATTTTGCTAAGCATCTGCAGGATGACCAATCAAATGTGTTTTATAATTTGTTAAACAAACACTTAATAGGATAATTACTATGTGTCAGAGAGTGTCCACTTGCTTTACAAATGCTATCTTATCCTCATTAAAACCCTATATATATTAGATGCTACTACTAACTCCACATACAGATGACAAGAATGAGACCTGTAGGAGTTAAGTAACTTGCACAAGATCACATACATAAACCAGTATTTGAACTCATGACAATTTGGCACTAGGCTTCATATTCATTAGCATTGCAATATTTTCTTTTGCCTTGCTGATTTGTAATTATGACATTATCCTCATGAGTCATGCATTTCTCATTAACGGATCTTTCCTGACCTACTGATCCAAACTCACTTGCAGGGCACCCCACTGCCAACTCCAGGGGTGCCTGTCATACTGGAGTGCTAGTATATGCATGGTGCTCCCCAGGAGTTGCCAGCCCTCAGCTCTGAATCAGCTTAGAGATCAGAATGTGTCCCATCACCATCAGTTCAGTATCAGGGATTTGATGTCTCCTTGCCTGATCTAAGTCTATGAGAGAATTTTTCCTGTGAAATGTGAAATAAGGCTTTAAATCAATTTTTTGGCTTAAAAAGTCTCATTACAAAAATAATCGTCATATGCTCGACTACTTGCTGAGGCCCCAGACATAGTAACAGTGGTTGCACATGGGGTGGGGTGAGGGTGGTAGTGGCTAATAAATGTTGAGGGAATGAAAAGTTTTGCCCAAGGGCTGAAACACAGTCCACATCCAAGCCAATGACTGGAAAACAGAAGAGCCTTGATTCATAGTATTCTTGTTCACCCCAGGGGTAGTCTGAGTATATAATAAAAGTGCTGCAAGACAGCACCCTAGATGAATTCAGCTGAGGGGACAAGAAGCTGCGTTATTTTGGGAACTGCATTTTCATTAAGGGATCTCATGGGTGGTGTCATCCTTCATGGTGTTTTTACGCCAGAACAAAACTCAGCACACATTTCACAGTCTGCAGCAAGAGTGATGCTCCTGCACAGGGGGCAAGATCCTTACTTGAATAAACACCTTTTTGGCTCACAGTGTGATGCCTTAATATCATCTCTTTTACCAGAACTCCAAAGGGGAAAGTTTGAGTATTTTTTGTGTGTTTTGTTTTTGAGACAGGGTCCCATTCTGCCACCCAGGCTGGAGTGCAGTGGTGTGATCTTGGTTCACTGCAGCCTTGCCCTCCCAGGATCAAGCAATCATCCCACCTCAGCCTCCCAAGTAGCTGGGACTACAGATGCACGCCACCATATCTGACCAATTTTTATAGAGTCGGGATTTCGTCATGTTGCCCAGGCTGGTCTCAAACTCCTGGGCTCAAGTGATCTGCCCGCCTCTCCCTCCCAAAGTGCTGGGATTACAGATGTGAGCCACCACACCCAGCCTGTTTTACTTATCAGTGAATTTGAAAATAAGTATGACTTATGATGGACATATAATTACTTACTTTAAAAGCTAAAATATAGTATTAGGATTTAGAGTTTAAAACTATTCCATTTAGTATGAAAAGTGAACAAAATTAATGTCCTAATTATATAAAAAAGAAAATCTAAATTGTTCATGAGAACGATTGCAATCAGCTGCTCTTCATAATGCAAACCTGAGTGAAGGATGAAATACAGAAAAGATAAATAAATTTTATCTTGTCTTCTTTCATTTATTTTTATTATTAGATCCAGAGAGTGAGATTGGGAAAAGTATAAAAGGCAGCCCTTTGATATTTTGGCTTAGTAACAAACGGACCTGAGTTTAGCCACAGGCTGCCTCTTACTGTGTGGCACGTAGGAATTGGGTTAGTGGCTCTGAACCTCAATCTTTCTACTATTAATGATTCCACACATATTGCACACTACATGCAAGACTTCAAAGAGGAAACTGCACAGAAGGGTGGAAAGAAAGACAAGAGAAGAAACTTTGTGTTCGTTCTCATTTTGTTCCCCTCTCACCCAACTCATTAAAGCTCCTACTCATCCTTCAAGATCCAGTCTAAATGTTACCTCCCACATGAAGCCTTCTCAAATTCTCTGCCACCCCTTCCCAGTTCCTCAGCACTTTTCTTTTCATTCTTTTTTGTTTTGTTTTGTTTTTGCCCACCCTATATTGCCTAGCATAGTGATTGAGACAAATTAATTACTCAATGTAAGACCTTTAAAATCTGCTCAATTGCCCTTTTTCAAGAAATGCCTAATATGGATTTGGAAAAATATCTAAAAGCAAATACAATGAATCATCATTGCATAAGGTTCTGGTATTTTTTACGTTAAGCTGAGTACTATGGAAAAATCCATAAATGCACAGATATCATTGCAGACAGAATAGATACAACACAAACCAACACTTTTGTCCCATATTTCTAGTTTTAACAGACACATTTCTTCATAAATACCGTCAGCCTCCTAAAATGTAATCCATTTAAACTAAGTACATATTTATACCCCAAAATCCTGTCTAGTTGATGCCTGTTTTTGAGCAACTCCTCTTGAGGACCATCTTGCTTCACCTGTTGCAGTTTTCTACATGTGCCGGTTCTTGCTCTGAAAAGTAGTCCCAAGAGTTCCTGCCTTTTGATTTGCACAGCGAGTCTGCCAGGTTGGGCCTCTCCCTCAGGGCTGCCATGTTTCCAGGCTCCAGAAAGCAGCCTTCTCAGATAAATCAAGCCTGGTGTCCTGTGCAGTTGAGCATGATGGCAGCCACATCTTCTTGCTGGCAGTGCACCATGAGGGAAGGCAGTGGAGCCATTCCGCAGTGGGCTGTCACCCAGGTTATTCCACCCATGGTGTGCACAATGTTGAGCAACTTTGTCACTTTTTAATTAATTTATTTATTGATTGATACATATTAGATGTACATATTTTGGGGGTACATTTGACAATTTGATACATTCCTGTAATCAAATTAGGGTAACTGGGATAACCATCATTTTAAATATTTATTTTTTCTTTATGCTAGGAACATTTGTTCTCTTCTAGCTATTTTGAAATGTACAGTTGATTAATGTTAATTATAGTTAATTATAATGAGCTATCAAACAACAGGTCTTAAGTATATATTTGTACCCATTAATTAACCTCACCTCATCCCCTACCACTCCTCTCTACTCTTCCCAGCGTCTGGTAACCACGAGTCTACTCTCTATCTTCATGAGATCCACTTTTTGAGGTTCCATGTATGAGTGAGAACATGCAATATTTGTCTTTCTATGCTTGGCTTATTTCACTTAACATAATGACGTCCAGTTCCATCCATGTTGTTGCAAATGATAGGATTTCATTCCTTTTAGTGGCTGAATAATATTCCATTGTGTGTGTGTGTGTGTGTGTATCCATTCATCAGTTGATGGACACTTAGGTTGATTCCATGTTTTGGTTATTGTGAATAGTGCTGCAATAAACACAGAAACGCAGATAACTCTTTGATATATTGATTTCCTATCTTTTAGGCATAACTCAATAGCGGAATTGCTGGATCATATGGTTAGTTCTATTTCTAGCTTTTTGAGGAATCTCCATCTGTTTTCCATAGTATGGCTATTCTAATTCACATTCCTACCAACACTGTACAAGGATTCGCCTTTCTTCATATCGTCACCAGCATGTCATTCCTTGTCTTTTTGACAAAAGTCATTATAACTGGGTTGAGACTATAGTTTTGATTTGCATTTCTCTCATGATTAGTGATGTTGAGTATTTTTTCATGTACCTGTTGGCCATTTGTTCCATCTTTTGAGAAATGTGTTTTTAGGTCTTTTCCCATTTTAAAATCAAATTATTCGACATTTTGCTATTTAGTTGTTTATATATAACTGTTTATATATTCTGGTTATTAATCCCTTATAAAATAAATATTTCCAAATATTTTCTCCCACTTTGTGGGTTGTCTCTTCACTTTGTTAATTGTTTCCTTTGCTGTGAAGATTTTTTTTTTTTTTTTGAGACAAAGTCTCGCTCTGTCAGCCAGGCTGGAGTGCAGTGGCTTGATCTCGGCTCACTGCAAGCTCCACCTCCCGGGTTCATGCCATTCTCCTGCCTCAGCCTCCCAAGTAGCTGGGACTACAGGCGCCTGCCACTACACCCAGCTAAATTTTTTTTGTATTTTTAGTAGAGACGGGGTTTCACCGTGTTAGCCAGGATGCTGTGAAGAAGGTTTTTAACTTGATATGACCCCATTTGTTCATGTTTGCTTTTGCTATCTATGCATTTGAGGTCTTACACGAAAAAATCTTTGCCTAGAGCAACGTCCTGGAATATTTCCCCAATGTTTTCTTCTAGTGCTTTCATAGTTTCAGGTATTAGACTTAAGTCTTCAATCCATTTTGATTAGATTTTTGTATATGTTGAGAGCTAGGGGTCTAGATTCCCTCTTCTGCATATGGTTAACCAGTTTTTCCAGGATCATTTATTGAAGAGACTTCCCTTTCCCCATTGTATGTTCTTGGCACCTTTGTTAAAAATTAGTTGGCTATAAATACATAGATTTATATCTGAGTTCTTTATTCTATTCCATTCATCTATATGTCTATTTTTATGCCAGTACCATGCTGATTTAATTGCCATAACTTTGTAGTATATTTTGCAGTCAGGTAGTGTGATGCCTCTAGCTTTGTTCTTTTTGCTCAGGATTGCTTTGGCTACTGGGGTCCTTTATTTCTGTGAAGAATGTCATTGGTACTTTGATAGCAATTACATTGAGCCTATAATTTGCTTTGGGTGATACTGTCATTTTAACAGTGTTAATTCTTCCAACCCATGCGCATGGAATATCCTTTCATTTTTTGTGTGTCCTCTTCAATTTCTTTCATCAGTATTTTATATTTTTCCTTGTATAGCTCTTTCAGGATGCTCACTTTTACCACTTTTTCTTCAATAATACTGGAAGTCCAGGCCAGAGCAATTAGGCAAGATAAAGAGATAAAGGGTATCCAAATTGGAAAGGAAAAAGTCAAATTAGCCTTGTACACACATGATATGATCTTATATTTAGAAAAAACTAGAGACTCCACCAAAAAACTTTAGAACTGATAAGCAAATTCAGTAAAGTTGCAAGATACAAAATCTACATACAAACATCAGTAGCATTTATATACACCAACAGAGAGCAATCTGAAGAAGAAATCAAGAAAGCAATCCCATTTATAACAGCTACTAATAATACAAAATAATACCTAGAAATCAATTCAGTCACTTTAAGCCTTGATTTCCCTCATCTATACATCAGTATTACTAGGTGGACCTGCTTCCTTGAGTGTTTGTAAGAAATAAATGAGTGTGCCTATAGTCCCGGATACTCAGGAGGCTCAGGTGGGAGGATGCATTCAGCTTGGGAGGTGGAGATTGCAGTGAGCTGAGATCATGTCACTGCACTCCAGCTTGGACAGCAGAGCTAGACCCTGTCTCAAAAACAAAACAAAACAGTAAAAAAACAGCCAACTAGTTTCCTTTCCAGGTGATTTAAAACAATGTATGTGATTATTTGCTATCTTGAATGACTGCCAAAATTTTGCACTTTACACCTAAATTTTCATCATCATGAAGATATCACCTACAGTGAAAAATACTGCTCACTAGCTCAAAATGGTTAATGATAGCTTGGCTATACGTGGGGTGGATGCTTTGATTTGAAATTTTTCAAAGCAATCATAATGAAACTATGTATTCATATAAATCTCCCTATTTTCCTAGGGTGAGCCTGCTGAGGGGAAAATGTATTTGTCCTTTTTAATGACAAGACTATTTTCCTTTCCTTAATCCCATTTTGTGAAAAGTGACCCTATTTGCCTTTTGGAAGTTTCCTGTAATTGGCTTTGATGTCTCCCGACATTAGCAGATGAATCTGTCAGTTTTGTGAATTTTGTTTTGAACAAAGAGCCATGGAGCAGCTAATGACGCACGATGTAAGGGGAAGAGGCCAAGGCAGACTTGCCTCCAGACTACTGCCACTTGCTGAGTAGATTTAAGAGACAACATGACAGAAGGTGCCAGCCTGCACTCTTGAGGGCTGACCTTGAGCTCTGACATGAGAGCATCTGTCATGGTGGACACATAGGTTAGAACCAACATGGGAAATTAGCAAGATGGAGTGTCAACGGGCCAGAAGCCTGGTAAAGCAGAAAGCTGGCTGGCCTCTTCTCCCCGTCTGCTCTCCCATCTCCCATCCCAAATGCCAAGCACAGACCCACCAAGGCCACTTCTATTACCTGACATTTATTTTCCATTGAACACCATTTGTCAGGCATTGGGCCAGAGGCACCATACGTTCATTCTCTCATGTAATTACCACCCTATACTCAAGGTTAAGAGCATGGAGCCAGAGAGACCTGTTAAAGTACTGACTCTGCCACATAACTGGCTGTGTCACCTTGGGAAAGTCTACTATTTATAAAATGAGGCAAGCACCACTTACTTGAAAATAACTGCTATAAGGATTAACTGGAAAAAAAAGTGTATGTAAAGTGTCTGGCTCGCAGTAACTGCTTGGTAAATGATAGCTTTGTTATTAACAGCCCTGTGAGAAAAGTATTTTTCAGATCATGAAATTGGATGTGGAAGAGGTTAAGTTATTTTTCCGAGGTCTCTCCTGGCTTTTTATTATAAAGTATTCACCATAAAAATCATGTTTTTGTTTGCATGGCACATTTAATAAAACAAATCAGTAACATTTTTATTTATATTATTTTTCTGAAATCAAGTTCAGTAGAAAAGCAGCATTTTATGAGCAATGCAGCATTTCTAACTGAAAATATTAAAGCATGTACTTGTGTGGTTACAAAGTTTCCATTATACCAACCTAGGGACAACAAGCACCATAGAACCCAGATTATCATCATTAAATACATTTCCACTAAAAGAAACAATAATAGTCTTTGGAGAAGTGGCTGATTGCAGATCTGGGTCAGGAAATGTAATATACAAGTTAAGCCTGAAATATCTTGTTACACAAAATAGCAATGAGGCACTCAAAGACTACTAGGGTGGTATCAAAAGGACTCAGTGGCCAACCTGGAGAGTCTTTCACATGAAGGTAACAAGTGAAATGGATTAAGATGCAAGAAATATGTTTAAATCCATGAATTAGTAATGAATTTTAAAATAACAGCAACAACAACAATCACCACCAGGGAAATATTTTTTAAAAATCCAAACCCTAATTGGTCACCATTGGAAGATGTTAGTAAACCAACTTATTATTTTGAAAATTGGTAAATGAAAATAATTAAGTTTTTTTTCTGGGATTCTTATAGGAACTATACCTGTAGGTGGTAGATGAGGGGAAATTTGTCTTTATGGTAATATTTTTATACCCCCCAATAAATTAGTGAAAATAGGCCTTGAAGGTCAAGTTACTAGCATTACAAAGAAAGAGACAACCAAGCATTATGTTTTATGTGGTTCCAAAAAGAAAAAAAAAAAGCACCTAAATTTGATCAAGTCTTTGTACTCAACTACCAATATGGGAAATGTAAAGGTCAGAGGAACATGTTAAAATACGCTAGAAAGATTCAGTCAGCAAAATCCAGATTGTGGGATATGCTATAAGCTGGATACTCAAAGTTTGGTCTGTCGAATGGCAGCAAAAGCATTGCCTGAGATAGACTGAGAGCTTTTTAAAATGCAGAATCTCAGGCCCACCCCAGACTTTCTGACTCAAAACCTGCATTAGAACAAATTCCCAGGGGATATGTGTGCATTAAACCACTGATCATATAGGCCAAATGATTATTTCTTCAACAAAAAAATGAATAAAAATAAGAGAAATGCATAGGTTAAAAGAACTTAAGAAAAACATCAACCACCTGTAATGTGCAGACCATATTTGCATTCTGACCCAAAAAAACTATAAAAAAATTGTATACATATATGTAAAAATTAGAAATTTGAACATTGACAGGACATTTGAAATTCTTGTTAATTTTACATGTGATCATGGCATTGTTGTCATGTCATTTTTAAGTTCTTTTAAAAACACACATTTGAAATAGTTACAAATTAAAATGATATAACATCTGAGACTGGATTCAAAACAATACAGGAAGGGAGAAATGGTGAGGGTAGGGATAAAATAAGCTTGGCCATGAGTTGAAATTTGTTGAAGCTGATGTAGTGCCACATAGATCTTCATTATACTGTTTTGTCTACTTTTCTATAAGATTGAAATTTTTCATGATAAGAAAGCTACAAAAAGAAGAATTCCATTGTAAAGGGAGGGTTTAGCTATGAAGTAGCATTGGCTGGAGCATAAGAATATCAATGGTGTTTTTGTGTCTGTGCCCTCCTTCCTCCCTGCAGTGTCCTTGAGTTATAGGTAGTATTATACTCTTTAGGAGCCAGAGAATGCAGAAGTTTGAATTCTATTACTTCCATGTCCTTATTTCAGTCTTGGAGGTCAGGAGGAATACTTGGCAACTCTTCCAGCAGAGGTTTTGACAAGCTCATAATAGCTAAGAACCTTTCTTGTTCATTTCCCGGCATTCTGTTTTTGCGGAGGTGCCTTGCCCTTGTGCTGCGGGCCAAGTTGTTCCCTGCCCTTGTTGTTGCATTTACAGACAAAGCGATCTATGCTTGGACCACAAAAGTCCTTATAGAGGACCTTTTGTTGGGGTAGCGCAGTATCTGTACCCAGTATGGAAGCTTCAGAAGCTAAATAGTCACCCTCTCAAGGCATGGTAGTGCTGTCTTCAGTTAGGTAGATAATAATAAGGTAGACCCAGCTGGACACAGTAATATCTAACACAATTATAAGAGAGGACATAATTTGAATTATGGTTCCTGCCAAGAACCAGGAGAGGAAAAGATGCCAAATAATAAGCTAACATCCCAAGTGAAGCCTTCTGTGTCGTGTGACAAACATGTTGGGAAGCACAGATATCACAGGCCATAGTACAGTGAGGTGCCAGAGAATGACTCTATCCTTAACCACATACAGAGGCCTCAAAGAAGGCATTCGACAATGCCAAGCTTCTTTGGAATGAAGATAACAAAGTAACACAAAACAAGCCAGTGCTTCAGTTGTCAATAAGACTATATAAATGTTTATTTACTTCTTGACTACATCAGATTTCTGCCATTCTCCCCCAGCTCTGTCTAGTCTGGTTTTTAAACTTGATTCTCTTACACAGATAACCACTCTGGGAGCTTTGAAAGCTGTTGCTTTCTGGGCTCCACCCCAGACATTTTCACTCAGTAGGTCTGGGCTGGGGCTCAGGAATCTGTATTTTAAAAGCCTCTCAGAGACTGCAATGCTGCTTGTCTCTGGTTACATTTTGCCAACTGATTTAAAGTAATAAATAAGTTGGGCCTATTCCTCTCTGAGGCATTTTACTCCAGGGCTTGCTACCTTCTTGGCTGGTGACTGGAACCAACTGTCAGGGTAGCTTTTGGTATAAGAATAAATTTGATATCTGTTCTACGTTGCTCAGAGCCCAGGGGAAGGGAATGGGGTTATTCATCCACAAATATAATATTAGAAGACTTCCCCCGATTCCTGCCTTCTCAGGGAAATTTCCTCAATTTGACCCACATTGACTTTTCCTCTGAGTTCACACAGTCCTTATGCATTGTTCTCTTGATTTGGGAACTTAATTGTATCCTTTCTGATATATTTTCTTTTTTAAAAAATATTTGATTTATTTTTAATTTTTTTATTATTATACTTTAAGTTCTAGGGTACATGTGCACAACCTACAGCTTTGTTACATATGTATACATGTGCCACGTTAGTGTGCTGCACCCATTACTCGTCATTTACATTAGGTATATCTCCTATTGCTATCCCTCCCCACTCCCCCAACCCCACGACAGGCCCCAGTGTGTGATGTTCCCCATCTTGTGTCCAAATGTTCTCATTGTTCAATTCCCACCTATGAGTGAGAACATGAGGTGTTTGGTTTTCTGTCCCTGCGATAGTTTGCTCAGAATGATGGTTTCCAGCTCCATCCATGTCCCTACAAAGGACATGAACTCATCCTTTTTTATGGCTGCATAGTATTCCATGGTATATATGTGCCACATTTTCTTAATCCAGTCTATCACTGATGGACATTTGGGTTGGTTCCAAGTCTTTGCTATTGTGAATACTGCTGCAATAAACATACGTAGCATGTGTCTTTATAGCAGCATGATTTATAATCCTTTGGGTATATACCCAGTAGTGGGATGGCTGGGTCAAATGGTATTCTAGATCCTTGAGGTTCTAGATCCTTGAGGAATTGCCACACTGTCTTCCACAATGGTTGTGGGTCTACAGTCCCACCAACAGTGTAAAAGTGTTCCTATTTCTCCACATCCTCGCTAGCACCTGTTGTTTCCTGACTTTTTAATGATCGCCATTCTAACTGGTGTGAGATGTGAGATGGTATCTCATTGTGGTTTTGATTTGCATTTCTCTTATGGCCCCTTTCTGATATATTTTCTAATGTTTCATGTGTGTATTTCTTCTGGGTAGTAGTAACTTAAGAAAACAAAGACTCTGCTCTGTGATCTTTTTCTGTTACACTCTTACGAACATACATTATTGTCTGCTTAACAAATATTTACTGAAATTCTATTACAAATAAATCCTGAAACATACATGATATAGATCTATTCCATAGAACTTAAGGTCTCTATTTTTATCATCTTCTACTACATTTACATGTTCTATTGGGGACATTTTAACTTTCCAAAGATTTTATCCACTTATTTATTATGTGCCAACGGTGGCACTAGTGAGTCAGCTCCTGTGCACTGCCAATGACAAAACCTAAAGGTCCGTGTTAAAATTCATAGAAATAGACTTCCTTCAAAAGCTCCATTTAAAAATATTATAAGTTTTTAAAACCCACAACAAACAAATAAAAACCTGATGATCCATACTAATTGTCTTTCTTGAAAAATGGTTCTATTCTTGGATATGTACCCACAGATAGAAATTAAACCACTGAGAATTGAAAGATCACTGTCTCTGAATAGTATCTAACTCTGAGGCATAGCAGGTGGCTTGTAAAATAATAATACTCAAGTAATAGTTTACCAATACATTTCCAGGACTTGAGGTTAGTTTGGACAACCACTGATGTGAGATGAACCCTTGGGAACCAAAATTGATCATAATATATCCCAGAATCACTGGCTACACAGCTTTTAATATGACGTCCCATTTGTCTGTAGATTCCTCAGGACATAAAGAAACAGTAGGAGCTTAAAGGTGAATAAAAGAAAACTCTTTGGATTACCAATTAGGAGTCAAGATAGGAGGTAAGAAACAGGCGTAAGCTAAAATTAGGATTCCTAATGTAAATCTGGAAGATAATTCAAGCTATTCTTCAAAGTAAGCCCATCAGCCCTTTTTACTTCCTTTGCTTCTTACATCTTAGATCTAATTCAAAGACCAAACTTGGAGTACCTATCCCCGCCCTCCCTCCACCAAACAGTCTATTTTTAGATCTGACTTCAACGGAGAGTGCTGCTTTGCAAAGGGTATGGCTGGAAGTCTGAAGGGTGCCTGAAGGTTGTAGATAGTCCTCTAGCTGAGAAATGAAGCTTCTCACATTACTAATTCCTTAGTAAGAAACTTGACTGTGAACAGGTGTAATGTCAAATGACATTAAGAGTGCTTCTTCCTATTTGTCTGGGCACACCATACCTAGACACCATTGATACTTTCTCCCTTCTCCTTGCTTAACTATTTTCCTGAGAGGCCTCTCATTTCTTCCTTGATAACAGAAACTTAGACTCATCCATGGTATGTTATAACTGAATCAAAATCCCAAGACTTGCATTCTACTTTGGAATGAAGATCAGGCCATCCATCCAGTCTGTGGACCTGCCGTCTATACCATGCCATCTGTCCTACAAGCTATAACCAAGGCAGGAAGAATTAGGCTTCTCTCTTGATGTCTTCATGATGCCCTAAGCATGTGGCTGGCATTATCAGGTAAATGGATAAATAAATAATGTTTCAAGAAAGCAACAGAAGGTGAAATTTCCGGGAGAGAAAATTGCTGAGCTGATCTTGCAATATCCTACCAGAGTTTAAATTAAGGCATGTTGCAATGACACTTTTATATTTTTGAACCTGAGGTCAGAAAGGAAAAAGCAGGGGGGCATAATTCCTGCAAGGAGAAATTCAAATGTTGAATTAGGTGAGGCAATTATATAATTTTTTTAATGATTATTGTTTTTTCCATGTGGTAAAATATACACAGCGTAACATTTACCATCTAACTATTTTTAAGTGCACAGTTCAGGGACATTAAGTAAATTCGCATTGTTGTGCAACCATCACCACTAACCATCTTCAGAGCTTTTCATGACCCCATTCTAAAACTCTGTACCCATTAAACAATATTCCCCACTTACCTGGCCATTAGGAGCCATTGTTCTACTTCCTGTCTCTATGAATTTGATGATTCTAGGTACCTCATACAAGTGGAATCATATATTATTTGTCCTTTCATGTCTGACATTCAATTTACTATGTTTTTAAGGTTCACTCATGTTGCAACATGTATCAGAATTTCATTTCTTTTTAAGGCTGAGTAATATTCCAAGGTATGGATATACCACATTTTGTTTATATATTCATTTACTGATGGACACTTGAGTTGTTTCCACCTTAGCCATCACAAATAAAACGCTGCTATGAACACTGGGGCAAGTATCTGTTCAAGTCTCTGATTTCAGTCCTTTTGAATATGCATGTATATAGAAGTGGAATTGAGATGATGATCCTTTATAAATAAATCATGTGAAGTCAAATGATAAATGAAGCTGTAGGGAACTTTTTTTTTCTGTTGTTTTGGTTCTTCTTTGTAGTCATCCACACAGGCTCTTCTGAATCACTGGAGCCTCAGGCCATTGCATGACAACTCAGTTTGAATCACGCTGGAATCTAACTCAACTTAAGGCCACTCTATGTGAAAAGGGGTGAGTATGAAGGTGGGACACATGCCTTATTATGTTCACACTTTGTGGGAAATCTGGGTAGGTACTGTTTTGCATTGAGCTGAAGTTCTGTAATATATCCATGTGATACTTCCACCCTGCGTAAAATGTGATACTTTTGCAATCTATACACCTCAAAAATCATGACCATAGTAAAGTGCTACTTTATGTTTAGCATTTTGAAGTCTTCAAATAAAGACAATAAGGAAATAATTCCTGTGTAATGAGTATATTATTGACAATTAATAAATATAGTCAATTCTTATAATGTAGGGTTTCTTTTAAGTAAGTTGCTATAAGGCCTCTGACACAATTTCAACCATTTCCTGACTGGCTTTGCTCCTCTGTCTCAAAATAATTAAAAAGTCCTCTGTTCACATTCTCCATTGGTCTTTCTTTTCTTTTCTTTTCTTTTTTTTTTTTGAAGTGGGGGTAGGGGGAAGAAGGGAACTTATCTTCTTTGCCTCCCACACAACATTTTAGTAGTAGAAATTATAAAATAAGAATTCTAAAGACTATAGTGATTGATCTTGGCCGGGTGCTGTGGCTCATGCCTGTAATCCCAGCACTTTTGAAGCCAGGAGTTTGAGATCAGCCTGGGCAACATAGTGAGATTTTGTCTCTACAAAAATTAAAAAAAAAAATTAGCCAGGCATTGTGGTATATGTCTGTAGTCCCAGCTACAAGAGAGGCTGAGCTGGTAGGATCACTTGAGCCCAGGAAAACAAGGTTGCAGTGAACTGTGATTTTGCCACTGCACGCCAGCCTGGGTGACAGAGACCTGATCTCAAAAAAAAAAAAACAAAAAACAAAAAACAAGAAGACTAGAGTGATCTAGAATAAAAATGTGCATACCAAATATTCAAAATCTTTAAATCCTTAAAATGAAAAATATTATGCTCTTATGAAAATCTATGATACAAAGTACACTTTAACATCTGCCATTGCCTGTCAAATGAATTTCACTTTTAAGTGGTAACTAAATTCCTTTGATAGAAGAGTGATGGACTGAGCCCTTGTTTTTCCTTCTGAATACACCATATTCACAGTGCTAAGATAATGTAGCTTTGCCTCTGCCCCTGGTAGTTCTCTAAGAACTATCTGTATATTAGACATTGTTATCTGAAGTTCTGCAACTCCTTCCACTAACAGAGTCATCAACTACAAGCTGCAAAGTTAGAAAAATTCCTACTAGGATAAACAGGCCATTTTACATTAATAAAAGTATTAACTACATCATACAAAAACTGGGTATGTTAGACAAATAAAATCCAGATGCCTCACCTCTCTGTCCATCATATCGTCATTTCTGCCATTTCCCATTTTGGGAGAAGCTTGTTAGCCTGGCTCCTATTGTGACAGGAATTCATACTAAAACACTCATGAGCTCCTCTACCTTCATGGCCCACCATTGTCTCGGTGTCTCCGTTGCCTAGCAACAAGACCGTCTTATCTATGCAGGCAAATAACCTTTAATACATATTAGTTAAAAGCACTTCTTGATCTTTCTTTTATTTTTGAAAAGTTTCAAAAATACTCTTTTCTCACATACATTTTAAATTGCCTCATATTTTTGAGAAATAAGACCTCAAGGAGAAATTCAGCGTGCAGTTTTCAGATCTCTTCTGTTTCATCTACCTCAATACCTTGCGGTCTGGCCAAATATAGAAATCCCCATGGAACAGAACATGTCTGAATGTCAAGGAACACTGTAGTTGACAGATTTTTTTTTCCCCAGGTTTTCAGTGACTCCTAACTCAAAGTCCACTTTGCCTGAGCCAAGGGTATCAGTGACCAGACCCAGGAGAGAGGCTAAGATTCTCCTTTGCCTCCTGATACCAGGGAGAAGAGTGTAACAAAGGTCCCTAGAGAAATGTCTTGGGACACGGATTGCTCACAAAAATAAAACCTAGGCAGTGCCTGTCAATTATCAGTTGATTACTTTTAAAAGAGGTTAGGGAAAAGGGAGCAAAAACAAAAGAGCACAAGTCATACATTCATAAACAGAACTAAGGATGTCATTGATTTACACCCCTTAAGCACTCATGGCCTACCATTTTTTGTCTCATTGAGAGACAGTGTTCGGCTTACTATTCTTCACCTTCCTTCCCCACTGTAGACAAAGTTGTAATGGAGAGACATCCCAGGGAATGCTTTCCCATTGGGTTTTCAGAAGATATTTGATCAAATTTATCCACCTGGACCCAGAGCTGACAATGGAGCTACAATGAAGGTCCTCATCTACAAGTTTCTACGTGTGCTTGACTTATTAATTGTATACCCCCTGAAAATACTCTCAGGTGAAATGTCTCTGTCTTATACTGGTATACCTTACTTTATATAATGGATGTGTTGCCCAAAAAGGTTGGCGTAAGGTGACTTTTTAAAATATACCATCACATTTTGTATGTTCAGAGAAAAGGCCTACAATGAATCATTTTTTTGAGAAGGGAATAATTCTCTTTTAAAGTGTCAATCACACTCTAATTTAATCTTTTGTAAGTGGTAATTTTCTTGTTATGTTTTCATAGAGTGAAACCCACCTACATGTAATTTCATGACAACTGTAACAATTTCATATCATAAGACTATTGAAAATATCACCACAATGAGGCATACCTGAACCTACACATACTTTTCCCAATAAGAACTTTTAAAGTTACAAGATATTTGAAGATAGGACCATTTTTAAATACATTTTTGTTGCTTACTATGGTACCAGACAGTATCGTATACATAGCAGACAAGTAATATATATTTGCTGAAGAGTGAATGAATAAATCAAGCATCTTGTGTCATAGTAGTGAACTTGAGAAAACATTTAGTTTTGAAACAACAAAAACTACAGAAAAGTAATTGGCTATACCAATGTAGCCATGACAGAAAACTGGTAATTTTAATAATTTTTTGAAATATCTTCAAAATTATTTTAAAGAACAATGTAAAATTAAAAAGTAAAACACTCCATGTCAAGTTGAAGTGTTCACTTTCCTTCACATCCAGTACTATTTCCTCCTATCCTAAGAAGCAATGCTAGAAAATTTATGAATTGCCTTGCAAACCATTTTTGTTTTTATACACATGCATATGCATATGTATGCATATCTAGATATAATGTGTTTCTGTAATTTTTATCAAATTTATAATACTGGTATCATACTCTAGTTGATCTATATATAATTTTGCAACTTGGATTTTTTTCACTCAACACTGTGTGTGTGAGTTATCCATGCTATATACAAATAAGTCTGCCTCGTTTTTTAATCTGCAGAGCAGTCTGCTATATTTTATTTACCCATTTTTCTCATTGTGGGACTCACAGTTTATTTCCAATTTTTGCTATTATAAACAATGCTACAATAAACATGTCTCTGGGCCTGTGTAAAACTTACCAGTACCCAAATATACTGGTCCATAGAATATGCACATTTTTCACATTCTAGTTGAACCAAGTAACTCCCCAAAGTATATGAATTTATACTCCACCAGCACTGTGTATGGGTTCCCGTCTCCCCATCCTTGCTAACACAAACGGGACACATCCTGCATGCTTATCTCACAACAAACAAAGAGGATAATCTCTCATCAGTTTAATGTTTTGTGATAAAGACTAGAAAAAACAGTCCTTAAATGACTGCTAGTACAGGGCTAATAATTATAATATGCCATAACTTGTTGATTTTAGCTCTTTGATATTAATATAGTGGGTTATAATTAAAAGCTTAGTGAGAGGAAGAGGTGTAGAGCTGAGAAGTGATAATCTGAACAGAACTGGAGTACATACTTATGCATTGTTAAATTTTAAAAAGATGCCCAGATGGATTCAAACTTGCCTCAACTTGTACTGGCATGTTTACAATAATGTGATGAAGTATCCCACCTCTCAGTGTTCTTTCTTCAATACTTATGGTTTTAACTTTTTATAGACAATATTCAGGTTAGATAGGAATTATTTCCTGATATAAATGATGTTCAAACACTAGGATTTCCCAAAGTTAATTATGATATCTACTCCTATAAGAAAACTAGATAAATTATTGTCCTAAATAGTTTATAATAGTGCTGCTGAGAATTTGGATAAGTGCCCTTCCTTCTTTCCTTCCTTCCTTCCTTCCTTCCTTCCTTCCTTCCTTCCTTCCTTCCTTCCTTCCTTCCTTCCTTTCCTTCCTTCCTTCCTTTCCTTCTTTCCTTCTTTCTTTCTTTTCTTTCTTTTCACTCTTGTCCAGGCTGGAGTGCAATGGAGCGATGTCACCTCACTGCAATCTCCGCCTCCCAGGGTCAAGCGATTCTTCTGCCTCAGCCTCTCAAGTAGCTAGGATTACGGGTGCCTGCCACCATACCCAGCTAATTTTTGTATTTTTAGTAGAGATGTGGTTTCACCATGTTGGCCAGGGTGGTCTTCAAGTCCTGACCTCAGGTGATCCTCCTGCCTCACCCTCACAAAGTGGTGGGATTACAGGTGTGAGCCACTGCGCCCAGCTATATGATTATTTCTGAATCAAGATTTTTATAATTAAAATCAACAGACACCAGCTGTAGTAGCTGTAATTAGAAAAAGTAAATGGTTGGAAGGCAGGGGAACTGGTTTTGAGAAAAGTCAGTATTCAGGACTTCTGGGACATCTGTATAATAAAAGCAGACAGTCTTTTTAAGATGCAAGATGCAACTACTGAAACAAATCAAAACCAACTGTTTTCACAGTTGTCCCACTCCATTCAAGATTCAAAGACATGCGAGAAAAGAAACTTTGGCCTAGCTTGAATGACATGCCCAGCTCTTGGTCAAAGAAAGATGAAGCACCTTGAATAAAGTTACACCAAGAATGCATACAAAGGAAAAAGAGCTTATTTACCTGAGGAAATAAGAATACTGTAGCTAAACTAGAGGGGACTGAATGCTGATTGGCTCAAAACAACAAATGTCTGTTACAAGTGGGTTGAATAAATATATATTTAATGTCTACCACATGATAGCATTTTTATTATCTGTGGATGCCTGTGTATTAAATTTATTCTGAGAAAATAAACAGTTAATATCCTTACCTGAGAAATCCAATTATTTAGGTAATGCATCAACTAAGTTCTTAAACTCCTTTCCACTCAGCACTGTACAATTCTGGCTAAGGTCAGACATGGAATTTATTATAATAATGACCTGCTCACATCACTTGAGCTTCCAGCCCTATAGGAATAAGCAGCATGAAAATATTAAAATGCTATAGTCAGCATGACATGTTCTTGGTATTCTTGGCATAAACTCTCCTCAAGGGTATGTCCATATGTTCCTGGTTGTTGTTCTCCAATTGATCATGCATTCTTTAAGCACTGATATTTCATAATGATTGATGTCAGTCACTTGTTTCTTTGGAGTCACATTTATTTAGCATATATTTATTGAGGGTCTAGTAAGACTATTGTATATGCAGAGTATGCACATGATAATCATTTAATGAATTAATGAGTGTGATGTGGGCAGTTCGAAAATGAATTAGACTAAGGTTTTTTGCGTAAGACCTTATGGTCTGGGAGGAGAGTTATGAGACACACATACATGCATAATTGAAACACAAGGTAGAAAGTAAGAAAGGCCAAAAAAGACAATGGAAGTTTAGAAGAAAAAGGGCTCACTTCTGACTAGGGTTGTCTGTCAGTTTACTAAGGCTGCCATACCAAAGTACCACAGACTAGATGGTTTAAGCAATGAAATTTAATTTTCTCACAGTTTTGGAGGCTAGAATTCCAAGATCCAAGGGTTGACAGAGTTGATTTCTTCTGAGCCTCTCTTCTTGGCTTGTAGATGGCTGTCCTGTCCCTGTGTCTTCCAGATAGTATTTTCCTTCGTGTTCTAATCCCTTCTTTAAAAGACACCAGTCATTTTGGATTAGGGTCCACCCATAGGACCTCTTTTTATCTTAATTACCTATTTAAAGACCCTGTCTTCAAATACAGTCACATTCTGAGATACGAGGTGTTAGGATTTTAACATATAAATTTGGGAGAGGCACAGTTCAGCCCATAGCAGGTGGTTAGGGATGGATTCATGAAAGAGGGCAGCACTTGGACTATGGCTCCACGCTGACCCAGATTTGGAACAATCAGCCCATAACTTTACCCTCAACAAAGTGGTTGATTTAGAATTGGATACATAACCAGAGTCAAGGAGACACAACAGGTTCCCCTTGAGTGAATAGGAAGAACCTCTTCCCTTAAATGCCTTAATCTAGAAGTTCAAAGGCTAGAGCTGAGGTGGATGTCTTAAATAATCACAAGGAGAGAAAAGCCTTGTCTGAGAACGGCTCTTACCCAGGGGAAGGCAGAGTACAGAGATGTAGAAATCTGGAAATCAGATCCTAAGTTACCTCTGAGCCAGTCAAGCTACATTAGGTCCACACTACCCTTCAGTTTTTCTACTCTTTTGTTTGTACTTCGTTTCTTTTTTGCTGTTTTGTTTTTAATTCAAGCAAATTAGAATTAGATTTTTTTGTCCCTTGACCTCACAAGAGTCCCAATCTCCAAACAAGACTTTCCATAGATTAGGCAGTAAAATCTTAACAGGGAAAAAGTCTTCAGAAGGAATTAGAAAATGACGAACATGAAACATTTAAGTATATCAGGTGGACAATTCTTAATTGTTGAAAAATAATAGTGATAATCACAATTAGGTCTAATTTTAATTATGAGGAGGGTTACTCACTCAGAGAGGCAGAAAACTATAAATCTGCCACCTTCTCTCATTTCCTGACAAGCTCCTCAAGGTGGAAGAGCTCTGAAGGGGCACATATTTGCATAATTGGGTTCCTTTTGTTCTTTTGCTTGCTCCAACTAAGTGTCTTAGCAAACTACAGTTATTGTTTCCACTGAATTATAAAATAAAGATAACTTTATATAGCAGGCCATTTAAATGATATTTGCCATTACTTGGCTTAGAATAGCAAACGTACAAATCAAATCTTTGGAAATCACTTCTGTTCCTTTTTGTCATATAGATTGCCCTGGAGGATAGAATTAAGAGAAATATTGGAAAGTCGTATTTAAGATAACAAAACATTTATGAAAACTTGGATAGGACATTGCTGGACTCTCACAGCACCAGGGACACATAAACTCTCTGAAGATTATTTAAGATAATTTTAGTACTCTACTGGCCAGGGGTCAGTATTTTATTTTTTAGCAATTATTAAAACTCCTAAAATGTCATGGCTACCAAAAAGAAGACAATATATATAATCTTTAATATAATATTAAAATGAAATACTATTCTATAATCCTTAATAGACTTTAGTTTTCAAAATTCTGGGCATTTAAATACTTAATTATCCAATTACAGAGGTATGTTTCCTTACATCCACTTGTTAGACTCTGTAGCAGTTATTTTTAAAAGTATTTTTAGAAAGGCCTTGTAAAACAATGTAAAGATGCCTACAATAAAATATTAAGCATATAAAAAGCAGGTGTGGGAATTATAACCACAGTGTGACTTCAATTATTTTAAAAGAACAAGTACTTAAGAAGAGTGTAGATGCTGAAAGGTGTGCTACCTTTCCACACCCATCAAAAGGGTCACTGCTGACACTCCTATACCAAAAGACAGGCTGACAAGAGAAAAGCATAACAAATTTGTTTAATCAAAGTTTTATGTGGCATGGGAGCCTTCAGAAATGAAGACCCAAAGACTCAGGGAAAACTGTTTTTAGGCTTAGGTTTGAGGAAGAAAGGGCAGCTATGCAGAATGTGACTGGGGAAGAGGGAATGATCTAATAGCAGACTCAGGGATAAACCCAGCAAGCCCTCACTGTTCAGATTCTTTTGATTCTGTGTAGCATTCCTTCCTTCAGGTATGGGGCAGGACCCCTTGGAATGAGGGTCTTCAAGGGAAAAGAGAGAAGGAAGAGAGTGACCTTTCTATGTTTTATGACTTGCTTTGGAGGAGAGAAGCTCTAGTTTCTATGACCCACCTTGGGGAGGAAGAATTTTTCTGGTTCTATAACTTGCTTAGGGGAAAAACAGGGGTGGAAGACAGAAGGGCAGGAGAAGGTCAGAGAGGGACTTTGTTTCTGAGGCTGCTTCTGAAGCCTTCCAATCTCCTTCAGATTAAAGTACTCAGCATGCCACAGCGCCACACTTGGGGTATTATTTTCTGAGCCCCCAAAATAAAGGCTTCAAAGATGACATGAAAATATTAACAGAGGTGTTTGTGATGGGATGGTAGAACAATGGGTATTTTTTCTATCTAGTTACATGTGTTTTCTGATTTTTCTTTAATAAGCATGAATTACTTTCATAATTAAAAAGCACTTATTACATTAAAAAGTCTGTGTACTCTAAATAATAAAAGGGTTATTTTAAAATAAATTTCTTGTTACAAGATAAGATTGAGCTCTCTTAATTTAAAAAGATTTATAAAGAAATCAGAGAATTAGTTAATCCATAACACAAAATAATAAATGTCTTGGTCAAAGGAAATTGGAAAATCATTTGTCATTATTTTATGAGCAGTGCTCACACTCTGTGATAGGTTTTCATTTCATTACCAGGTGTTTCTGTATTAGAGGGATAAAATTACTTCCCAGGGTCACAGATGAATGGAACATAAAGAACTGGAGATCTCATCACAACCTGGCTAAGTGGAGGGTACCCACTGGTCATATAGGACGTGCCTTATCCTGGTGCTCCAGCCCCTGTGTGCACAAGCAGTGGAAGCCAGGGCCTGCATGCAGGCAGCGGGGGTACCACTGCAGCAGAGGGGTGTGTGTGTGTGTGTGTGTGATCGCGCGCGCGCGTGTGTGTGCGTGCATGTGTGTGTATGTGTGTGTGTGAGAGAGAGAGAGAGGAGGGGGGCTCTCTTTCCCTTGATGTTTCCATTTTCTTTTACTAAAGAAGGCATTGCCCTTTTCAAGGGCCTTATGACTTCCAGCTTTCTACTCAGAACAGAAATCATCGCCCCAATCCCAAAAGGGAATGATTTGCTGTTATCTTTTAATCTTAACTGGATTTCATTCATACCAGGTAGCTAATTCCATTAAATATTTAAGTGTTAATGGTATTTTTGCCTAACAATGGAAAAAAGGTCTTTATCTGCAATTAAGGGAATTCTAGGTGATAGTAAGTCATAGTTTAGATGAGGGGGAGGGCCGAGGTGGCAAGAGAAATAGCAATTTGTCCTTGAAGTCAGACGAGGTCTCAGCTTTGGAGAAACAGAAAACTGCTTCAGTGTTTATTAGGTCCCTGGGAAGGTCTGCTGACATTGTCCTTCAACTTTCCTCCCTCTTCTGAACTCCACACTTCTCTCCCCATCCCTGCACATCCCCCAGCCCAAGTTTCTTTCCATACTGATGTCTACGACTTTGTTCTAGGTTGCCTTTGAGTACAACAGTCTATTTCACATGTGTATAGAGAAACACAGCCTCTGATATTTGTTGTTTGTGCATCATAACTGCTCAGAACTCCAGAAAATGATTCTAAGTCATATTCTGCAGAACATGCTTCCTAGGCCTTGCAATTTATTACATACAAATATTCTGCAAGGAATTATTTCTTAAGGTCAATCAACTAAACAATCAACAAAACTCTGACTCATTTACTAACCTTCAGTGACTAATTTATTTTAAATATGCCTTTTTATTTTAACCTACAACTTAGGAATTTTAATATTGATTAATCCAATCATTCCTTATAAAAATAAGCAAATATTTCCTAGGGCTCTTCTGAGATCTGTGCTTCTACTCCATGCCCATAGATTCCTCTTTAGGTTTATAATATACATTTGCCTAGGTTTATCCTACTTTACCTGTTTATTTTACCTCAAGGCTACCTCTTGCTTCCCCTTTGATTTTCTCAATTGAGACATTCTGATTTATTAAGGGTAAGGAAAGGAAGCCTTCATTCACTGCACATGTCAGAATTTGTTAAATTAATCACTTCAAAGTTGTTTTTATTTTTTTTTAAACACTAAGACAATTCAGTTGTTCAGAGTATTAGCTTCTGAGCTGCAACAAGTTGTTTAATCCTGAATTTTCTAAATGCTAAGAGCTTCAGCAGGGAAAACAAGCATTGTATGCAAATGCTGTGATCTTGCCAGCTCACAGTACAGCTAGTTCAATTTGTCTCTTGGTTCCCTGTGATGGACAGAAGATATTTGGTTTGGTAACAAGATGGCCTCTGTGATACAAAAGGTGGCAATGTCCCACCTCTCAAGTGGCCCAACTACATGGTCCATCATAAGATTCCTAAAGTTTATTGAAATTTTTTCTGTTTTAGAAATATATATGTAAATATAATCACACCATTCTCCCACGTGGCCTAAAAATCCAAAAATGATTTTTTATAACTTTGCTTAGCATAATATATTCATTATTGTCAGCATATGAATAATGAGAACTCATAGCTTCAAAATCTGATTTTATGTTGAAAATTTTGCCTTTGGGTGCTCTGCACTAACCCACAGTGCTGAGATTATGCCCTCCTGCTGGGAGAAGCCATTGAGAGTAAGAAGTAAGGTTAGGGAAGGAATGGGTATAACCCCAAAGTACTTTCTCCAAAATTGGCCCCCTGTGAACAATTTTTCTAAAGATAGCATGTTAACATGATGACTAATAAGAGGGAAAAAGTTATGTTAGAAAAAGTTGCATAAAAACCAGACCATCAGCTATATAGAAAAGGGAATCAAAGTGTAGTGGCTGTTTTCTTTCTTTTAAAACAAAAATGTAATGTAAAATATACATAAGATAAATTAATCATTTTAACTATTTTTAAGTGTATAATTCATTGGCATTAAATACATTTAAAATATCATATAGCCATACATTTACAATATTGTGAAATCACCGTCACCATCTGTACCCAAAACTCTGTCATTATCCCCAGCACAAACACTGTACCCCATAAAAAATAACTCCCTATGTCCCCCTTCCCCAGTCCCTGGTAACCTTTCTTCTACTTTCTGTCTCTGCGAACTTACCTAGTCTATATACCTCATATAAGTGGAATCACAGGATATTGGTCCTTTTTGTGTCTGGCTTATTTCACTTAGCATAATATTTTCAAGGGTAGTCCATATTGTATCATATATGAAAATATCATTCTTTTGTGGCTGAATAATATTCCATAATATGTAAATATATTTTGCTTATCCATTCATCTGTGAATGGACACTTGTTTCCACCTTTGGCTATTATGAATAATGCTGCTGTGAACATTGGTATACAAATACCTGTTTGAGTCCCTGCTTTCAAGTCTCTTGGATGTATCTAGAAGTGGAATGGTTGGCTCATATGGTAGTTCTACATTTAACTGCTTGAGGAACCATTTTCCATAGCATGGCACCAATTTACATTTCCACCAGCAATGCGCAAGTGTTCTAATATATCCACATCACTGCTAACACTTACTTTCTGGTTTTTGTTTGTATTATTGTCATCCTAGTGGGTGCAAAGTGGTAACCCATGGTGGTTTTGATTTGCATTTCTCTAATGACCAACAATGTTAGAGAAAGTAGCATAAAAGCCAGACCATCAGCTATATAGATGTGCGTAGTGGCCATTCGTGTATCTTCTTCTCGTGAGAAATGTCTATTCAAGTCCTTTTTCCATTTTGTTTTTTTATTGTGAGTGGTGGCTTTTAAAGGGCTGCTTTACCTCCAACCAATAGCACAGACATCTTCCTCCACTAGAATCTGCCCATAAGCTAACACTCTACCCTAAAACTCCCACACACAGGTTTGCAATGTCCTATGAGCTGCCTTCACAGCATTGTCTTGACTTGACGGAGGATGGGGAGGGCAGGCAGAGCTGCATCAGGAGAGAAGAGTAACATCTTCTGCGGCCTCCTGGATGTTGCAGGAGCCAAAGAAACCCTGACAAAAGAAGTAGAGGTGAAAGGCTTTCCTGCCTTACTAGGGAGCTCCAGCGTAGCTTTCTGTCAGCCTGGGTCTTACCTCGTATTATTCATGGGATTGCTTGCTCTTTGGACCTTCTTACCATTTTTCTTGGCACGCAAGGAGCTTTAATGCTTAGTGTGGCTAATCAGCTAGTCAGTGGATGATGTAATGAAAAGATTCTTCGAACTCTGTATTTTGAAAGTAGACTAATAGAGGTTATGGGGATGGGGATTTCTGTTCTGAGGAGTGGGTAATACTGTTTCTTGATTTGGATACTGGTTACAGAGGTGGTTCTGTTTGAAAAATTCTTATAACTTATTCACTATTCTCTCTGTTTGTTATACTTCAATAAAAGCTCAAAAGAGAAAGAAAGAAAAACTCTGCCTACTCAACAGAGTCAATAGCTTCATGATACCTCTGTTCAGTAGGTAAGTCACTTTTGAGGGCACAGCTAGATTCAATAGCCTGAGAGCTGTACGTATTTCAGAAAATAAACATAGGAATTGACTAGTGGTCAGAAATTACGAGAAGATATGCTTCATTTGTCCCTTTATCACAGGGCAGGATGACATTATTTAAAAGTCAATTTTGATCATAACCTTCCCCAAAGTAAAAAGTGTCCAAGGCTTCCCATTGCAGTTACGACAAAACCTGTAATCCTTGCCTTGGCTCAGGAGGCCTCACATGGTCTGGCCCACTTTTGCGTCTTCATCGTGTATCACTCTTTCACTTCCTTATCATGCTGTAGTAACACAGATCCCCACTGTGTTCCTCAATCCCACTCGGCTCACTCTCTTGCCCTTTCCTTTGTGTCCACTATTCCCTTGGCTGGGCTGGGCTCCCTGGCTGTCCCCATGACTTTAGCTCTCCTGCTCACTCTCACTCTCCCTTATGTCTTGGGTCTCATCTCAAATGTCACTTCCTTAATTAAGTCTTCTCTGACCATCCTAGATAAAGTAGGCCCTCCATCCTAATTATTGCTTTCTATATTACCTCCTAGTTTATTTCCTTTACGGCATTTATTACTATTAGCAATTTTCTTGCTAACTTGTCTTCCCCACTAGTATATAATTCTCCATGAATGCAGGGACTTTGTCAGTCCTGCTCACTGCTATACTGTCTAGACATTGCACTGTTCAAAGTGTGTAGGAGTGCACAAAAGCCTATTTGTTACATAAATGAATGAAGCCATGAATGGCTCTAAATTAATTGCAAAGAAACTGGGTCATAGTGGACCACAGCAAATGGCATGTATAGTTGCCATAGTGCAATTTGGATTACATGGATATTCAGTGAGGAGTAACAGACAGTTTGCAGTTTTTTTCTCCTCTGGTGTCTCTCTATTGACAGGCTTTCCTACAAGTCTTGGCAGGAAACAGACACATCCCTCCCAAAGGCATGGTTCCTTTCCCTCCAAGAGCAAGGCTTCACTCCAATGACCTCAGATGCTTTTCCACTGCAAAAAGAGCCCTCAGAGGGAGATAGTTAGATTAAGCACTGTGGGATTTTGAAGGGCCCTCCTGAAAGGAGAGAGAATAAAATAATAGAAAGAGACTACAGCAAGCCACTTACAGAAGAGGTTGTGTGGCCCTCAGATTGTAACATCCTGCTTTGATTTCTGGAAAGACAGCCCTGAGGGGAGGGTATCTTGTGCATTTGGCATTCTTTCACACAGATGACCTTTGATGGCAGAGTACTAATACTTAAAAGGACCCTGTTGCTCTAAGGAGCCTGTGCTTCACTCAAGATAACTACTGTCCTCAGAGCCCTATGAACCTCAGAGAGCAGTTGGCCCAGTTGGCTCCTTCATGAATAGGGTGGGAATGTGCACAGAGACATGGCCTAGCTTAGGAGTGAATATGAGGAGAGAACGTGGAAACTCTCAACTCAGTCATTAGATCTTGACTGCTGTGTGAGAGCAGCTGAGTTGTCTTTAGTTGAATGCTGTCTTCCAGAAATAAATTACCCATAGGTAGGAACAATGATCTCTCACTTCAAAGATGTTAGTTCAGGCTTTTTACTGCATTGGTTCTTATGCACAATTTGTTATAAAGGAATAAACACTTAGGGCTTTGGAATTACCACTTAAACTGCTTAAAAAATTGTCATCCAAAACTTGATGTGGCTAGAACTTATTATTCAGGTCTCAGCTCAAATGTCATCTCCTCGGAGAGGCCTTCCCTGATGACAGAGCTTAAAGGAGCATCCCACATTTGCCCAGCTACTCTCTGTCACTCAGGTCTATGTAATGGCTTTCAGAACACTTATCACTACATGAAATCACCTATTGTATTTGTTTATGTGGTTGTCTGTCTCCTTTCACTAGATTGGAATTGCCATGGAAGCAGGAATGTTGTCACATCATAACTTTGGTGTTTAGAAGAATGTGTGGCACATTGTTAGCACTCAATGAACTTATCTACCATCCAGTAGGTACCAGACACTTTGTGAATACTGGAGATTCAAGAAATCACTCAATAATGCAAAACAGTGCAGCCATTTTCTTTTATTTTATTTTGGGACAGGGTCTTGCTCTGTCACCCAGGCTGGAATGCAGTGGTGCAAACATAGCTCACTGCAGCCTCAAACTCCTGGGTTCAAGCAATCCTCCTGCCTCACCCTCCTAAGTAGCTAGGACTACAGGCGTGTGCCACCATGCCTAGCTAATTTTTTTTTAATTTTTGTAGTGATGGAAGCTCTCTATGTTGCCCAGACTGCTTTTAAACTCCTGGCCTCAAGCAATCCTCCTGCATCAGCCTCCCAAAGTGTTGAGATTATAGGCATAAACTACTGCACCTGCTCCGGTGCAGCCACTTTGGGAAACAGTCTAGCAATTCTTCAAAAGTTTACACATAGAGTTACCATATGATCCAGAAATTTCTCTCCTAGGTATATACCCAAGAAAACATACCAATGAAAACCTATATCCACATAAAAACTTGAACATGAATATTCATAGCAGAATTATTCTTATTTTCCAAAACAACCCAAATGACCATCAACTGATGAAAAGATAAATGCAATAGGATATATCCATAAAATGGAACACCCTCTACAATAAAAAGGAATGAAGTGATAATACATGCTACAAAATGGATGAACCTTGAAAATATTGTGCTAAGTAAAGAAGCTATTCATGAAAACCACATATTATATGATTTCATTTCTATTTAATATCTAGAATAAGCACATGGACAGATTAGTGGTTGCCTTGGACTGGAGAGTGGCCTTGAAATGGGGAATGACTGCTAGTCATACCAATGGGGTATGGGATTTCTTTTTGGGTGATGTAAATGTTCTAAAATTTATCGTGATAGTTGTACAACTATGTGAACATACTAAAACCCACCGAATTATATACTTTAATTGAGTCAATGGTATGTTAATTATATCTCCATAAAGACATTATTTTACAAGTCATTCAACCATGCATGATACCTGATGTTACTCATTCATTCAATCTTTCAACATGTATTCATCAACTGCATTGTAACAGGCTCAGGGCTAAATGATGGAGATACAAAGGTAAACAACTGTAGTTTCTACCTTAAGGAACAATCTATCTAAATGTTTGTGGTTTCTATAACAACTTCCTACCTTATTTCACATCTGTTGAAGAAATCTGATTACGAGAAATGATATGTGCTGGAAACTGCTACTTGTTCAGTAAAATCCATTTTCTCCTATTCTTCTTGGACACACAACTAGATAACATTTCTTAGCCCCCCTTACAATTGGGTGGCTGTGTACCTGATCTTTGGCAAATTCTGAGGGAAAGCAGTATACCACTTCTGCCAAATTTGGCACAGAGAATCTTTTTTTGCATGCTCCTCCATGCATTTCACCCCCTCTGCCAATAGAATGGAGATAAACATGCTCAGCCTGGGCAACATAGCAAGATCCTATCTCTAAAAGAATTTTTTAAATAAGAAATAATTAGCTGGGCATGGTGGCATGCACCTGTAGTCCCAGCTACTTGGGGGGCTGAGGTGGGAAGATCGCTCAGGAGGTTGAGGCGGGAAGATTGCTTGAGCTCAGGAGTTTGAGGCTGTGGTGAGCAATCGTCACGTCATTGCACTCCAGCTTGGATGACAGAGTGAGACTCCGTCTCTAAAAAACCAAACCAAATCAAAAAACAGAAAAAAAAGAAAAGGAGTAAGCACACTGATTCTGGAAGCCACATGATGTTGACGATTGCAGGATCTTTATCATCTTGGGTGCTGAATGACTACATGGAGCAAAACCCCCAAACTGACCCATAATCGCACTGTTACGATAGAAAAATATAAACCTCTAATTCTAAGGCAAAACTTGGTGTTACTCTAACTAACACACTGGGGTATAACAGAAATATGTAGCTTGTGAGGCCCTCCTGGTCCCTTAAAAATCTGGGCTAAAAGCCTAAAGGTGCTGTTTTCCTTTAGATATAAGGTGATAATTTTATTAGGTCTTGATTAGACTTGAGTTACGGCTTTTATTACTTAACCCTGGTATGATTTCTTCTATTCCTTGAGGGACTCCTGCTGTTTCAGCAACCAGGAACCTGGAAGGACACTGGCAGGGGACAGGGTATTACAGCAGGAATCCTGTCAAGTTGGTGTAGCCAGAATCCTCCCTTACTCCTGGTGTTTCCACTTAGTATTTTCTGTCCACTGACCCCACCCTGTTCTTTGGCTGTAAATCCCCAGTTGTCCATACTATATTCAGAATTGAGCCCAGTTCTATACTGAGGTTTCTTTTCTCCTATTGAAATAGTCCTGAATAAAATCTGTTTTTGCCACTGTAACTACTGTCCAGCTCTGGTTTGCTATGTATGTATGTATGTATGTATGTATGTATGTATGTATGTATGTATATATGTATGTATGTCAGCGGTACTGGCACTCACCTATGCTGCTGGTGAGAGTGTGAATGGTATAATCTCTCTGAAGGGCAATTTGGTACTATGTATCAAAAGTCTTCACATGTATGTAAACTCTCCACCTTCCCAAGCCCAAAACTGCCTACTCTTTGACCCAGTCATCACATTTCTAGCAATTTATCTTAAATTTAAAAATTTTTAAAAAGATTTAGTTGTCAAATGTACAATTTATTTGAAACATTTAATACAACAATGTGGTTGTAAGGAAAAACACTGGAAAGATTTTGAAATTTATTATGTGTCCTGTCTAGCTAGACAGCTATTATTTGTTTTTTAGTATGCTATTTTATGACTTCATAAAGATAGAAGTTCACATGTAGAAAACTCACAGTAATGCAAATAATTACTGTCCATAGAAATACTAATAGTGTCTGGTGAAATGCATTGATTATTTCCCTGTAGACATTGACTAGTTTTACCAGTTTTGCAACCATATGTGAATTTACTTCAGCATTTTAAAAAATGTGACTAAATGTGGGATAATTTGAGGTCATTTTTGAACTGGTTGTTCAATATCTTACTAGTTTCTTCATTAATTAATGAGATAAAGAAAACTTTAACATATGTTCACTTAAACCTATATGGGAATCATTTTAAAAAATTTATCCTTTGATATGGAGATTGTTTAATTAATCATGACACGTTCATATAACAGAATGGTACGTAGCCTTACAAGTTGTTACAGAAGAAAATTTATTGACATAGAATAAGGCAGGTTTCAGAACAACACACACAGTATGAGTTTACCTTGCATAAAAATGTAAATATAAGTGTGTGCAAGAGTACAAGTCCCCAGATGACCTTGACTGACCCAGCTTTTACCCCTCCCACTTGGGGTTCTCAGGTTTTCAGGGTAACTGTAGAATGTGCTGAAAATGCAGTGTCCTGAGATAAGAAAGAACTGTCTTGAATAGCCCAGGTCTTCTCCTCATCCTTCCTAGAACAGGATGTCCTACAATACTTTGGGTCAGCAATACAAGTTTCCCCAGATGTGTAAAACTCAGAGCAGAATACTTTCAGGGTCCCTCAGCTTTGGTGAGAAATGGAGTGTGTGTAAATAAGAATCCATCTGCCCTGGGCAGCTTTTCCCAGGCTTGGGGGACTGGCTCACCATGGATCCTAGGCTTCTGTTGATTCTTGCTGTCTGTGAGTCATAACGTTGCTTGGCCTGACTTGCTGTGAGAGTGTTCTCTATCACTGGAATTCATTCTAACAGCTGGGTTTGTGCAAAACCTTCCAGATGTAGGAAACTAAGCAGGAATTAGTAAGGTGTTTAGAGTCCTCCCCTGGGATTGGCAACAGGTGCTGGTATTCTGCTTAACAATGTGTATATGTGTGGATAAACATACATACACATACATATACACACACAGGTGTGTAAACATTAATGTGACATATGGGTATATATTTCAGCTCTGGAATACATCAAAGCAATAAAAAAGATGATCTCTGGGATGGAAGTGTAAGTGTTTAATTCTTCTATATGCTTAAATGTATTTTCTAATTTTTCTAAAATAAATTATGCTTACAATACGAAGCGGTTATTTTATTTTTTAAAAATTGCAGTGGGATAAATAAGAATATTTTTTACCTTTCACTAATTTGCTTTCAGATTTTAAACACTCAATCTTTCATGTATAGCTCAGGGAAGTCTTCCTGTTTGCCTGTTGTCCCCTCATGAATAATAGGGCCTCCTTTTATTCTCAAAAATGTTTCAGTTTGAAACACTTTTATGGTCATGTTACTTCTGTGATATTAGCTCAGAAGATCTGAAAGATGTCATGCCTCAGTGCATGAAGTAAGCAGTATTAAAGAGAAACTGGCATATCTGTGAGCAATGACATAATTCACTGGTTCAAAATCTGAATTTTATGTAGTCCAGAAAAATATTCTTGCAAAAACAAAGCATGTTTACCTTCACAGATTGCATGATTGAAGTCCAAGCTTATTTAATTGTCTGAATGAGTGGGGAAAATGATCACAACATTTCCTGCAAATTATATTTATCATAGTACTGAGAGTCCACAAGTCACCTAAATATTTCAGGGGACAAGCATTCAGAAGCAGAGTATCAATGATATAGAAAATGCTCTTAATAAAAGAAAATTTTCTTTCCTCTGTAAATTTTTCATAACTGCAAACAACTTACAGATTTTAGGACCCAAAAGAGGCCTTAAATTTAAAGCAGTATTTATCTTGTCAGCAAGTTATTAGAGTGATGCCTTTACAAATCCACTGCCAGCCACTGGCTGTCCCAGTGGGGAACCGGCTGTTTCAGAAAGTGAGCTTTTCAAATGTAAAGCAGTGATTTTTCTGCTTTCTTCCCTCTGAAAGCAGACAACATAAAGTCTTAAAAATTCAACCCTGTCTCAAAAAAAAAAAGAAAGAAAACCAACACTGAATTGTTGCAAGGGCATTTGTAAGGACTGAGTACAATTTGGGCCTCAGGCCACAGTCTTTATTTGTGCCAAAGCCTCAGGAGGCAGGAGATCAATTTTCGTAAGCTCAGAGTTCTATATTTTCCTGAATCCTCTTTTATCGTGTTAATATTATCCTGGAATCAGATAGGGAAACTTTTACTTAATCCCAGAGATAGGAGAGTTTGTCTGAGCCTCTGTACTTTCTAAACCAGATGGGGGAAAATAACTTCATATTAAGGTAAAACCTTATTTTATTCATGTATTTTACAATAAAGGTAGCATAAAGGCTCACTGAGTTTTTTTAAGAGAAAAACTCTAATGTTACTAGTTTCTCAGATCATCTAGTTTCCAGATATTTGGAGAGTCAAAGATATCTCTTAGGTTATCTAAAGACAAAAAAAGAAATAGAAAGGAAGGATAGAAATGAAGGAAGGGAGAGATGGAAGGGGGGAAGTAAAGAAAGGAAAAGAAAAAAGAATGAGGAAATCAGCTGATTCAATTGCTAGGCAAAATAACTAAGATACACTTAGAATTTTTTTCTTATTGTATATATTTATGGTGTAAAACTTGATGTTTTGATATACATAGTGAAATGGTTACTATAGGCAAATTAACACCCATCATCTCACAGAAGTACTTTTTTTTTTTTTTGGTGTGGCAAGAGTATCTAAAATGGTCAAGTAATTTTTAACAAGGGTACCTGGAAGACACAATGGGGGAAAAGACAGTCTCTTTAATAAATGGTATTGGGAAAATTGGCTGTTCACATGCAAAAGAATAAAATGGGACCCTTATGTTAGGCTATGTACAAAAAATCAACTAAAAATGAATTAAATACCTAAATGTTAAGATCTAAAACCACAACACTCCTAGAAGAAAACATATGGGAAAAGCTCCTGACATTGGTCTTGACAATGATTTATTTATTTATTTATTTAATTTATTTTTTTTGAGACAGAGTCTCACTCTGTGGCCCAAGCTGGGGTGTGGAGTGCAGTGGCGCAATTTTGGCTCACTGCAACCTCTACCTCCCGGGTTCAAGTGATTCTCAAGCCTCAGCCTCCCCAGCAGCTAGGATTATAGGTGTCTGCCATGACACCCAGCTAATTTTTGTATCTTTAGTAGAGATGAGATTTCACCACGTTGGCCAGGCTAGTCTCGAACTCCTGGCCTCAAGTGATCTGCCCGCCTCAGCCTCCCAAAGTGCTAGGATTACAGGCATAAGCCACTGGCCCCAGCTGATTTTTTGAATATCACACCCAAAACACAGGCAACAAAAGCAAAAATAAACAAATGGGACTTGTTAAAGCAAACTAAATAAGGCTTGAGAAGGACACTGTACGTCTATATTCAAATCATTGTGGACAAACTGCAATCTAACTTAATAGGTAGACAAGATTGAAAGCCTAACTTAGAAACATGTGCCTACAACAATAGCTGAGTCTTGGCCAATCCCAGCAGCAATACTTCAACCACTCACTCACTGCTGAGTGTTCAAACTGTGTTCAAATAAGGCAAATGCCAACCTGTAACTAATCCAGCTGTTTCTGTACCTCACTTCTGATTTCCATACGTCACTTTACTTTTTTGTCTACAAATTTGTTCTGATCAGGAGGCCCCCCCTGGAGTCTCTGAATCTGCTGCGATTCTGGGGGCTGCCCAAATTGTGAATCATTCATTGCTTGATTAAATTCCTTTAAACTTAATACAGCTGGAGTTTTTAATAGATGGTGTCAGAAGCAGGGTCCGAAGTAGAGCTTTAACGACCCCAGGAGTGCGGAGTGAACACTCAAGGTACCCGCAGGACCCACCTGTGTCCGCTGATCTCTCAGAGCAGCTGGGAATCATGGGTAAGTTCTCTCTTAAATTTTAGAGTTCCATGGATTTGTGTTTTGAGCTCTCTGAGTTTCTTTGAACAAATTTCTGTTCCAAACTGGGTTTGGAAGTCACAACAGAAACTGGACTAGGTCCAGGATCAGATTTGATCCAGTAATTAACTGTCTTGGATCCAGTTAGAGGCCTCTTACATCTGACTGGGTCAGAAGAAACTGGTAGTAAATGATAATATTGCAGGGGTTGTAAAATTTGGCTTTTGAAAATTCACAGGGATTTTTGTGTTCTACCCCTTCATTTCACTTTTCTTGTGCACTTAGGTAGGAAAAAAAAATCATTGGCTAAGTTAACCAAGGGAACCTGAGAGCAAAGCCAATACTTTAGGTAAAAATGGGATCCTGAATTGCTGAAAAACTGAGTTCCCTTTGACTTATACATTAGACCCAGGGAGGAGCAAAGTCTTACAGAAATGGCAAAATCTTACTAAAGATAACTTACAGTGGAATGTTCTGGATAAACAACACATTGAAGTGTATTTAAAAATGAGGGCTCCCCAAAATTAAATCTGCTAACCTTTTATCTTAGTTACTATCCTGATCCAAAGAAATAGACGGCAGCACCAATTGGCTGACTTTGGATAAGTAATGGGGGTACATTTTACCTGAGTAAAGGATAAGTTTGGGTTAGAGGCCCTCCCCTCAGTAAAGTCCTTCTTGGTTAAAAGGGACTAAAGATGACAAGGCCCAACCGGGGGCAAGTTTGAGCCTTGCCAGTCTAATACTGGGTGCTAAGCAGAGTGGCTAATGTCTATGTTTTGTCACACACATTTTGCTCTGGCAGGAATGGAAAATGTTAATTTGGTTACCGGATGAAACTCCTTGGACAGCATCTTACAAAATTGAGAGGCTTCTGCCTGGGGTTCCATGAAACAGAGAGGGGAAAAAAAAAAGATTTTCTTTTGTGTTGTGGCTTGGTCTCCAGGGCTATAGTGTGGCAAGCAGGGTCGCTAGGGCCATTCAGGGAAAGAGAACTTAGAAAGCTGACATGCCAGCAAAAGGGCAAGAATTTCTTACAGTCAGACTTCTGGCCCCTCTCTCTCTGTGCAAACCGGTTAAAGGAATGGTAAAAACCACTGTTTATCTCCTCTGTAAAGTTTTGATTAATGTGAAAAAGGATTCTGAGGCTAGTCTTAAGCTGTAGCAAATCTGGTGTATTTTGTGATATGAATTTGTCTTTCTTTGTCATTCTGTCATAAAGAGGGGTACCTTAGGATAGAACACGGGCTTAGGAACCCATAAGCTCGCTATTCAAGATGGCCCAGAAAGCTGGTCTGTTATAAATTTTGCTGCAGATCTCTGAAGAAAGAAAAAAAAAATAGATGAGGCCTCCATCTTGTTTTATGTCCTTGGGAGCTAAACCTTGTAACCACATGGCAGTACTTTCTTTTGATGTCTGCCATTTTACAATGGTGGTCCAGGTTGAATCCTGGCTTAGGGAATGAGTACTTTCTGGTTTAATATCTGCATGACCTTTATCTTTTCCCCTCCATGAACAACTTCTGGCTTCTCTTCTTGAATTTTCCTTTCTTTGAGCTACCTTTGAAGATTCTAGATTTTGTAAAAACTGCATGCTTTCCTGGCCCTATTCCTCTAAGGACTCCACTCTAAATCCAGTAATCCAATTAAGAAACTTCAAAACTGGCAAATGAAAAATCTTAACAACTATTGGATCTTCTTCTGTCTGTCTGTGTAGTTATATATATGTTGTGTGTGTGTGATGTTCATATAAAAGAGCTCTAATTAATTGGCTTAAAAATAAGTGCTTAAATCAAATATTTTGAAAGAAAAATAAAAACTGTAATGGCTTTTAGTTCATGTGACTTTTGTAATCTTTGAGAAATAAAAAGTTTTAAAGATAATTTAAAATAAAGACATTTGGTCTAAATTAGGTCAGATATTAGGTTTGCTAAATGCTTTAAGGTTATAAACTGCTTCTTTGGTTTTTGAAAATTGTTCATCTTTCCTGCTTTACAGCTTGGTAAGGCCTGGGCATGTGTGGAGTTAGCCACACCCCTAGCTATGCTGGAAAGAGTCAGACCCTATCTGCACTTCTGTCTGATTTCCTAGGCTCCACACCTAGTATATAACTAAAATAACTTACCAGGTTTTTCACCAAAATTGAAAATTGCTAAGAGTTACCATTATCATATGTAATGGAGACCACTGAAAAAAATTTTTACATGCAAGGTATGTAAAGAAAGTAAAATGTATTTTTAGAAAAGACTATAAGAATGCATAAAAATGTGGATTTTCTTGCCTAAGTTTAGAGGGTTAAAGGATTGTTTTATATTAGATAGGATAAAGCTAAAAGTTTGAACAAGTTGTGGAAGGTTTGTGAAAAATCAATCTTATAAAAAGAAATTCTGTGTGGACACTGACTAAAGTTAAAGGGGTATTATTAAGTTTTTCCATAAATTGAACATTGGAATAAGAGCACAACAGGGTTTTCTTAAAGCACTGATCTGCTCTTTAACCAAAATTTGTAAAGGCTTATAAAAGCTTTATGAGAATAAACCTTTTGACCTTATGGTCAAACTGATTAAGATTAGATAGATTTGTCTTGTCTATAAGGTTTTATTAAAAGTTGAGGTTGACATTAATAGTACACTAATGCAAGGGTGAAATGTGGTTTTCTCTCTTGAACAAGATTTTCATGTAATATTAAAAGATAATGAAAGATTTTTGTTTACCTTTCGAATAAACTACCGAAAAAAGAAGGGAAAGATAAAAGACAAATTTTTTGGAAAGCTAAGTCTTCCCTCCATCAATGAGTAAAGGTTTTTGCCTTTTTAAAATATTTTGAGTCATCATTTTGGCTAAATGAATGACTTATGGCAACCTGGAATTCTGTTTAATAATATCAAGTGTTTCAAACCTTTAATATATTTGATGGGCTTCCCAAAATCAAATTTCAGCTTCAAAATTGTCTTTTCTGACCTCTAACTTTGAGATGCTGCAGAGGGCTCCTGAAGCATGCAAAAGAGAGGTAAACAGAATTATGTGACATGTTAAGTTATAAGGGAAGCATTGTCAAAATAAAAGATAATGTTTAACCTTCTTCAGGTTATATTTTAGTGTATACCATCAATATGTTCCAAAATTGTATGGGATTTCTAAAATTCTAATATGTCTGAGTATATGCTATCAATCATAACTATGGTTATTATGTTAAGTTATTGTAGACCACAGAAATAACCAAATTTCCTTGTTAATTGTGTATTTAACTGACTATTTAAAGTCATTTCCACAGTTAACTGCTTAATGCTAATGCAGTTTCTGAACTTCACAAGCAAGGAAAATCCTAGAATATGGTGTCTTTTAGGAGGTTCATGAAAGGATGAAAAGGACCCTGAAAAGCACTCTTGAATACAGGTTTCTAATAACTTTAAAATCGTATCATGGGTAAAAATTCCCCATGAATTCCCCAATTCCCCAAGGATTGGACTGGATAAGAATTCCTGAAACTTTAATAAAAAGACTGACTGGTTTATAAAACTGCTAACCCAAGGAGAACAAAAATCAATTGAATACCAAGGAAATACTTTGCCAGATTTGCATGTTAAATCAGCGAATACTGAAACTGCTTAGCTATACAATTTGAATGAACTCCATGGTCTAAGTCAAATTACCTATGGTAACTCATCAGTTATCAGTGCTAGACACCTAATTTGGAATAACAACTCGTATTCAAGAGGATATAAGTCCAATATTAAACAAGGACTCATGCCACCTTGTCCTTCCTGAGTCCTTAAAGCTTTTATTATTAAAAGTTCTGCATTCCATGACTCATAATGGAAAAGATAAAATGATCCAAATTAAATATATTGGTGTGGTGACTAATAAATTGCTAAAATAGCTTATAACCAATATTTGGTTTGTCAAACCCATATTCTTGGAAAAACAATCAAAGCCTCAAGTACATTTGTTTACCTGATGGGCCATTTAAACATTTTATAAAGGGATTTCATTCAACTGTCATTTTCAATGCATGTTTTCTGGTTGTATAAAAGCTCTCCCATGTAAGAGCACTGATGTTATAACAGTAGATTATTATGCTACACTGTATTTTCACCAGGTAAAGAAAGGTTTTTGTGGTTCACTGATGACATTCAACCCCTTTACAATCTAGAACCCAAGAACTCTATCTTCTGAGAACATAAGAGAAAGACTGCCCTTGCTATCCACACTGCAACACAAACTTTGGAACCTTGAACTTTCGGTTCATAATCTCACAACTGAGAAGGGTCCCTCCACACTCTTGGAACTGTACACCCATTGGAATGCTTAAGGTAAAGCTAACCAGGGAGATGGTATCCTTGATGTGAACAGCTTTTCCCAAGATCACAGATCAAGACTTCTCTACAATCATGAGACTCTTATCTATGAATATCTTTTCGTTTATGCCTCTATGAACAATAGAAATGAATAGGGGGTCTGTTGTGTGCACTTATGGGATACTTTTGTATCCCACTGTGTGTACTTTTATTTGTGAAGGATTTTTCAGCTAGCCTTATACATAGATAACCTTATACTTTGATAGATGAAAGAGAAGTCCCAATGCAGGTGAGAAACTTTAATGGTACATATGTCGCCGCATAATCAGTAAGAAACAGAACATTGATTCACTTCTCTTAACCCACATCATGGGTTAAAGAGAACACTTCCAGGAGGCCTTTACTCTTCTAGAAGGGCATCGTGTTTTAGGTCCTTTTTCCATGGTTTGGAATAAAAGAGGCAATGACTAGAAGTGTATTCCTCATGATAGGCTCTATAGCAGATTCTACTGTAAAGGCTATGGTTACACAACAGACTTTAAATTCTCTTGTGAAAGTTATGCTAAATAATAGAATTGGCGAAACAGGAAAGTATCTGTGCAGGTACTGGCACTCATGGCCTATGGAGAAAACATTGGATATTTTAGAGATTCAGTTGTAGGGGATTAACAAAAAGAGTGCTTAGTTAAGCAAGTAGACTAACTAATTCTTTGATCTATTTGACTTTAGGTGGTTTGGTTTATGGGAGCTCTGGGTAAGGAGCATACTGCAAACTCTTGGTATTATCCTCCCCATAGTCACAATAGTAGAACCCCTGGTGCGCTGTATTCTCTCAAATGTCTTAAATATTTGCATGCAGCCATCTCTAGAATGTCAAATGGTCTCTCTTCAAGTGGAATGACAAGAGCTGAAAGAAATGTGTGACCATGAGGATACCAAACCTATGAATGATATGCTGAGACTAGAAACCCAAAATCACGCTGAGAGTGGTGCTAAGGCCCCAAGTTTTTTTAAATCATACTCTCACCTAAGTAAGAACCTGACCAAAGGGGGATTTTTTTTTTTTAAGCAAAATTATGGCAGTCCATTTTTTTGGACTGAGCTCATGCAATAGGCCCTAACAGACTAAACCAAACCAAAATGGAGTTGCTCGTGCTAAGTGTGATATAATCAAACTAAGTTTTTAAGGAAACACATAGATCCTGGTCCAGAACAGACCAGGTTTTGTTTTTCTCCTGTAAACAGGATGTTCCAGTATAAGGAGGAACCCTTGTTCCTACCTTTGCAAAACTCACTGTTCTACTGTTTCCCAGTGGGTTCCAAGACCAAATAAGTACATTTACAAGGTAATAGTGGCATCAATGACTAACATTTTGGTCAGTCTCTCAAAATGAAGAAAACGACTAAAAGGGGGGAATTGTTAAAGCAAACTAAATATGGCCTGAGAAGGACTCCATACTTCTATATCTGAGTCCTTGTGAACTAACTGCAACCTAATTTAACAAGTAGACAAGATTGAAAACTTAACTTAGCAGTATGTGCCTATAACAATAGCTGAGTCTTGGCCAATCCCAGCAGACATACTTCAACCACTCATACACTGCCAAGTGTTCAAACTGTGTTCAAATAAGGCAAATGCCAACCTGTGACTAATCTGGCTGTTTCTGTACCTCACTTTGGATTTCTGTATATCACTTTACTTTTTTTGTCTATAAATTTGATCTGACCACGAGGCCCCCTGGATTCTCTCTGAATCTTCTGTGATTCTGGGGGCTGCCCGATTTGTGAAACATTTATTGCTTAAACTCCTTTAAATTTAATTCAGCTGGAGTTTTTCAATTAAACTCTGTTACATTTAATTTGTCTAAAATTTTTCTTTTAAGAGATCAAACTCAAAAACTTCTGCATAGCAAAGTATACAATCAACAAAATCAAAAGACAGCCTACTGATTGGGAGAAAACATTTGTGAACCATATATCTGCTAAGGCGTTAATATCTAAAATATATAGTAAGACATTTATACAGTTTAATAGTAAAATGATAATAATAATCTGATTTTAAAAATGGGCAAAGTACCTGAATAGACATTTCTTCAATGAAGACATAAAAAATGGCCAAGTATATATGAAAAGGTGCTCAACATCACTAATCATTAGGAAAATGCAAATCAAACTACAGTGTGATATTACTCACACCTGTTAGAATGGCTATTATCAAGAAAACAAGAGATAACAGGTGTCACTGATGGTCTAGAGAAGAGGGAATCTTTGTACATTGCTGGTAAGAATGTAAGTTGGACTGGGCATGGTGGCTTATGCCTATAATCTCAGTACTCTAGGAGGCCGAGGCAGGAGGATTGCGAGTCCAGGAGTTCAAGACTAACCTGAACAACATGGTGAGATTCCCTCTCTACAAAAAAATTTAAAAACTAGCCAGGCATGGTGGTTCACACCTGTAGTCCCAGCTACTTGAGAGGTTGAGGTGGGAGGATTGCTCGAGCCCAGGAGGTCGAGGCTGCAGTCAGCCATGACTGCACCACTGCACTCCAGCCTGAGTGAGAGTAAGACTCTGTCTCAAAAAACAAACAAACAAAAATGTCAATCAGTGCAGGTTATGAAACTTCCTCAAAAAAGTAAGAAATAAAACTATCATATGACCGAGAAATGCCTTTTCTGGGTATATACCCAAAGGAAATGAAATCAGTATGTTGAAGAGATATCTGTACTCTCTTGTTCATCAAAGCACAATAGCCAAGATATGGAAACAACGTAAGTGTCTGTTAATGAATGAAAGGATAAAGAAAATGTGGTGTATATATACAATGAGATATTATTCAGCCTTAAAAGATCTTGTTTTTCTTTTTCTTTAAGAAACATGATACTGAATTACCAATGCACTGTCCAATAAGTTTAAGGGATTTCAACCAGAAGTATAGTTTTTCCTTTTTTTTTTTTTTGAAATGGAGTTTTGCTCTTGTTGCCCAGGCTGGAGTACAACGGCACGGTCTTGGCTCACCGCAACCTCTGCCTCCCAGGTTCAAGTGATTCTCCTGCCTCAGCCTCCCGAGTAGCTGGGATTACAGGTGCATGCCACCACGCTCAGCTACTTTTTGTATTTTTAGTAGAGACGGGGTTTCACCATGTTGGCCAGGCTTGTCTCGAACGCCTGTCTTCGGGTGATCCACCCGCCTCCACCTCCTAAAGTGCTGGGATTACAGGCGTGAGCCACCGTGCCTGGCCTAGTTTTTCCTATACTGTGATTTTCTTTCACTGAACTTTAGTAAATGAAGACAACTTGAAAGACAAAAGTATAACAAATGTAAAAGGAATTTTCTGAGAATCTGGAGTGCCACTACCAGGAAAAAGTGAATCATTTTGTCAGGAGGTCAGCTGGTGTCTGTGGCAGCAGACCTCCCCTTCAATCTGCGACTCTGTGTCAAGTTCTAAGTGACCCCATAGCATTATTGCTCAAGTTAAAGATAGTTACACATAATGAAGCAATCACATTCAGTATTAAGTTCTTTGGTAAGTGCTGACTGCTCAATGACTTGACAGAATATGAATTAAATGCTTTATGTAGTGGTCCCAGAGGAATTGGGCAATAGGAATTTATGCCATTATTTTTGAAACAACTCTGTGTCTGGCAAAAGCCAGAGACACCAGCCTAAGTTGACATCTTCCATGTGGCAATGGTGAATGATTTATATGCTAGGAGGAGTTTCCCCTTTGCTTGTAACAAAAACTATTTTTAACTCTCACAGTCAAGAGAATTTTGTTTTCTGGCTCAGGCACCTTTTAGATTAATATGCTTCCTAAAATTGAAATGACTCATTAGGATCTGTACTTTGAGTGGGCTGGAGTCTTGGTTCATACATCTCTCAGAAAGTCATTTCATCTTGAAGCTTTGGGAGAAGTCCCTCCAGCCACCCACGCGCTGGATAACTAGGGGAAAACTGATTAAGGGCTGTCAAGGAAAAAACAGAGCAAAGTGTACATTCCATTATCATTGAAGAAGTCTTGTCATGACCAAAAGGTGAAACAGTGCAGGAAAAAATTCAACTTCTTTTTGTTGTTTCACTTTCACTTATCTGCTCAGAGAACTATTTTCATGAGTTGGTTACAATTTTCAGGCCTCTTTTTTCTTACATCTGAGGGAAGGGGGCTTGGCATTAACTGGAACATTTGTCAGTCTCGGCAAAGATGGTGAGGGAGAAAGAAATAGAAATAAAAACAAGCTCTCAAAATGTGAGTGCTCCATTTGACAGAGAAGCAATTTCAGCATTGGCATTTTGGGGAAGAAGGGAGAAGAGAGGTAACATTCACATGCCTGCCTAGTGCAGGCTGTTGTTACATACATTATCTCATTTCAGATTTTGAGTCAGTGACAGAGAGCATGGGGTAGTGAACAAATCACAACTTGTACACATTACAAGAAAATGAGATCTCTCCAGAATAAAGGTCCAGAGAGATAGAATGAGATAGAGAGATAGAATGAGAGACAGTTGGGCATGAGTAATTGGATTGATATGGGAAAACAGAGGAATCTCTGGAAGGGCTGGGAGTCTATAGAAAATTTATGACTACATCAGCTTTAGAAGATAACCCAAAACCCTGGGAAGCTGGCTTTGGTTCAAGTTGTCTAGGAAACTTATCTTAAGTCCTTAACAGTTCATCAGACAGGAAAAGCTGTACCTTGATTTGCATTGTGGGGTTCTCTGAGTTCACCATTTCCCTGGGGATGGATCATTTATGGCCTCATTTAGAGACTGTGGACTACAGGTCCTATTCACTTTTATATCTCTAGCACCTAGCTTGGTATCTAGCAAATAAAAGCAGCTCAGTCAATGCTTACTGAATGAATGCCATGAATGTTGAACCACTATGTATTTGTTATTTGAAAATTGGGCAGACCCAATCCCAGTAAACTTAGTCAAAATGAAATACTTATATTATCTTAGGAATAGTTTAAAAAACTAAAGATTGGGAAGGGAGGAGGAAGACAGTGATTTAGTACAAAAGGAGTAAATGCTTTTGCCATGCAGCTATGGCAATGCATAAAATAAAGGAACCTGAAGTAAAACATGCTTTGTTACCCTGGAACTGTGCACCTGAGAAACATTTGGAATTTAAGTAAGGGTGTGGGGGTGGGGGCGCTATTATCTTTCTTTTACTCTCATAGAGTAGAAAGTACCCTTTCTGATGGCAGGTGCTGTGCTGGGCTTGGGGGTACAATGGAACCAGAACTCTTCTTACTCCTCTCCTAGAGTTCACGTTCTAGATGGGGAGACTGACTGATATTAGACACACAATGAGGTTGACTCCAGATACAGCTAGGGTATATGTTGGGGTGTGTGTGTGTAGAGGCAGCAGCCCAGATATCGTGACCCAGAGAGGCCCAGGAGGTCATATGAGTATTTCCTCTGGCTGGAGGCCACTGAGGAGAAGACTCACTCTGCTCAACCTTGTATATTGCAGGTAAGTGTCAGGATACAGTTGTCATGTATAATAAATACATCAAATCCTTTTGGGAGGGAGGATTAATAAGGCAGAGTTGAATAAAAACAAAATGTTATGGGTTTTGGGAGGGAGAGGAGGTTTGAATCTATTCATTGTAGACATACACATCAAGTCCTAATATGTGCCAGACACTGTGCTTGTTGTAATCAACAAAAAAACCCCAATCTTTGACATCACAGAACTTACAACACAGGTGCTTGGACCAAGGCTCTCAAATTCAAGGGTCTACTGGATGAGTAACAGAGACTGTGGCCAAGTGAAGGGTACTGGCCTTGTCTAGGTGGCCTTGTCTGAGTGGCAAGCCACAGCTCACTTCCTGGGGTTGTGCAGGAAGTCACGAAGATTCACTGTTGCCAGGTCTGATTTTCAATAGAATATTTATAAAGGAGTGCCTACACTCCTCAGGGAATGCTTCCCTGAAGAAAACACATTTTCATCAGGTTACTATACGGATAAGGAGAGAGCAACTTAACACTGTTTGATTTTGTTTTCCTGTTGATTTCGTGGCTAGATACTGTTTTGAGATGTTTTCCCCTTCCCTTATTTTTCTCTATTCCTACCCTTATTCAAGCTGGTAGCTGACTTTCTGTTATGTTGCCTCAGGGGAAATGTGGCAGGGCTAATGCAAAATTAGCCTGCAAATCTTTCTGGCTTTTATTTTCCCAAAGCCTAAAACCTGAAGAGTAATTTGCAGAAGAGATAAAGGAATAAGGATTTTCCAGTAAATGCAGAGTTCTGGATAACCAAGGGAAAAAGCAGCACTTAACTCCTGCCCCACACAAGAAAGATATTCCTCCTGGACTCAGAAGAGCTAGGGGGAAGAAATGGGGAAACACGGGTCTCAGAGCAGTGAAGATACTGGCTCTGCCTCTTGCTAATGCTATCACTGATACATCTAGGCAGAGTGGTCTGTTGGCAGCTTTAAAAAAAGTATACCTGTGCTTCAAGTGTGGCATCAGGAGCTGCCAAGAGCTGCTGGACAAGAAGGAGCTATGCAGCCAAGACAGCAGGTGCAATTTGGTGGTGACTAAATCTCCTGACTAATCCTGACCCTGACCATAGTCACAGAATCTCTACCCTATCTCTGATATGGGGAAAGATTTTGGAATCATGGCCCAAGATCTTTTCTAAAGGGAGGGGAGAGCCCTAAATGTGACTGAGGTGAAGTTTTCTTCCTACTTTCACTAGTGGCTAAGTTAAAATGGGTTGAGTCACAGAAAATACACTGATGTGTTATTCCTACATATCTGGATGTGCCCCGAAGTTCAAACCCACAGACATCACACACTAAAGTACCCATGTTTTCCTGCAAAGTCCTTCCAGAAGACTTATTTTTGTGTGTGTGAAGACAGACATGTATGGTACATATTTTTCTTTTTTGCCACAAATCCTATATCCTGATGTTGAAAGACTCGAAAGACAGTTCCTGCTGGACCCTCCCTAGAAATTCAGGTGCAGAATACTCTTGTCCTTTGGAGGACTGAAAGGGAGAAGCAGGAAAAGTGGAGTTAGGGCATTGGTTGCTTACTCAGAAGTTGGATGGTATCTTGGTCCTGAGGAGAGAAGGTTTCACTTAGTGTGTTACTCCCTTTAACAGAGTATCTGGGAGAGATTCCACACTGTGGTGGAGCTTGGAAATTCCTTGGACTGGATTTCTGGGAAATCTGCTCCACATATGGTAGAGCCAGGTACTCCATCATCTGGAAAAACTTTTGAGAGTCTTGCTCTTGATAGTTTTTCCAGGACACTGGCACAACACAACATTGTTGTAGGCCAACCAGGATGTGTGGTCATCTTGTCCCCACCGTGGGGAGACACTCTCATAGTATATGTTATATTGTTACTTGTGTCCTGTGCTTTGTCAGGAAAACATCACATCCTAGAAAATAGGCAGAAATTGCTGTTTTCTAAATCACTCAGAGGAATTTGAACAAGTACCCAGGGCAAGCTGTGGCCGATTCACTAGCAATTTGACAAAAGTCTTTGCTGTTGTAAGGTAGGTGGAGAGAGAAACAGATTTCTCTCTGCTTCCTGATATTCAAAGACTAGGGAAACGAATGAAAGGTCAAAGAATAAGAGACTATTTGTACTCTTGCTTAGAAGAAGGAATTCAAATAGATGACCTTTTAAAAAACACAAAAGAAACTGTAAAAGATTATGGCTGGAAGAAATGTTCACAGTAATTTGTAAAATGCTTCTGCTAATGTTAAATTAATTGCAGAGTCTGTTGTAGACCTTAGGCCTAACTAAGCCCTATTCCAGGATGGTATCTCTAACTAGGTTGGAGCTTCTTGAATTACCTAGTTTGAGATCCTAGGTAACAAGAGCTTACTGGGAAGTACATGCTTTGGGTCCCAAGGACTTATTATTTAAAGGGTGTTTCTTGATGGTCACCATTGAGTATTGACTTCTACTCTTAATGTTGTCATTTCATGAGTTCTATGCAATTTTTCTGTAAGAAACAATTTCTTTTTTTTTAATTTAATTTAATTTTATTATTATTATACTTTAAGTTTTAGGGTACATGTGCACAATGTGCAGGTTAGTTACATATGTATACATGTGCCATGCTGGTGTGCTGCACCCATTAACTCGTCATTATTTCTTTCTCTTCCACGCATGTCTTAGCACCAAGAAAAATGTGGTTCTGAAACTTTTATTCTGTGTTGTCAATAATGGCTCTTAATCATCCAGGTGGAACTCACCTCTAACCTTATTTTCAGGGAGTGAAATTTTAGCTTAAACTGTGACCATGAAATATAAACATGCCAACCAATCATTTGCTAACTGTTATGGGTTTCAAAGCTACCTAGGAAGCTTCAGAAAATACAGAACTTTACTGCTAGTGGTATTTCAAGACATCTAGAGTTACCATGATGGATTGCAACAATCTGAGCCATACAGTTCTTCTTACTTTGAAACAGATTTTGAAGATGGTGTTTAAAATTTTGGAGTCAGACCAAAGACACATCCTTCTAGGGTGCACATTTCGAAAAACAATAATACATTATATTCATTTGAACAGAGGAATCATGATAATAACTTAAGTTTTACTGTAATGGTCTTTAAGGGTTAAATTTGGTTTTGAAAACATACCATCAAGGTGTTATTTTACATTATAGTCTTTGATAATATCAGTCTATAAAAGTATTGACTACATTACAAATGTTCTTGTGCATAGTATATTATATATGAAAATAATAATGTCATTTCATAACAATGAATAATATAGAACATCCACATCCATTACCTTGTTTGTTTTTAAAAAATATTTTTATTTTGAAAATAGAGATGAGGTCTCATCATGTTGGCCAGGCTGGTCTTGAACTCCTGGCCTCATGCAATCCTCCTCCCACCTCAGCCTCCCAAAGTGTTGAGATTTCAGGAGTGAGCCACTGTACCTGACCTAAATTGCCTTTCTTTTTTTCTTCCTTCCTTCCTTCCTTCCTTCCTTCCTTCCTTCCTTCCTTCTCTCTCTCTCTCTCTTTCTTTTTTTTTTTTGACAGGGTCTCACTCTGTTGCCCAAGCTGGAGTGCAGCGGTGTGAACACAGGTCACTGCAACCTCAATTGCTGGGGCTTAAACAAGATCCTTCCACTTCAGCCTCCAGAGTAACTGAGGCCTCAGAGGTGTGCCACCACTCCTGGCTAACTAAAAAAAAAAAAATTTTTCTTTTTTATTTGTAGAGATATTGCCCATGCTGGTCTCGAGTTCCTGGGCTCAAGTGATCCACCCACCTCAGCTTCCCAAAGTGATGGGATTACAGGCATGAGCCACAGTGCCTGGCCCTAAATTGCTTTTTCATGCTTGAGTTTACTAATACCTTGAATTTATTCTATTCTATACTTGACTAAATTTCTTAAGCTCCAAGAATAAATCAGGAAGAAGATAAAAAGAGTGGAAAAAATAATGAAAAATAAAACAAAGACATAACAGAAAGTATCATCCAAGTGAAAAGTTGTTTCTTTTAAAAATAAAATAGCAAACACACTTTACTATTTCTTGCTCTACCATTATTGAAAGTCACTTTCAAAATCTCCCACTTTGCTAGGACAGTTTTTACTTTATCTATTTTGAATCAATATTACTAGGTATTTTTACAGGCTTAGGATTGTTTAACTCTAACTAAAATTTAATCAATAGGTAGTGAGTCTTATCACTAAGTAACATTTTTGTCTTAAAGTTTATATCGAATATATCTAAAGTAGCTCTCTTTTTGGAGTTTACCAAATTTATTTTTTTCCTTATTGTATTTTCAATCTTTTTTTGGTATTTCCATTTTTAAGTGTATCTTTTATAATCATCGTACATCTAGAATATTAAAAATTTATGCTGCTGACTTATTTTTTAACTGGAAAAGTTTGTGCATTGACATTGATACTGATTTCTGATATATTTCTACTCATTTTGGTGATGTTTTGGACTTTTGATTTGTCTCATGTATTGTTTCTTCTCTCTGCTGCACATTTTCCCTTCTCTTGGAGTTATTGAATTTCCCTCCCTCATTTTATTGTCTTCCCTCTAATAGGTTTTAAATTAGGGGTTCTATTTCTATTCTTTTAGTGGTTACTTAAGAAATGTAATACTCCAGTGTTTAAAGTTAATTTTACCCTCCTCCAAATCAATACAAGGACCTTGGAACATTTTAATCCCAACCACCACTTCCTAATTTGAATACTGTTCTTGCCTATGGTTTAATTTTTTTCCAGATTCATACCTCACAAACAAAACAGTATCATTATGATTTGAACAATTAATATTTGTATAGATTTGCCTTCATGTTTGCCATATTATTTACTTACCATTCCTTCTTCAGTTTAGTTCCCTGAAGTACATCATTTGAAGTTCCCTTGCTGAAAATCTGTTAGTAGGAAACTCTACTTTTATTTATTAGAAAATATCTTCAATATACCCTCTTTTTTAAAGGATAATTTTATTACATATGTAATTGTAGGTTTTGTTGGTATTATTACACTTCTCTAGATGTCATTGTTTGTCTAATTGTTACTATTTTGTGGGTAGTCTTTATCTTTCCTTTGTTTTGTGTAAGATTGTCTCCTTAGGGTTCTGCAGTTTTATTACGATACGTCTAAATGTGGTCTTATTTTCATTCTAAATGCAGTGAATACCTTGCTTGGTATTCACTAGATTGTCAGAACCTAGGCATTTGTGTCTTTTATTAATTCTGAAAAATCTGTTGCCATTATCTCTTTAGTGCCCATCTCCCTTTCTCTCTATAATCTCCTTCCGGAATCTGAGTTCATATTGCACATTCTCACTCTCCATGTCAATTAACATGTTTCATATTTTCATCTTTCTATTTTTGTCCTGCGTCCTGAATAAAGTCTGAAGAACTAACTTTCAGTTCGCTAATTCTCTCTTTAGTAGAATCACAGCTGTTGTTTTATCTCTATATTGGTTTCTAATATCAATTATTACATTTTCATTTCTAGAAATTCTATTTGTTGTTTTTTTCAGATCTACCTGATCAATTTTTGATAATCTCTTTCTCCCGTGTCATACAATGAAAACTGTCTTATATTTCTTTAAACATATTTACTTTAATTCTTTATCTAGTAATTCCAACATCTGTAATCTTTGCAGGTCTGTTTCTGTAGCTTATTGTTACGCTGCCTCTTTCTCATGTGATTTGTTTAAAATGTTAAAAAATTAGTAGCTCATAGTCCTTAGAACTTGACCTGTGGGAATTCTTTGAGATCCTATTTTAAAATGCATTCTTCCAGAGGATCTGTAATTGTTTATGCCAAACACCTAGGGAAACTACCAATCTGAGACTACTTAAAATTAAATTTTAGCTTCAGTGGTTTTAAATTCATACAGATAATATGCTTTCTAGCCCCAAATATGCATACATATGGGCTATGGTCAGAAATTCTCAAAGGAGAAATGTTTTTCCTATTTATTTTGCTATCAACAGACCAAAACTCAGACAGGCACATTTCCCTATTTCCTTTCTTATGGGACAGATTTCATCCTAGCTCATCCACTGAGAGTTTCCTGGATTTACTCTAGGTCTCTGGTCCAACATTTCACATTTGCTGCGTTCCAAGCCTTTCCTTTTGAATGCCATATTGGCAACTGTTAAAACCCAGGTTCTAGAACACTACGAGCAGCAGTCACATGCCTCAGTTACATAACCAGCGTGAGAGTGTCTGTCTATAGGAGCTACTGGCCTGCACTCGTATCTGGCCTCCACAAATTCCTGTAACTTTACTAGAAGGTCAGTTATGCTTTAAAAAAAGCCTTTAAAAAATATTCATTCCACAATCCCAAGAGTACTGTACTGGGAAGAGTTTCTCCCAACATATAAACAAAAAAATTGAAATCTGTGATGGTCAATTTTATGTGCCAATTTGACCAAGCTAAGAGGTGCCCAGATGGCTAGTAAAATATTATTTCCAGGTATCTGTGATGGTGTTCCCAGAAAAGAATAGCATTTGAATCAGTCCACTGAGCAAAGAAGATTGCCCTCACCAATGTGGGCAAGTGTTCCAATCTGCTGAGAGCCCAGACAGAACAAAAAGGCAGAAGAAAGGCAAATTCACTCTTTCTCTCTTCTGGAGCAGGGACATTCATCTTCTGCCCTCAGACATCAGAGCTCCTGGTTCTCAGGCTTTTGGATGAAGAGACTTACACCAACAGCTCCTTTTCTTCCTGTTCTCAGGCTTCTGGACTCAAAATGAATTACATCACTGGCTTTCCTAGTTCTCCAGCTTGCAGATGGCAGATCATGCGACTCCTCAGCTTCCAAAATCATGTGAGCCAATTTCTCATTTTATATATATATGGTCTCTTATTGGTTCTGTTTCTCTGGAGAACACTGATGAATACAAAAGTGAAGCATACCCAAGCCCCTGTTCCAAAAACTCCTGAGATAAGCCTGGCTCCAGTTGCTTCTGCTCAGTTCTCAGTGTATAAGGGGTATACATAGATTTAACTCAGGGGAAACATTAATTTAAACTATATCTAGAAGATGAATCAATTAAGTCATGTATATTCTGCATTTAAAAAGTCTTCATTAAAAATTGTAATAACGTGGACATAATCTTTCTGTTATGGCTCCCATAGAAATATTCTAAAGAAGAATGTTCAAAACTATTTTGCTATTATCTAAGTTTAGTTTTGAGAGACTGAGTTGCTAAACCTCCATGGGTGAATCTGATTATATGTCAATCACAGACCTGGGTTTTTAGTGCACAAACCCACTCTCAGAGGGACTGAAATATCCTGGGAAAAACATAAGAGAGTTATCTTTTTCATCTGGCTGTCTGGGTTTCTTTATTGGTATTGTCAGTCTCCTGTAGTTGACTGGGTAGGAGCAGGGTCTTCCCTGAGGCTCAGTGTAAGGAATTTTCTCCACATCCATGGTTTTGTGGAATAAAAAAGGCACCTGGGCTAATACATATGATTCTTCTTGAGCTATTTGTGATTCCTCCCTCCTCCCCCTTAAAAGTAAATGATAGGTAAAAAGCATCATTAGAAAGATAAAATATGCTGATATTCACTTTTAAGGTTAAAGAAATAACATTTACTAAAAATAAATTGTTATAAATAAGATGGTCAGCTGCATTGAATACAAAAGTAAAAAGGATATGAAAACTCTTTCAAAAAAACAGCTGTAGGAACACAGGATCTTCCCACACATGGGCAAGCGGTTGGCCCCTAGAAACAAGGCCTCTAACAAGAGAGGTGTGGAGGAGAAAGTGAGGCCAACATTCTAGGTAAGGAAGGTGAGAGGGACAGAAGAGTTGGCATGCTTTGGGGGATGGTAAAAAATCTAGATCCGCAACCCCCAGGAGGTGTGGATATCTAGTGCAGCGATCCCAGGAATTTGAACAGAAGGGACATGGAGCAGTGATGGAGACCTGATTAGCTGTGGCTTCCAGTTTTGGGAGATACTTGAGCTGCAAGATTGGGAAAGCTGCTATTGTAGGAGTAGAACATCCAAACCTCACAAAAGTGAGCATGAGATCATTTGACACCTACCTCACCTCAGTACTACCACGGCAGGTAGCACAGAAGTAAGGAGGAATGGGGAGTGGCTTTATAGGCAGCACTTAGCCAAGGCCTTTCCTTTCTGCCAAAAATCAGCGTGTTCTACATGACCACTACAATGGAAAACATTCCTGAGTAAGGAGAGACCATTTTTCAGAGTTCACAGGAGAGTCCAAAGGGACTTAGAATCTATAGTAGTAAGTTAAAAAAAAACAAAAACGATGTAGAACAATGGAACTATAACAGAGGAAAATTCTGTTTAAATTATGAATATTGACTGTTTTTTTAAAACAAAACTAAGAATTTTCTGTAATTTGTAACCAGTCAGTGGCAGGGTCAATAACAAGAGTTTAGAGGCCAATACATAGAAGAGGCCGGACCACACTAGAACAGAGATCAGTCCCCGCCCAAGGTTCTGGCATTTCCTCAAACTCAAGAGGAAATTCTTAAATTCAAGCCATGCTTTTCATTCTAAGAGTTTTTATAATGAAGCATACAACTATTCCATGTAGCAGGAAGGGAACTGCTTAACTGTAGGGTATGTGGGAGGGATTATCTCCTTTACTTTCTTGGCCATTCCAGTAAGTTTTGATTTAGAAGAGGAAATATAAGATAAAATTTGTCTAAGATAGCAAAAGGATAGGGAGGCTTGCTCAGAAAAGATGAAGTTTGGTCAGTTATAACATACTTGACAGTATCTAATTTAGAGTTTCACATTTTTAGGAAGTGTGAAGAGATCAGAGAGTCAGGAGATGTGCAAGGAAAGCGATGATAGGCATAGAAAATAGGACCTATCAAGAAAGCTTTAAAAAGCATGCAGCAGTCCTTAAAGATGGGAAGGTTTTGGTGATTTAATGTGACTTGAGGTGACTTTCAGGAATACAAAAGATTATTAGAAAGAAGTGAGTCTATAACACTATGGAAAAACTTCTGGTCAGGTATCAGGCAAATAACTTTTAACAAGTTAAAAGATACAGAACTAGCTGCTTGGTAATATGCTTTCCTGCAATAAGGATGTAGGAGGATGTAAGAAAATCAATTGATCCCTTTTTCATTTGTGATCATTTAGGTGCAGTGATCTGTGAGTATACAAAAAAAACAAGCACAAATTTAAACTATAAATAAAAATGTGGCACTAGAAAGAAAAAAAAGGAGGAAGCATCCCAAGGGAAGGTGCCAACATAAAGTATAATACAACTAAACGATGTGCTTATTCCCAAGCTCAAAACAAAACAAAAGAAAAACAAACACACAAAATGAATGTACCTTGTAAGGCTTAGCTACGTTAGCTTTGTCATAAAACAATATGTACTGTATAATTTTTAAAGGTTTAATATATACGTAAATATATATACCAAAATGTCTCTCTGGAGAGATTGCAGATGATTTTTTTCATTGTATTTTAAAGATATATTCCCAAATCTCTATAACCAACACTTTATGACCAGTAAAAATAAACAAATATTTTAAGCAAAAAAAGAGGCCCAGCACTATGGCTCATGCCTTTAATCCCAGTGCTTTGAGAGGCCAAGGCAGGAGGATCGCTTGAGCCCAAGGGTTTGAGGCTTCAGTGAGCTATGATTGCCACTGTACTCCAAAAACAAGAGAGAAAAGAGGGAATTAATCAATCTCCTCCCAATCTGATCAGCAGAGAAGTGAGTCCTTCTGTCTCAAAGGGAAATGAACTGAACTGAAGCTGTTGAGAGGAGAGTCATAAGAATGAAGAGGGGAATGGGGATATTTAGCTTGGAAAGAAAAGTGTGCGTGGGGTGTGCCTCTAAACATTTCAGTGACTATCTAATAAAAGAACAGTTCAATATTCCATGGGGTAGAGAACTAGATTTAAGATTGTAAGTATCACCTAAAAGGAAACATATTTTGGCTCATTATCAGGATGACATTTAATGGTCAGAGCTCCCCAAAAATGAGATACATTTCCCTGGAATCCAATGAGCTCAAAATACTTAACATTGAAGAAATGGAGACCCCACAGTTGGAGTAGGTGACTCTAAGGATCTCCACCAACTTTTTTTTTCCCTCTCGCTAATTGGTCTCACTATAAATAAGAAAAGTTATTTTTCACCTTTGACTGTGTCTGAAATTAGATGAGCAAACTATGGATAATGGAATGACTACGGATACTTTCTCAAGTGGAGCAGAAGTGCCTGGTCAAACTAAGCCTCCTCTTCTGACCTTCAGGTATGACTCTCATCTTCTACCTCAAGAAGCTTCTGGGAATACATACAGAAAAATGTTAACTTTTAAAATTGCCAGCCATATTTGCTGGAAGTGTTCCCATGTATGCCTGTGACAGTGGTAGTGTTTGTGAAGGTGAGGCTGATCAATGAAACTAAGGTGGAAAACATCTGAGTAATGGCATGTGGACTTACATAACATCAGATAGTTTTGGTAGCAGGAAAACACATAAAACTTTCTGCTTTCTTTTATAAATCAAATAATTATGTTAGTGGCATTTTGGTAAATTGGTTAGAAAGTTTCATTTCAAAAGTTTTGATTACAAAGTTTCTGATGATTTTTGTTGACTGATAAAAATAGGATATCCTGAATTTGCATATTCAAAGGATTGAGCTTCTTATTTTTATTGCCAGTGAGAATTTTCCATAACAGAAAAGGCTTGACAAGTATTCTCACCACGACTTTTCACATCCCAGCCTGAGAAATGAGATCAAGGAAAGTGGAGCTTGTCTAATTGCTAATTTGCCAATTTGAGTCTGTAGGAAGTGGAAAATTGAGGCTTTGACTTTACTTTAATTTTACTTTCTATACTTTGATATGGACTGAATTTTTAATAAGACCATTAATTATTTTTTATAATAAAAACAAATTGTAAAAATTAAACATTTAAAGGTTAGCATTGCCAGAGACCTGTGCCAGTACATAACAAATGCGATGAAGTACAGGCAGGGTGGAAAGTGGCTGAAAGCAATCTTCCGACTTCTATAGCTCTGGTTCCAATCTTGGCTGTGCTTCTTACTAGATGTATGACTTTTAATTGTCTTCACTTTTAAAGAGTACTTTTATGGTTTACAGACTTATATGATGACAGGGTTGTTTTTTTTTTCTTCAGCACTTCAAAAATGTTTTAAAAAATGACTTCTTGCCTCTATTGTTTCTGAAGAGAAGTATATTTTCCCTTTGTGTAATGCATTTTTTTCCTTGCTGCTTTCAAGGTTTTCTTTTTCTTTTTGTTTTTTAGAAGTTTGACACAGAAAAGAAATGTGATTTTCTTTGCATAGTTTCTGCTTGGGATTTGCTGAGCTTCATGGATCTGTTTGATGTGTTTCAACAAATATGGAAAATTCTCAGCTATTATCCCTTCAAATATTTATTCTGCACCATTGTCCCTCTTTTTCTTCCAGAAGTCCAATTGCATGCATGTTGGATCATTTAATATTGTCCCATACACCTTGGATATTCCATTCTGTTTTTCTTCCTCTCCTCTCCTTTTTATTCTGTTTTAACTGGATACCTTGTGCCTACCTGCCATCTAATTCAGATTCTTTCCTCTGTTGAGTCCTACATTCTTCATTTCTTTTACTGTGTTTTTTATTTGTAGCATTCCCATTTGACTATCTTAAAAATAGGTGCCTGATCTCTCGTGAAATTCCCATGTCTTCATGAATGTTGTTGACTGATCCCACTGGAACTTGATTTTTATCATAGTTAAGTTTGATAATTTGCTGATAATTCTAACATCTATGACATCTCTGGGTCTGCTTCTATTGATTACTTTCTCTCTTGACCATGTGTCACATTTTCTTGCTTCATTGCATGTCTAGTCATTTTTACTTGTATCTGCACATTTTGTATAAAAAAACAGTAGAGACTGAACTAAGCAATATTTACTTCTAAGTCCATGCCATTTCACTTGTGTCAGGCTTGTTGATTGAGAAACAGAGTCCATCTGATAACTGGGATTGGTCTTTCTTGCAACTTTAGTTTGACTTAGTTTACCATTGTCTTCAAATAATTTGAGAGCAGAATCAGTACTTACTCTTCTTCAGGCATGGAATCTGAGTGCTGGGTGAGGTTCCGGAGATTGCTGCACTTTACAACTACGCTTCCAGCTTTCTGAAACATTAGATGTATCTCTTTGCTTTACAATTCAGCTGTTATTTGGGCTTTTGAGACTTCTCTTTGCTCTCCAGTCCTGTACCAGGGTTTCTGCACCTATGGAATTCTCTCTCTTTCTCTGCCTGAAATGTCTCAAAAAGATTTCTCTCAGTTCTCCAGTCCTACCTTGCTTGGCAGCTGAAAGTCTGGTGTATCTTAAACTCATTTCTCTCAGATCTTCTGTACTACTCTCCTTCGTCTGCAAAGGATGACTGCCATGCACTGGGAGGCTCCACACACTTAGGATCGCTTTTAGCTCTCCTGCATTACCGTATAGTGTGTGGTATATCACATGCCCAGCACTAGGTGAAGACTCATGGAACAGAGTTTGCAGGTATATGTAGACCTGCCTTGTGGCTGAGGTCCTTTAGAATTATAATCTGCCTCACCGGTCCATATGTGGCCATTAAAACCTAAAGTTTTGGCTGTTTTTTTTTTGTTTTTTGTTTTTTTTTTAACTAACTCTTTCTATGATGGATTCTTTTTTTTCGTAATCTGTTAGGGATGAGAGAAGTATGAATATTTTTCCTCCTACAAATGAAATTTTCTGGAGTTTTGTACATTTAGGTTTCTTTTCATCCTTAGCTTTCTGTTGGGTTCAGAAAACTGTAATTTTACAGCTTATCAGGCTTGTTTTTGTTGATAGAATGAGAGTTGATCTTTTGTGGCTTACTATATCCTAAACAGAAGTCACTACATAATTTTTAGTAAGTTACCTAACCTCTCTGAGTCTCATCTGTAAGATGACCTATGGGATGCTTGTGGGGATTAAAGATGATGTGCTGTATATTCTCATTATCTTTTCCTTTCTCCTTTGGATGGTGCTTGAAATAGTGCACAGTATGATTATAAAAACAAATTCACTGTGCACTATTTCTTTCTCCTTCATTTAATTGTGTGCTTCTCTTTGTCAATGTTCATCCAAGTTGAATAAACTGTTTCACCTGTTGCTTCAGAAAATCTTATTCATCCTGAAATATACTAGTTTTATTCAGAGCTGTGGCTTAAATAAATGAATAGCCAGCCCTAAAAAAGTCACATACACTTGGATACTGACTCTCAAATATCATCAAATAGATTAACATTTTAATGAAACAACCACAATTACAAATTCATATCTCCAAGCATATAAATATGTTAATAAATACTTTTTATTTGACAGATATCCCCATTTTTTTGAGCCAGGAAATCTGAGCCACAGATTTCCTTAAGGTAGCCTGCTTAAGGAAAGAACATAAACCACAGTAGAGACTATTCTTGAACACAATTTTACTGTCTTGATTCACACAGCAGTTATCTAGACCATGCTGCTAATTTACACAGATTTGGGATTCCTGCAACCTACTTCTATATAACATTCATTATTTTTTAAAGAGACAGGAAGAGTATATATTAAGTTCACTTCATTTTTTTGGATGAGACGTTAATAAAAATGCCACAAGAGTGCAGAAAACCATATGTAGGTGACATTAGGTTATAGAAAAAGGCAGGATACATTTGGCTGAAGGGCATAACCTTGCACTGATAACTGGCTAAAATTCCTCTATGTCTCTAATCCACTCTGCCCATTCAACACCAGTAAACCTACCATGGAACCCAAAATCCAAATGTTGGAAGATGTCCAAGGGTTATCCCTCATACTCTGCTTTCTAAGCAAAAAGAATCGTCTTTTTTTTTTTTGAATGGAGGTTCTGATTAAACCCTAGCTAAACTGACTCAAGTACTCTGGCTTACATGATGCCCTGAAGGATTATTACTGACGTCATTTATGTGATCACAAGCTGTGTTTACAGCAATAAAGAAAGCCAGGCTTGGGTAGTATTAATAGCCCTACTAATTACACTACTATAAAAGGTTTATGGATGGTATAAATTCCTATATTATTATCCAATGCTCTGGCAGTGGCATTCTTCCAGAGGAAGGTATCACAGGGCTCATTTGTTTTCCCTTTTTTTGCACTAATTCATGAGAAGATGAAACAAGAGACTATATGAAAGAAAGAAGAAAAGGAGTCCACTGGGACACACTCTTACACCAAGATCATTATGATTTCACATTTTTACTTTAGGACTTAAAAGTTATTTCATGTTGCCAATAAACATATAAAAGGAAGCTCATTTTACTGGTAATTAAGGAAATGAAATATAAAACAATAAAATATTTTTCACCTTTCAGACTGACCAGAAAATTACTGATAATATTCAATGGTGACACTTAAGTGGGGAAATAGGTACTCTTGAATACCAAGAATAGGCTTTTGAATTGGTAATGTTCTTTTTGGGGAAGGACTGTGAAGGGGAATTTTTATTAATATTTAGAATGCCCGTTGACTCAGCATTTATTTTTAGAAATGTAAACAAGATACACTCACATGTATACAAAGATATACCTATAAATATGTTTTCTATAAAAATGGATGGAATAATTCAAAATTGGAAACAATTTGTATGACCACTAACTGTGGGCTTATCAATGTTATCACAACAACTAAAGTGAAAAAAGTAAGCTGCAGGCTGGGCATGGTAGCTCACACCTGCAATCCCAGCACTTTGGGAGGCCAAAGTTCTTGAGCCCTGGAGTTCAAGACCAGCCTAGCCAACATGGCAAAACCCCACTGTCTCTACAAAAAATATAAAAATTATCAGGGCATAGTGGTGTGAGCCTGTAGTTCCAGTTACTTGGGAGGCTAAGGTAGGAGGATCTATTGAGCTCAGGAGGTCAAGGGTGCAGTGAGCCATGATCAAGCCATTGCACTCCAGCTTGGGTGACAGAGAGAGACCCTGTTTCCAAAAGAAAAAAGAAGAACAAAGAAAAAAGCAAGCTGCAGAACAGTTTGTTTAGTTTCTAGCATTTACACAAAAACACATTATAATTATGTATATAAATGCATATGCACAGAAACATGCCATGAAAGATAAATAACAAAATTTAACAAGACTTCCTTTGGAGAATGGGATTTATGGTAGATGAGACAAACTATTACTTTAAAAAAATTATATTTATGTCTATATTTGAAATGTTTATATTTACATAAACACTTACTGTTTATATTCATGTCTTACTTGGGTAATTTAAAAGATTAAAGTAAACTTAAAAATGAGGTCAGGTGTGGCTGGCTCACACCTGTAATCCCAGCACTTTGGGAGGCCAAGGCAGGTGGATTGCTTGAGCTCAGGAGTTTGAGACCAGCCTGAGTAACATGGTGAAACCCTGTCTGTATAAAAAAATACAAAAATTAGCTGGGCATGGTGGTGCACACCTATAGTCCCAGCTACTTGGGAGGCTGAGGCAGAAGAAAGGCTTGAGCCCAGGAGGCAAAGGCTGCAGTGAGTCCAAATTGCACCACTGCACTCCAGCCTGGGTGACAGGGCCATACCTTGTCTCAAAGAAAAATAAAAAGAAAATGGTTATAATGTTATCACCTCAAATATAGTCTCAGAGTCTCTTGGCTCTCCACGGCTTCTTTGTAGAATTTAGCATATAAACATATTAGCAAGTGGACATATTAGCATGTTATATCTATTCTATAAAGTGGGCATGTGCCTTAGAAGCAGTCCAACAAATATATTTGATTCAAAGATTTTTATTAAGGAGATCTTTCCATTTATTTTAACTCTCAATCAAATTGGATTGATTTTAATTGGAAGTTCCATATAGTAAGAGATGAATGGGGTTCTTTGAGTTTAGCAAAAATGCTGAATAAAGAGTGCAATATCAATCAAAATTATTTGTTATAAAATTTGTGCCTGAAATATTATTTGCTTTTTTACATTAGGATCAAAGTTTCCCACTCTGAAATCCAAGGCAACTTAGCCTGCGTTTTAGAAGACACTCTGCTCAAAGAACAAAAATTAGCATAGTACATCTTTGGCCTCCTTTCCTCAACTAGACAGGTTAATTAGAAAGCAGGTATAGCAACATCCTAGTTGCTAAATTCTTGATTTTGAGTTTCTTTGAATCCTTATTAAAAGATCTTATTTTGGCTCACAGAATAGAGCACAGAAGTACATGTTGATTTGATTTCAATAGAAATGGAAAATAATCACTTTTTATTAACCAATTCCTCCCCTGTTTTTTTTTAAATCCTGATTTCAATTTATGTCATAAATGATGAAAGGTTTACATGGTCATCCAGTGCCTATAATGTTTTAAAAGAGGGATTATTGGGATGAAGGTGGGCAGGTATCAGAGACAGAAAGCAGTTCAAAGGTGGTAGTAGCAGTCCAGGTAAGACGCGATGGGTGGCTTGGCTGGGGGCAGTGATAGGGCTGATGTGGATCGAGAGAGCGCATCTGTAAGGGTCTCATAGTGTTGGGAACACAGCTCAATAGATCATCATGAAATTTAACTGACGACAACTATGCATCAGTCAATATGTTCTTCAACCAAATTAATCTCCAACCAGAGATAATGTGGGTTCTTTAAGTTCATTTGTTGAGTCTGCTTAAATGTTAGCCATGGGAGGCTGCATAGATATATGGGAGATATTTGTGGTGGGGTTGTAGAGACCTTCTCTAGGGGAAAATTCCCTTTATGCTTTGCAGGTGAAGCCGTGAATAGATTTTGCTCATAAATTTTGGTATAAGATTAATAGGACACAATAATGTTTTCTTCAAAGGAGTGATCATTGCTACATTTGGTTGGAATATTTACCTGTGATACTTTCTGAAAACACATTAGGACTAGTGGAAATTGTGCATATTGCAATGTTGCTATCAGAGGCACCATTAATTTACTCCTCTAGAATACTATGATATGGTAATCGAATACTCTGAAAGATGTGAAGAACATTTGCTGAATGGAGCATGCTGCATACTCAGAAAATGAGATGAGCTAGTTGGTTAAAAAATTGATATTTTGCTCTCTCTTCCTGCCCCTCTGCAGATGCTAACAGTCCCAGTGAGTTGTTGTATATCTTTGTTCTCTGTCAGATACTAGGATAAAGCCCATGAACCCTGATATCTTCCACCGTGTTTTCACTTGGTCACTTTATAACATAAGATTATAGTGGTTTTCTAATATTTTATGGGACTTGTTAGAAATTTCAAAAGAGTTTAAATTCAGTATACCAGCAAGGGCTGAAAGTATATTCCCAAATCACCAGGAAAAGGAGTAAAGCCAGTTTGCCATTACATAGAGGGGTCACTTGGGTCTGAAGTCAGTTGCTGTAGACCACTGACCTATATATAACTGCTCGTAAAGGAAGACGAGACAGTTAAGAGTCTTGGAAGTGACTCATATCCCTTATCTGCATTTTCACTTTCCACGGTTTCAGTTATCCATCGTTAACCACCGTCTGAAAATAAGTGAGTACAGTACAATAAGGTATTTTGAGAGGGAGACCATATTCACATAACTTTTATTACAGTATATTGTTATAATTGTTCTATTTTATTATGTTATTTTTGTTACTGTGCCTAATTTATAAGTTAAATTTTACCATAGGTATTCCTGTATGTATAGGAAAAAACATAATATATATATAAGGTTCTCTACTATATGCTGTTTTAGGCATCCATTGGGGGTCTTGGGATGTATTCCATGAGAATAAGGGGGGAATATTATATTTATCAAAATAGCCTTCTGGTCTAGTTCATAGAAGCCCAGCAACCAAGAAGCGGCCACAACTAAGTCTAAATAAAGGAAGTGGATGATGTCTGTGCAGTATTCTCCAAGAGAGATAGTTGGGGCAAGAGGTGAGGGGAAGACAGCGCAGGGACTGGAAGAACAGAAGCTGCTCTTCTTAATGCAAAGTCAGGGTCCCTTTGCGCAAAATCCCTTTGCATGTGAACAACTGAAGAAAGGCTAAGGGGAAGCCATGAAACAGCAAACTATTGATTCTAGCGGTTATAATGAATTATTCTGCTGTGAATAAGTGGGGAAGACAGGACTGGAGCTGGATGGAGAGAAGAGTGGTGAAGTGGATGATAGAGAGGTTCAGTTATGTGCTGTATAACGATGTTTTGGTCAACAACTGACTGTGTATACAATGGTGGTCCTACAAAATGTTAGTGGAGCTGAGAAATTCCTACTGCCTAGTGATGTCATAGCTATCATAACATCATAATGAAATTACTTAATTTTTAAGTAAGTTTAGTGTAGTCTAAGTGCATAGTGTCTATAAAATCTACAGTAGGGTACAGTAATGTCTTAAGCCTTCACATTCACTTGCCACTCAGCCAGAGCAATTTCCAGCCTTGCAAGCACCATTCATAGTAACTGCTCTATATAGGTGTACACTTTTTATTTTTATACCATATTTTTACTGTACCTTTAGTATATTTAGATATATTTAGATACACAAATATATACTCATTATTGTGTTACAATTGTCTACAGTATTTGGTACAGTAAGTAACATGCTGTACAAGTTTGTACCCCAGGAGCAATAGGCTTTACCATATAGGCTAACCATGTAGCCTAGGTGTGTAGTAGGCTATAACATCTAGGTTTGTGTAAGTACACTGTATGATGTTTGCACAATGACGAAATCACCTAAAGACGCATTTCTCAGAAGATATCCCTATATTAAGTGAGGCATGACTGTAAATGCTTTTGCAATTAAAGTTTGGTGAAGATAAGGGAAAGGGTGGCACTCAGATTTGTACTCTTGCGCAGTTACAGGGACTCTTTACTCGTCACTCTCCTCCTCTTATCTGTGAACTTGGAGGGGGTAGGAGAAGGGAGATCATCTTTACTCAATTAGGGATCCTTCGCATCTCGTAGCACAGTGACTGACAGACGAAGAAAGCCCCCCGAAGGCACTTGCTGAATAAATGAATAGTGAATGAAGTAATGAACGAGTGAATTCATGAAGAAAGAAATAAGGGACTGAGGAACTGAAATTTATATAAGAGAAATCTGAATAAGATGTAATCAGTTTGGAGCCTTCTGGAAGGTTCTATATAAAGTAATCATGGGCAGAACTAAAAGTATAAAACTCTTCAGAACTAAAAGTATAAAACTCAAGTTGCATCCTTGGCTTGCGTACCAGGTTGGCTCCTTCAGTTAAGAGACACTCTCAGTATAGGAACACGTTCACCAATGACTTTCCTTTTGGGTGTCTAGATTACTCAACACATCTGAGGTCCAAATAATAGAAAACAGGGGTAGAGACTTAATAAGTTTCCATGTAGTAAATAACTTACAATTTTTAACAGTGCAGAGACTTCTACATTTATGTCACTTACATAAGCTATGCCCACACATTTCTCTGTTGAAAAGAAGTTACTTACCAAGTTCCTTAACTTTATTTTTAGAAGGTGAGTTCTTCACTTGCTTCTGAATGATCTAACTTAGTTTCTTTTAGCCTAACAAAAGTTTAAAATCAATAGCTTGTTTAAAGCTGTGCTATAATCATCCCGAGTTTAACACTGCACAGCTGGAAATTTCGACCTCAGCAAATGACATCCACTAAGCCAAACGTTGAAATCTACTTGTAGGTATAGAACCTGCTGCTTTGAATCTGGTAAGGCCCCAGTAGTCCATTGAGTTTGTCCATAGCCCACTCCTCCAGCTCAGCAATGGCTGAGCAACAGCTCCATTCATGATCTGTGATATCATGGCCTTCTCCCCTTCTCAAATGATACCCTAGTGGCCACTTCTCCACCAGAAGTGGCTTTGTAGCCTCCAATGCTTTGTGTTCTCTCAGAGCATTTTGCAACTCTTTTTTTTTTAATCTTGCATTATTTTTAATTTTTTTCCTCTCCCCACCCTGATTTTATTTTCCAACTCTGAAATAGAACATTCTTATCTTGCCTAAAAATGGGAGACCAATTTCTTTTAATGACCTCATCTAAGGATAGTTCTTGTCTTTGGAGAAGTTCATTAGTAAGGCCAGATCTCTTACAGAGTTCTTACTGTAGTTTCCACTGTGATGGCCTTAACAGGGATGTGTTGTTCATTGATTATTCCAAATAATTGGTGGAGATTTGGAATTCTGGTTATAAACAGTGACCCAATTTTCCCTCTGGTAATGCATCTGAATATTTCTACTGTTGTAATGATAGGGTCTTCCAAAGTATCTATGGCTCCTGTGCCCAAACCTGATTCCTTGCTGGAAGTTATCAGGGGCAAGAATGCCATCCTGTCCTGGCTTTGGCCAAATCACACTTCTTTTTCCTCACCTTCTGCAGTTGACATGTACCTCGGTCAGCAGGCCAAATGGAAATTAGGTGTTCCCAGCTGCTTTGGAGCTGCACTGCTTTCTGTATGGCATGTATATTCAGTTGGTTGCAGTTTACAATGCATTCTATGTGTATTGTGGAAGAGAAAACACTCAGGAAAGAAGGTGGTCAAGCTTCATTTACAGCATGCTTTATTTTGATTGGTACCCTAGTGCTCTGAGCCTTTTCTTGAGCAAAGAATAGTAACTTGGGAGTGTTTTACTCCAGACATGACTTAAACAGAATCTGGATCTTCTCTGCAATGTCTGGATTTGTAATAAAAGTTCTGTCTCAGTCAAGGGAGTAGGAATGCTTTTCTTACCATTTTTCCCCATTTGTCTATTAGTTAAGGCTGTGTGAGTAGGAAAAAGCTGGGGTGAAGAGAGGAAATGTGAGAAGAGCTAGAAAACACACACACACAAACAAGGGGAGAGAAAGGGTGGGAAGTAATTCTGCCTTAAGGTTTCTCAGTTCTGATGAAAACTCTAGAACAAGCACTGGCCTAGGAAATTGTTTTCTCCACTTCTTCCTTTGGCAACCCTCCCTTCCCCTTTATAATCTCTCATAGCTTGGACCATCTGGGTGCAGTTATGCCTAGAAGTCCAAGGGTGGCTCTGGCTCCTTCTGAACAAAGATTTGGGGTTCCTATTGTTCCTCTTGGCTTAGCTTTCTCAGGCAGAAAATCTCTGACTCTATACCCTGGGGGAGGGGTCTCTGAGCTTGTGCATTTAGGAATTAGTCATGGGCTAGTATAATAATTATATCAGTGAGTTCTCTCACAGTGGCCACTGAAGTGGTAAGAAAATATCTAAAATGACTGTTTTATTTCTGATCCTTCTATGAATTACACTTGTGCCTACTCTGGCATCCAGGGCCAAGTGAAGGAGAACATATATGCTGGAATATGGTCATTGAATTTCAGAGTCTCCATGGTAGAATTTATTCAAATTAAGGGTTACATGTATAAAATCCAACTTGCTGAGAAGAATCAATATTTAGTAAGCAAATCTAATGTTGATGATGGCATATTATATTCAGTTTATTGTTTTCTGTATGCCTCACACTGTCCTATAAGTTTTTTATGCATCATCTTAACCCACATGAAACTTGTAAAGAATTTACTATTATTATCCTGACTTATGAAATGATGAAATACAGCACAGACAAATTATAGATACTCATTAGGGTGACTCAATGACTCTTGAATTTTGACTGAATTGAGAAATAAGAAAAGCCCAGATCCTAATTGTTTAAAATAATATTTTAATTTAGTTGACTTAAGTAGTAATTCCTAAATATGAGTCTTAAAGATAGACATTGTCTTAGAAATGAGTAATTAGGCAGTTAAAGACAAAAAATTGATATTCACTCTATTTTTTGGAAGAAGCTTCAAATAGTAAAACAAAAAATGGCCAGAAACATAAATTCTAATCATATTTTGTTTTATTTGGAGTTATTTCCTTTATGTTTTTCCTCATATAGACCACTAAAAGAGCCCAATCACTTTAACTTGTAAAAAGTCCTAACAAGTATCACATTTAAATTTGGTGAGTTACATGATGATGCTTCTTCGAGTCCTCAAAAATCTTAGAAAGGGAAACCAATGAAACTAGACATTCAAAAAATGCATAGGCAGGAAATTATGATCCAGAGATAATTATTATGCAGTTCTAAGTCTTAAACAAAAAAAACTGTTTGCTTCATTTTTTCTTTCCTGCAAATCTCATGCAGTAGACTGCAATAGTGTCTGCAAGATGGCTAACTGCTGAGTCTTTGATTTAATGAAAACTTAGGGAAAGCAATTCAGTTCACTGCAGGGACTGCTTTGTTCTTCCATTATGATTCTTTTTTCATGAGAAAGATGATTGTAAAGATAAACTCTATTCCTCTGAATTTTTACACTAATTACATACAAAGCACTATTTTGGCAGAAGGGGACTTATCTCCTTCAGGCAATACAGTTATCATCTTGTAACCACCCTTCAATCTCCCACATGAAAGATGGAGCTGCGTGCCAGGAATGAGTATTTCTCTATGCTAGCTCTCAGCATGGATAGATGAATGCTTAAAGATTTCCAGAATTAACAGTCAACATGGACTCCAGATAAAACAGGCAGACAGCCTCTCCCCTTGAGCTTATATGCTGTTTAAAATAAAAGAATCAGGAAGACATTCATTAATAAAGTATTTGGCATGGGGGAATGAAGCAATGTCTGATGTATAGAGTGTGTGTGTGTGTGTGTGTGTGTGTGAGTGTGAGTGTGTTTGTGTATAAGTTTATGTAAGGATTCATTAAGAGTAGATGGTGTTACATATTCATGTCAATTTCCTTCCATCTATAAGTCATTTATTGTACTAAGTGATACTGAGAGTTCTATGTAAGATATCACTCTCTTTAAGATTCATACACATTGGCCAGGCACGGTGGCTCAGGTCTGTAATCCCAGCACTTTGGGAGGCCGAGGTGGGTGGATCATTTGAGGTCAGGAGTTCAGAACCAGCCTGGCCAACATGGTGAAACCCCGTCTCCACTAAAAAATACAAAAATTAGCTGGGTGGTAGTGGCACGTGCCTGTAATCCTGGGTACTCAGGAGGCTGAGGCAGGAGAACTGCTTGAGCCTGGGAGGGAGAGGTTGCAGTGAGCCTCTCGAGATCGCACCACTGCACTACAGTCTGGGAGACAGAGTGAGACCCCGCCTCAAAAAAAAAAAAAAGAAAGAAAAGATTCATACACATTAGCACACACACGAAATGCACTATTGGATACTATAAGTTTCGTTAAGACTGTGGGAGACTCTATTTGGTGCAGATTCACCCTGTAAGCACTGTAAGCACTGCTTATGTATGGAATGTGTGTGTTTTGTATTGTTTGGTGGACTTAAGCTTGATAGTTCATGTAACACTAGCAAGTTCCTTGATGCAGGTACAATTTTTGGGAAGCAGTATTCATTCTTGTTGTCTAAAAGGATGCCACAAGGAAGTGGGAAGTTTTACCAGCATGTCCTAATATCTCTAAGCGACTGAGGGAATAGCTGCATATTGTAAACTCTAGGCCCAGTGATAACTTATTCCATCATGGTAACGGCCGAGTTATAGTAGTTAATTTTCTTTTTTTTCCCCACTTCAGTCAGATGCATTGAAGTACAACTTAGATACAATAAAATTCTCTCCTTTTAAGTGTATAGTTTGAAGAGTTTCAACAAATGTATATAGTCAGGTAACCTCTACAAAAATCGAGATACACAGAACATTTCCATCCTCCCAAAATTTCCTTGTGCCCTTTGCAGTCAGTATCCTCCCACCACTACCCCACGCTCTGGAAACCACTGATCTATTCTCTGTCCTTATAGTTTTGTGTTTTCCAGAACATTGTATAACTATGCACTATGTAATTATATACTATGTAAACTTTCACGTCTGGATTCTTGCACTTAGTGTAATGCTTTTGAGATTAACCCATACTATTATACGTATCAGTAGCTTATTTCTTTTTATTGGTCAGTGACATTCCATTGCATGAATTAACTGTAATTTTTTTATCCTTTCATAAGCTGATGGGCACTTGGGTAGTTTAGTTTTTTGCAATTATGAATAAAGATGCAATGAGTATTTGTATGTAGATCTTTGCAGGGACATTATGTTTTCATCTCTTGTAAAAATGCAATTGTTGAGTCACATGGCAAATGTACGTTTAACCTTATAAGACAATGACAAGCTATTTTCCAAAGCAGCATTACCATGTGTATTCCCACGTACAGGTGGTATATGAGAGTTCCAGTTGCTCTACCTACTGGGAGGAAGTTTTGCTAGAAGTGGATTCTAATTTTCTTGTGTGACTTTCTCTACCAATTTCCCAGCATGATATTTGTATAACATCACAGCCCCAAATCTGTTCTCTTTTCCTAGACAACATAAGCATAATTCCCATGAAGCATAATTCCCATGAAGCATCTACCAAAGATTCATCTCAGAAATCCCTGAGGTGCAATCTTTATACTGTGGGGACTAGAATTCTCCAATCATACTTAGGAAGTAAAAATAAATGCAACCTGACAAGAAATAGGGGTGGAGATTTGCCAAGTAATTTCCCACAAGGGAGACTTTTTAAGAGGCTCCAGTGAATATTACCTCACCAGACTTAGGTAAGTGACAGTACTATTTCTCCCATGACTCCCAAAGGAGTTATAATTTAGTATTTACATTTGCCAAATGCTTTCTCATTATGCCCACATGCTAATAACAGTCCCTTCTCAGTGATTTAGTCAGTGTTACCCAGAGAACTGAGAACTGGGCTGTGAGTGAGCAGAACTCGGGCTTCTGCTCTGAGAAAATCCTAGGTCCTGGTTTAATTCTTTCACTGCTTTTTTTTTTTTTGACTGCCTATGGGAAGCATTAAAGAAAACTGCAATGAAAGTAGGGGGCAAAGATTCACAGAGGCAGAGGCACATTCACGGATCTGGGGAGGTGAGATCTTCAGGTGACTCTAGGGTCTGATATACGGGGAAATGCTGGCTACCTAAGTTTCCAAGCCTTTGTTGTGGCTATCTGATAGGCCTATTTTATTTCACATGAAATTCTCTATTTCTTCTAATTATGTAAGTATTTTACATGTGGTATTGGTCATGGAGAATTTAGCCTATGTAATTGTATGTAAGAAATGTAGTATTTCTGTAGAGAACAAATACGAAGCCTTTATTGAGTTGGAAGAAACAACAATTACCTCTTAATTAATGCTTCCTCGGCTACCACCCCCAACCTCCTCAAAAAAAAAAAAAAATAGCAGGATACTTTCTTGGCACAAACTCTCAGAAGAATTTTTATTTAAAATGCCAAGGTTTGTGGGACTGGACCATTGGGTCATGATTTGCGTCCAGCTGTATGCGTAGACAGGGCTGTCATATTTATATATTTCTCTTATCTCTTCTGCCCCACTTGAATATTCTGGGTGGAGAAAGGGGATGTAAGCAGAAGGGGCCAGGAGAGCACAGGTGCTTGAATACCTAACTAACTTCCTTGCTTCAGTCTTCGCACTTACAATTAACATTTGAACCTAGACCTCTAGGATTTCCATCTGCTAGAATTTAATGCTCAATGTGAGTATTTCTCATGAAGAGTAAAGCATGCAGTTCACTTTTCAGTATTCTTTCTTTGAAAAAAATCAAAGGGATTCTACATGGTGATATTTTTATGAGTGTTCTATTAGCACTATTAGAGACTTGTTTCATTTTTACACTCACACAAAGAAACAGATACATGATTCAATAAATAGTTTCATGTATATGTTTCAATAATTCACTGAAAAGCAAAACACATGCCATACTCATCAAATTGCTTTTAGCTGGAAGCTTGTCTTTTATCAAAATTGGAAGAGCTCGTAAGAACACTTTTCAATGAAAAAGCAAAACTTGCAGAACCAGTCACCAAGAATATTGAAGTTGTTAGTACTCATAACACTCAATGATGGCAACATTTTCTTTTATTTTCAGGGTCTGTATATAAAAAGAAGCAGACACTTATGATTCTAGTCATGCTTTCATTACTGATACCCATTTTTTCCCTACCACTATGAGTTGAGGAGGAAATTGAGGAGGAAAACAGAGGCTAAAAGTGTTTTCTTTTTACCCTCAGCATCCTGCCTTTACTCCTCCAGCAATGAGTAAATTGCTGGTGTGAAAACAAAAAGGAATTAGAGAAACAAGAATGTGGAAAAATGGTAGCAGAAGAAAGGGAAGAGGAAATTATTGCTTATTAAAGTTTTTATGATTTATATACACTCAGAAGTTAAAAACTGCTAAAAGAGGAATCATGGGTATCTATTATTTAAAAATTTAAAGGTAGCTCTGGGAAGCAGCACGATTTTTGTCATAACAGACAAGAGAAACTTATGGGCAAAAAGTTAGATGATACATGTTTTCTTGATAGGAACTGTATCCTAGTTTCACCTTTGTCTTTAAAAGTCTGTCACATTTCTTACTCTTACATCACAAAAGCAAGTCCTGGTGGTCTTCATTGGACCCCAGTCTGTCCTCGCCTCTGGTTCATAATCTCAGCATTTTGTTCCTCTGCTTCCTGATTTCAGCTGTAATTACGTGGAATTTTAAGAAGATAGTAGATACAAGGAGAAGTCATCTTTTGAGAGTTCCCTAGGCAAACGCATACGTTTTTGGAAGCTTCACTGTACTTTCTTAGTCACATTCCTTAGTCACTTTGTATGAGTTGTTTGGATTTCAGGCTTTATTTCAGTGGGTACATTTTAATTTCCTAACTAACTTCTCAAAGTGGTTACAATTAAGCTATTGATGTAACAGTTATCTCTGTTTTACCTAAATTCTCAAACTTCATACAATGTCAACAAAACTACTTTGGTGGAGTACATTTCTTTCTACAAAGTTGTATTTCTGAAGGTCTTTGTTATGAACAGTAAGCACTTTTTTTTTTTTTTTTTTTTTTTTTTTGAGACAGAGTCTCGCTCTATGGCCCAGGCTGGAGTGCAGTGGCGCGATCTCTGCTCACTGCAAGCTCTGCCTCCCAGGTTCACGCCAATCTCCTGCCTCAGTCTCCCAAGTAGCTGGGACTACAGGCGCCTGCCACCACGCCCAGCTAATTTTTTTGTATTTTTAGTAGAGACGGGGTTTCACCATGTTAGCCAGGATGATCTCGATCTTCTGACCTCGTGGTCTGCCCGCCTTGGCCTCCCAAAGTGCTGGGATTACAGGCATGAGCCACCACGCCCAGCCGAGCATTTTTTAAAAATTTTAGAACCATCTGGAAGAACACCTATATAGAGGTGTTCCAACTATAAAGAGGGCTAGACTTAAAATTTGCTCAACTGGATATGATATTTTGTAAGGAAGATAGTACCCAAATTTTTGTAAGAATCAATTAATAATCAAGGGCAAACTCAACTCCAATTCATTTTGGAACTTACAGTGGAGCCTGCTGCTTCAGAGTCTTTGATCGTGACTCCAGTGAAATTTTGATAGGGAGAATTCAGTTTGACTTTGAAGTCAAATTTAAGCAAGGCTTTCATAATAACCTCACCCTTAATGCTCTTGAAAGGTTTCTTGCATTTAGCACATTGTTTTAAATGTGACAATCATTAAATTTTAGAAGATACATGATTAAAACTATAAAGAAAGATTTGTTTAAAAATGTATTTCTGAGTCTAACTTCATGCTGATAGGTGGCCCAGAGTGGCAACACGTGGCTCAGACCTAACTTGCAGCTCTCGGAGCGGTGAGAAAGGAGAACTTGTGACTATGAGACTCTCCCTTGCACACACCACACTTTCCATCCTTCCCTCTTTGTTGTTCATTCTTTCCCAAATTTTCAGGTGCCTGACTAGAAAGATTAGTATGTCTCCAGAACATAGTACTGAATCAGCCTATAGAAAATTAATGTAATTATTATGTTCATTTCCAGATGTTAGCTTAATGCCAGCCTATTAAAACTTCTAAAGATGAAGCTTAAAACAAATAATCATTCTGAGGAAACACCCAAATGAAGACATGCCAGCAAACTTAGTGAGGATCTGAGGCAATGGTAAAAATCTCCAGAGGGTATTTTAGAAATTGATTCTCTCCATCACAGACTGGTATCGGTAGTCAGAATTTCCCTAGCCCTCTTCAGCCTTTCCTTTCTAAAGAGCCTCCAAATTCCTTGCTGCTCCTAGTCCTTAGCCTCTTTCCATTGGTCTTTCTTCCTGTCCACCTCCAACCCTCTCCCTAAATCGTCTATGACATCCTTGTGATGGTTAATGAATGTCAACTTGATTGGATTGAAGGATAGAAAGTATTGTTCCTGGGTGTGTCTTTGAGGGTGTTGCCAAAGGAGGTTAACATTTGAGTCAGTAAACTGGGAGACTCAGACCCACCCTCAATCTGGGTGGGCACCATCTAATCAGCTGCCAGCACAGCTGGGATAAAAGCAGGCAGAGTAACGTGGAAGGACTAGACTGGCTGAGTTTTCTGGCCTCTATCTTTCTCCCATGCTGGATGCTCCCTGCCCTCAAACATCGGACTTCAAGTTCTTCAGCTTTTGGATTCTTGGACTTATACCAGTGATTTGCCAGGAGCTTTGGGGACTTCGGCCACAGACTGAAGGCTGCACTGTTGGCTTCCCTACTTTTGAAGTTTTGGGATTCGGACTGGCTTCCTTGCTCCTCAGCTTGCAGACGGCCTATTGTGGGACTTCACCTTGTGATCATGAGTCAATACTCCTTAATAAACTCCCTTTCATATATACATCTATCCTATTAGTCCTGCGGCTCTAGAGAACCCTGACTAATACAGTCCTCCTGACCGCACAGTGGTATCTCACTACATCTTACACTGAGGGCTGGTTTCCTATTCAGGGTTTTGAAATTCAAAGGAAAAAAACCTCTCCTTTTTTTCAAAAAGGTCTCCGCTCCCTCCTCCTGCCTTCCCTGCACCTCACAAGGAGTGGCAGGGTGGGCCCTGAAGCCACACTGCCCTCACAGCCCTGCGTTGGATGGGCCTCTACTCCTTGCTCTCCTATATCCTCAAGCAGTTTCCTGGGCTGTCAGAGCCTTGGTATTCTCATTTATAAAATTTTGGATAATCATACCTATTTCCTTGGATTGATGGAATAAAAAGGATAATTTACATACATAGTGGCTAGTGCATTATAAAGGCTCAATAGATGGTACTGTAATTATTAACTCTAGGCATTTTACTACATTTCATCTTCTAAGCTTTTTTAGCCTCTACCTATAAATTATTGGTATGGTTGAAATAATTCTCCCTGCCCTTTAGAATGGCTTAACTTTTTTTTTCCTGATTCAAGTTTTTGTTAAATCCCTGGATTCCTGAAAAGTGAGATGTACAAGAACTCAAAGACTAAATACAGTGTACCATCTTGCAGTATAGTTTCAGAAAATTTTTAAATCCACCTATAAGCTGGAAGCCCTGCGCTTCAAGTTGTCCTGCCTTACTGGACCAAACCAATGTATTTCTTATTTTATTTTATTTTATTTTATTTTATTTTTTATTATACTTTCAGTTCTAGGGTACATGTGCACAACGTGCAGGTTTGATACATAGGTATACATGTGCCATGTTGGTTTGCCATCAACTCGTCATTTACATTAGATATTTTCCCTAATGCTATCCCTCCCCCAGCCCCTCAACCCCCAACAGGCCCTGGTGTGTGATGTTCCCCACCCTGTGTCCAAGTGATCTCATTGTTCAATTCCCACCTATGAGTGAGAACATGCGGTATTTGCAAACCAATGTATTTCTTAAATGATTGAAGTCTCATGTCTCCCTAAAATGTATTAAATATAAAACCAAGCTGCACCCCGACCACCTTGGGCACATGTTCTCAGGCCCTCCTGAGGGCTGTGTTAGGGGCCACGGTCACTCATATTTGGCTCAGAATAAATTTCTTCAAATATTTTACGCAGTTTCATGCTTTTTTTTTTTGACACTTAGATAACACATTTACATCATTCAAAACTATTAGCTTCCAAATCGCACTCAGGAAACATAGCTGAGATTCAACGTCAATAACTTTGGTGGCCTATTTTATTCTTAAAATAATAATGACTATTGATGTTAAACTTTAAAAAACAAGCATTGATAGCACCAATTTTTGAGAAGTAAATAAAATTAGCTTCTACAATACTTTAAACAAATTAAAATTAAACTGGAATTCAGTCTCAACTTGTTCATATTTATTCCTCCTATGAGATGAAGTCCAGTATTGGTCAAATCATTATAATTAAGCATTATTATTCTAGACAGTAATCCAAATAAATAAATGTAAAAATTAAATACTGATAGTCTTATACATGTTTCCTAAAAGTGTGACTATTGAAATTGATGTACACAGCTATACATGTGTCCTTATCTATTATTAATGTATATAATGGTCTCCAAATGTATTAATGATTTTTTTCAATGCACATTTTACAGCTGACAGCTACTATTTTGGGGAAAATTGATGGCTATTTCTGAGCCATAGATAAAAGTGCTTACACCTTGTGCTAACCATTTTGTGCTGCTATAATGAATAACATATTCCATAATACCTGAGACTGCACAATTTATAAAGAACAGAGATTTATTTCTTATGGTTCTGGAGGCTGGGAAGTCCAAGGTTAAAGGGCTCACATCTGGTGAGGGCCTTTTCGCGGCATCCTCACATGGCAGACAGGCACAAGAGCACACATGAGAGAGCAGGAGAGGGCAAGAGGGGGACCAAACCCACATTTAGCTGATGGCATTAATCCCATGATAATGGCATTAATCTATTCAGGACGGTGAAGCCCTCACGGCCTAGTAACATCTTACTTAATACTCCCACCTCTTAATATTGTCACAGTGGCAATTACATTTCAACATGAGTTTTGGAGGGGACATTCAAACCACAGCACACTGGATTCAGTGGCATATCACATGACTCTGAATCATCCCCTCCAGGGATGCACCCTGAGGTTTTTCAACTGCAACTGCCCCTTAAAAAAAGGTTTTCTTGCATTGGCTCTTGGAGGACTTGTTTTATTTCTTTAATTATTTCAAGTTTAAAATAATTTCACATCTCATCTGACCATTTGTGGTAGTTTTATTTTTTTCTTTTTCTGTGATGTTATTAATAGAGTTGTCTGTGTTTACAATTTGTATCTTTCTTGTGTCACTTTCCCACAGAACATATATTTGTCTGCAATTCCCTTGGATTTCTCAGAGCAAGCATTATTTAGAATATCTGCATCAGGCCTGTTCCAAGTTCCAGGGAAAAACTCATTTAATTCCACTGAGAGGGTAGAAGTAATGTTAACGGGGATTCAAAAAGTGAGCAATTGTACAGTTTTGCCTATACATGCAGTTCCCACTTCTTGCTGAATTCATATGATTAATTTTCTTTGTGATTTATTCACTCATTTTGTTTACTGTATTACTGCAAAATAGAAAAGTAAGATCTGGGGTTTTCAATGATCTTAACTGATGCTTAAGTGACAAAACGTTATCTGGTCATGGCTCATCTTTTTTTTAGGTGTTTGTAAAAGTTATATTCCTGGTGCTTTTGTGAGCTTACCTTGTCTGACGGCTAGTGTGGTGGTATAGACCAAGAAGAGAAGAATGTAATTGAGGAAACTCTGGAAGACTGGTGTGTTGGCGTGGAAATCTTCTGACAGATACTTGCTAGTCAAGCCAATTCCACAAATAAGGAGGGATAACACCTGGCCTAGGGCCACAGAGATTAACATCTCCCTGAGAAATAAAGGAAAAAAAACACAGCAAAGGTCAGCAGGAAGCCCATTAAAACAATAGCAATTAAAACTTTTTGAGCACTGGTAGCATGCACTGGATTAAGTGCAATTAAATATTATTCCCTTTAGTCCATCAAAGCAATCCCTCGAGGAAGGTGCAATGATTACTGAGATTTTACAGAGGAGGAAACCAAAACTTAGAGTGGTTAAGGAGTTTGCTCACAGTCATGTAACTAGGAAGTGGCAAAACTGGAATTTGAGACCAAATCTCTCCGAAAGAGCCTGGCTTCTAGCTACTGACCTCTGGGTGCCAATGGTAGTGGGAAGGGGGTGGGGAAAGAACATCATCTTCATGCTCACCATAGCATTAATGAAATATTTAGTGATGGTGAGAAAGTACCTGAACACTGACTAGGAGGGACCATATTCCCACCTCATCCTCAGGTTCTCGTACCAATAAAGGGAGACTCTTTTCTTTATAGATTGAAATCCCAGATCCAGAAACCCCTAGGTGAAGGGGCTACACAAATCCCTGAAAACCAGAAGGACCATCTGCTGTCCATTCCCAGACTCTAGAACTCAGTTTGCTCTAGGAAGCTTTGATGAGCATTAGGTGTCTGCCATCTTCTGCTCAAGTTACAATTGCCTACACACTAAAACTGCTATTCGTGAAAGAGATTCAGTACTGTGGTGGTGTAATACAACCTTTCAAATTATGCCAACTTATTTTTTGTGGCTTTTTTCATAGGCGCTGCCCCTATAGACCTCTGTAGCAGGGACTACAGGCAAGGGTCAAGGCGTTAATTTTGCATACAAATAAAATGCCCTCGCAAGCTTTATGGTCACATACACCCACATGCTTTTACACAGAAAAAGCCCCTGCAAATACAAAGTAGATTTCTGCCCTCCCTGAAAGTCACATCTGACTTGTCTGGTTTATTTATAGAAACAGTAATATAATAGAAGCAAGCAGTAGTATTTCTTTCATTGAAAGTTTTATTTTATTTTTAATTGACACATAATAATGGTACATATTTATGCAGTACAGTCTCATGTTTCGATACATGTTCACATTGTATAATAATCAAAGCAGAACAATTGTCAGATCAAAAATTTATCATTTCTTTGTGGTGAGCACATTCAAAATCTTCTAGCGCTTTTGGAATATACAATATATTATTGTTAACTATATCACTCTAGTTTGTAATGCAGTATGATTTCTAAACAAAAAGCTTTAGGCAAAGGATTTGCGGTGTTACATATTTACTCCCCCATAACAGATGTGAGTCCATTTTTCTGGAACGAGCACAGAGTCCTGGGCAGTACTTTGGTTGTATTTTGCTTTAAAAAAGAAAAAACATCAGCTATATTTTGTTCATTCCATCTGCTTCCATGAGGAGGAAAAGTTGTGGTAAGGCATGTGGGCATGCAGAGAAGAATTTTCTGAGGTTAACCTATTTCCAGGTACTGGCTCCTGACCTCTGAATTCAATCTCTATAAAGAAGCCAAAGACATACTTTTAAACATCCATGTTTAAAATGTCAGTATGCTGCTTAAAATCTTACAATAGTTCCCCACAGAATGCAGAGATCTACAAGGTCTGTGGTAGAACATCTGCAAAGATGCCTGCTGACATAGCCTTTACATTCCTGCTGCTCTGCCAAAGGGAGGCAGGGGTCTCTTTCTCCTTTTCTGGAAGCTGGGCTGGTCTTGTGACTTGCTCTGACCAACAGAATGTGGGGGAGGGGATGTCATGTGACTTCTGGGCCTAAGCCTTACAAAGCTCTACAGCTTCCATTTTCTGCCCTCATAAAAGATAGCTTCCCTGTACTTCAGGTTTGAGAGACCATGTGGAAAAAAGAGAAATCCAGCCAGGCATCATTGTCCTGACAAGTGAGTGAGGCTTCTGGATTCTCCTGCCCCAGTCAAACCATGCCAACATATGCCACCATGGAGCAGAGATGAACCACCCCGAAAGATTGCTGCCTAATTGAAGAACTGTAAGAAATAATACATGAGGCTGTTTTAGGGCATGTAGATGTACAGTGGTTTGTTACATGACCAACAAATAACTGAAATCATGTCCTAAACGCTCTCCCTCCATTCCCACTACCTCTGGAACCTGACCCTCTGTTTCCCTTATTACTCCTCCATGAAGCACTTTCAGCCTTACAGAGCTACTTGCACTTCAGCAGTGAGATATGGTCTTCTGTGTCTGCATTCCCTTGTATAAGTTATTATTTCCAAAAAGTTCATTGCGCCTTTGCCAGTCTGATTCTTATGTATCTTTCAAGATTTGGCTTCTATGTCACTCCCTTTGAGAAGTGTTCCGTCTTCTCTTCCCTGGAATGCATCTCTTTGTTACTTCTATCTCATTGTATTGAAACTAATGCCTTTATACCTCTCGCCTCAGCTGGACTGTGATGCCTGTACCATGTTCTTCACTGTGTCTACAGCCAGGCAGTACCATTCAGAGGAAGTAGAAAATAGAGGGATTCAAAGACAGTGCAGAGGAGGCGTAGGCAACAAGAAACAGTTTATTGAAATAAAGGGGGTGATTAATAAAAAAAAGAAAGAAAGAAAGGTAGAGGTAAAAAGGAGTACCAGAATTAACTCAAACGATTTTAAAGGCCAGGCGCAGTGGCTCACACCTGTAATCCCAACACTCTGGGAGGCTAAGGCAGGAAGATCACTTGAATCCAGGAGTTCAAGACCAGCCTGGACAACATAGTGAGTCTTCATTTCTACAAAAAATTAAAAAAATTACCCAGGTGTGGTGGTGCATGTCTGTAGTCCCAGCTCCTTGGGAGACTGAGGCAGGAGGATTGCTTGGGCTTGGGAGGTCAAGGCTGCAAGTGAGCCATGATTCCACCATTGTACTCAAGCCTGGGCTACAGAGCAAGACCCCACCTCTTATAAAAAATTAAAGGTTTTTAAGACTGCCTAAGATAAGTATAATATCTACTGACAAAAATAATGATAAGGAGCTGGTTTTAGTGGAGAAACAATACATATTTTAGGTATATTGAACTTGAGTTGCCAGATGAACTTCCAAATGATCCAGCAGCATTAGTAGCATGGGATCAGAGTGGGATAGGGAGGTCAACCAGGAGATAAATATGCAGAGGTTATACTCATAAAAGTGATGGTGAAAATACTGGAAATGGATAATATCCCTAAGAAAGGGAGAGTAGGAGAGAAAGTAAGAGAGCCTTGGGAAATATCTGCAGAATCCCAAGGTTGGAGGTGGGTGAGGGAGAAGAAGCACATCACTGGAGTCGGAAGTGGTTAGAAGGCTAAGAGGAAGAGCAAGAGAGTTTTTTGGTGTTAAGGAAACCAAAAGGAAAGAGACATTCATGGATTGAATAGTTGTAATACTGAATGTTGCTTAGAGGGTAGAGAGAATGAGGACTGACAAGACATAATTTGTAGTCACTGCCATCCTTTAAGAGTTTTGGTTGAGTGGAGAATAACAGCCGTATTGGTGTCATGAAAACCAAGAGAACAGAGAGTTTCATGGAGGGGATAGCTAGTAGTGACTAAGTGAAAAGGAAATGGTGAGAAATTAGAGATGTTGACTTTGCAGAATTTTGAAGAATTCAAAAAATTCATGGAAGGAATTTGATATAGTCACCATGTAACATAATATCAATGATAGTTAAAATAATAATGTTTAAAATGATTTAAAAATTAATTTAGCTTATCCTATCACTGGGTCATTCTTGATTATTTGCATAATAACTTACATTCCTAAATGGAAGAAATATGAATAGAGTTACAACTAATATATAAGAGTTGTTCTTGATGCTGAGTATGTCTCCTGGAGAATGCTGTGTATGGAGTGCATCTCTTTGGGACAAGAAGGGTGAAAATTATTGCTATGACATGGATTCCTGCAGTTCTATAAATTACAACTATAGTGTTCAAAAACTTTGGCAATATGCTATGCCTTTCCTGAACAAAATCACACCACAAATAAATGACAGATTAGTTATATAAGAGAATACAATTTTAGTCTTTCTTATGTATATGCGCCAATATAGTATAAAATAGCATTCTATATGTCACACACTATGCATGCAAAGATGAACAAGACACAGTCCTTGTCACTGGGGAGCTACAAAACTAAGATTTGGGAGCTAGGTCCTCAAATAACTTAGTACAAAATGGAGCCGATTAAGCTAAAACAACAATAATAATTCATATTTAGTAAGTTCTTACTATGTGCCAAGCCATGAGCTTAGACTTACACATACTATCTTAGTTAATCCTCATAAAAACCTTATAAGGCAGCTATTATTACTGTTCGATTTTATAGATAAGTTAACTGATGCTTAGAGAAGTTACGCAAGCAGCCCAAGGTCACAGAGCTAACAAGGGGAAGAGTTTGGATGCAAACTAGGTTATGTGGTTCCAAATCTCAACTTTTTAATTATTATGCTATACTACTATTTTGGTGGCAAAAATATACTGTGTGTCCTGATTGAGTGCAAGAACTTACAGCTAGAAACCTAAGTGGTTGGTTTCCAGAAATACTCTAGAGGAGTTAAAGACAAAAACAAGTTTGGGACTGACCCTCTGATGAAAACTCTTCCATCAAGATATCTGTAATGTGTGCCTTTCAACAAGAGGTCAATACAAATCTATTCTTGTTTCTTCAGTCAAACAAAACATCAAGTCTGCTGTATTCAATTTCTGCTTTTAATTAATGGCCATGTCATTCAGCTGCTGCTGGTGTGATTTGATGGAGAATACAAATTATGGTTTTATTCGTCATGCTAATGAGCACGACATGTAAAACCGGAAGGAATGAAAGGAACCTTTTATCAGATTAGTTCATGAGTCTTTTTCCTACTGCAGGGAGCTAGATATTGTAGCTATTGCAGCCTGCACATCTGAGCTAGTTCCTGGAGTCACCAAATAAATCAGTAAATAAAAATAGAAATAAACCTAAATGCCTAAATGTTGACACTCTGCTAACTATACCCCCTGCCCTGCCATCTTGCCCTGATCAAATTCTCTTTCGTTCTCTATTAGCACAGGACAAATCCATTTGGCGATGTGTTGTACAAAAATGTTCTCCCTGCTCTCTCTGCCTTAGGATCTCTTTAGTTCATTTACTGTTGCACTATCCCTTCTAAATATTTTTTCCTTAGATAACTGCTATGGTAGATCTGTGGTCCTTTCACCTAACTCCTCATGGCCTTATGACAATGTCTTCTTCAGAGACCCTCTGTTTAGCCACTCCCTGCTCCCAAGGGTGAGGCAAGTGTCCTCACCTGCATTTCCCTATCACTATTGGCACTCACCATATTGTGTAGCTCATAAGCTCCTGAAAAGAAGGGAATGTATTTTATTCTTTTCTGTTTCTAGTGCCTTGAGGACTGCTGGACAGAAAGAAAACAGATGCTCAATAAACACAGGATGAAAGAGTGAACAAATTTATGAGTAAACAAATATCTGTAAATGAAAATGGCAAAGTCTTAGATTTGGAAGATGGTTGCTTATCTTACCTTGAAAAACTACTAGCTCTGAAAGACAAAAATCATGTTGTTTTTTACTGTATTCCATCTGCCAGTTAGACATTGAGATTAATAAGCTATTTTCTGGTGCTTTTCAGAACAAGCCTGGTAAGGTGCTATCTTGCAAAAATGATGCTAAATATGGTGCCGGTTGGAATTTTGTACAGCGAGCTGTAGGTTATTCATGTAGTATATGGAATAACACACCAGATGCATTCTAACATAAGAAACATAGTTCCTATAATTTTAGTGGCAGAAATGGAGAGGAGACTATGATACACATTTTCATCTTCTTTGTTTATGCATTTAAAAGGACATCCTATCCACTTTAAACTCAGAATGACTAGACAATGAAAAATGCATGAGTCTCAAGAAAAATAGTGCTGCTGGAAGCTAAATACCTGTTATAATAGAGCTTGTATTCATAAAGACTGACATAACCATTACCACCGGCACTTCGTTCTATTAAAGAAACAGACTTTAGAATTTTGAGAGTAAACTTGTGTTACAAATTAGATATTCAAAATAGTAAGATTTAAAATAAAGCATAAACTTAATCTTGTTTTCTTCTCTTAGTTATAAGAATACATTCTTTTAAAAGGTATGAAGAATTTCAACATAGTGTTACATAATCATATTGCTTGTAATTCTTTGCCACAAAAGTGAAACAATTATGTTATCATCTTGAATTACAGCACATCAACTTTTCTGTGGCGACATCTTCATTCTGATAACTATTCTCAGGAAAGTCATGTCAGATCTGAGTCAGCATATGAATTCAAACATGCATACATAATGAACACCTAAGTATACTGCCTGGACTAAAATCAATACCCCTTGAAAGTGGGAGAAGCGTGTTCTACCATGTTCTTTGACAAGATTCTTGTTTGCAGAAGTTAGGCCATTGACTTCTATAAGCTCTTTGCTGAAAGGTTTTTATCACATTCAAGCATTAATTAGACTTATATGTAAGAAGATTATTAGGCAAGAAGAAAATATACACCTCCAGAAATTTATCATTAATTGGGTATCTTTGCCTCACATTCTGCATTCATGGACTTGAATCTGTTCTTTGGCTCCATGGTATCCATTTTGTTTTTCTAATTAGATAAGAGAAACCAAGTAAGACGCAAGGAAGTGCTTTAAACATAATGTTTTACTGGCACTAAGTGTAGGAGATTTTTGAGACTGGTGTGAGAGGAGCGGTCACAGATGCTCATGGATGCTGTATGTTTTATGTTTACAGAAGTAACATAGAAAACTGAAAAGGCACCAAACAGGGAGCTGGAAGCCCCTGGCTCCATGAGTTCCACTAACTAAGCTCCGTGATTGCGCATATCTCTCACTCTGGGTTTGGGCTTCTTCATGTAAAATAAGGATATGATGATTGACACGTGTGTATGACACTTCTTATGCTCCCTTTCAATATTCATCCTTTTGATCTCACCTATCTCCAGTGTCTCTCAGCACTTACTCCAGCTCCAGTGGTCGCTGCCATGACCAACTCTGCATAGGCTATAACCAACATTATGTGGGCACAACCCAGGGGCCCTGTGTCCCCTGTTTCCGATGCCCAGGCTGTGTATCTCATGCTTTCTTTCCTGGGGATTCTCAGTTGATACAGAGGACCAGATCCTGCAGGAACCTGTTTCATGCCCACTCATGAGCAACTGGAACGTGCAGGGGAATTACTGCACCTGACCAGTAGGAAACTCTAGCAGACAGACACATTCTTCCCTCTTTTTCCTCTACACAGAATGCACTGTGAAGCAGTCATTTATACTGAAGATGGCCCTGACTCACAAGGTTCTCAGTGTGTACCCTGCACCCCTGTGCTGTGTCTCCCTCTTTGCCTTCCTCAATCCTGCTCCTTGCGATTGTATGCCTTAATAAAGTAGAACATACAAGCCTCTATCTGTCTTCTACAGGACTCAGGCTAACATAATGAGCTTTATGTTTTCTTCTACTCCACAATTCAGACTTACTTTTAGAAGATACTGATCTGTGCACATCAACTCTTGGAATTTGTATCTTTGATCCTAAAATCTATTCCTTTTATGAATTTGATTAAACTCTTTGGTAGCCAAGTTACCCGCAATGTTTATTCATTTATTATGTGCAAACTCTGTGGGTTTTGGGATTAGCCACAGAGAAACAAATCAGTCAGTAGCATTTGCCAAGTCCTGCTGGGTGCAGGTTATGAGAAAGGAATGCTTGGCCCTGCCTCCAGGAAGTTTAGAGGGAGCATGAAACATAAATAAATTAAACTAAACAGAGAATATAAAAATAACCATGTAGTCAAATAAATTTATATGAAACTGCTGGAAGTTGGGATAATTTTAGTTTTTAAAAGTGGACAAAGCCAATCTGAAAATGTTTTCTAGAGAACATAGTTTTGAGTCTTTGTTTTTTAAATAATGAGAGAGACATAATTTGAGAAGTTGGCATGTCATCACAGGAAAGGGAATGCCCTACTGTCTCAGAAGCAGGGACTGACATGGAATCACTTGGCTGGTCAGTGAGAAATCATAATAATAGAAGATATGGGTAAACAGAGGTAAGCACAGAGGAATTTAAAGTGCAGGGTAGAGTTTTAATTCAGAAGAAATCATTCTTTGACATTTTCGAGCAAAAGACATGAAGTAAGCACCAGCCATAATGTCCTCATATTTATCTGCTCATTCCATTAGTTAGAAACAAATCCTGCTTTTATTATGGCTAAAAAAAGAGTTTCAGTAAGAGGCAAGATTGAAGACCAGATATCTCTTTCTGCAAATGAGGCATTCCCACTCACTCCATTAGCTCCATAATACAGGCCTGTCTGAGGGAGGCATGCTGGATGCATCTGTACTTTCATCCCAATATGGCAAAGCATCAGTGTTCTACGATTTGCTTCCTCAAATCTTCAGCATGTCTTTCTATGTGTCTTTCAACATTAATTGTCAACACAAAAATGTGTTTTAATCTGTGGCCATCCTGTTTTTCCTGTGTATTGCAGCCATCTTTACCGTAACAGGAAAAAGGGTTTTCCCAATAGTATAAGAATTTTATTTCTTAATAATTTGAGGCTAATTAAACAATTATTATTACATTTAATGAAAATTTTTTAAAGTAATGAGTTGCATAACTTTAAATGTAACCTCCCCACACCCCCAAACTGCAGAGGTTATCTTTATGCTATGGTTGCTTAGTTTTTTAATTGCTTGCTAACATTATGTCAGGCAATATCTTAAGGTATACTGTATACTTAGAACAAAGCCAATCTTTAATAAAAATGGAAATAAATCCATATTTAAAATTGTCTTGCTGACAGTTACAAATTTTAGTTAATACTTGTGTTGCATATGATTACATTTTATTTTATTTGTTTTACTCTGTAATGTGGCTGATGAAGAAGGGTCAGATTAAAAATAAGAGAAGTTTTAATTGACCTTTTTTGTGTTACTTACTTACAGTATATTTTGGTATTCTCTTTGACTTTCAGCTTCTCTGTAGGAATTATTTTTAAATCAACAATACTATTTCTTTGCAAAGTTTAGTTACTGAACTGATAAAACTGCAAAATCCTTTAACCAGATCCACATAAGTAAAGCAAAGTTAGGAAAAGCCCCTTCTGGTAGCAGAACATTCACTCCTGTGTCAAAGACTCTGATGTACCTTAAAAGAGTCACTCATCGAAAGAAGCCAGTCAGAAAAGACCACATGATTCCCTTCTTATGAAATGCACAGCACAGGTCAATCCACAAAGACAGGAAACAGCTGCTTGCTTAGGCTTGTGGGTATGGAGAGGTAGGGAGTGACAGCTAATGAATGGGTACGAATTTCTTTTTGAGGTGATAAAATTGTTCATTGATAGACTGTAGTATCGGTTGCATGGATCTGTATACGAAATACTAATATACTAAAAACCATTGAATTGTACACTTTAAATGGGTAAATTGTATGGTAAGTAAATTATACCGCAACAAATTTGTTATTAAAAATAAAGAGAAGGAAGGAAGAGAATAAAAGAGAGAAGAAAAATATAAGGAAAAGAAAAATAAAATTATGCAGCTGTTTGAAAAAGAAAAACAAGAAAGATTTGAATGTCTGACTTAACTGAGTGATTGCACAAGGGTCAATTTACATGTTAAAAATTAATGAAGCTTAATTTCTTATTTTTCCACATATAAAATAAATATTGTTTTCTTCCTTTTCACATATAAAGTAATGATAATATTTTCTTCCGTAATACTAGGGGATCACATATCCCCCTGGGATGTGAACTCTTACTTTAGAGACAACTGACAAGGTAAGGTTTTTTTTTTTTTTAACATTTTCAATTTTTTTTTTTTTTAAGTTCTGGGATACATGAGTAGGATGTGCAGGTTTGTTACACAGGTAAACCTGTGCCAAGGTGGTTTGCTGCACCTATCAACCTATCACCTAGGTATTAAGCCCAGCATGCATTAGCTATTTATCCTGATGCTCTCCCTCCCCCCGACCCCCTGCAGGCCCCAGTGTGTGTTGTTTCCCTCCCTGTGTCCATGTGTTCACATGGTTCAGCTCCCATGTATAAGTGAGAACATGCTGTGTTTGGTTTTCTGTTCCTGTGTTAGTTTGCTTAGGATAATGGCTTCTAGCTTCATCCATGTCCCTGCAAAGGACATGATCTTGTTCCTTTTTATGGCTGCATAGTATTCTGTAGTGTATGTGTACCACATTTTCTTTATCCAGTCTATCATTGATGGGCATTTGGGTTGATTCCATATCATTGCTATTGTGAATAGTGCTGCACTGAACATACGCATGAATGTATCTTTATAATAGAATGATTTATATTCCTTTGGGTATATACCCAGTAATGGGATTGCTGGGTCAAATGGTAGTTCTGGTTCTAGGTCTTTGAGGAGTCACTGTCTTCCACAATGGTTGAACTAAAAAGATAAGTTTTAAATCACTAGCTTGGTTGGTAAGAGCCTTTGCCATCTTCCATCAGAAAACCATCATGGTATAGTCAAATGAAAAGTTTTGAAACTAAATAGATCTGAATTTGGATCCTAACTGCCACTAACTAGCTGAGACTCATTTTCCTCATCTATAAAATGGAGATCATAATACATATCCCACAGGCTGTCATGAGGATTAAATAAGGTGGTTTATATAAACTGCCTCTGACAGTAACTACCTCATGGTCGATATTCAGAATAGTTTTAATTATCTTTAAGTATATTTGGAAGTACCAACACTTTCAGTGATTACTTAAATTTGTCTATAAAATTGCATTATGATACATTTAGAAAAAAACTAGAAAAAATATTGTTAACATGCATCTCAGCATTCTTTCCCCAAGTTCTGACTAAGAAGTTTATTCTCCAGTTTGGAAAGTTTAGAGGATTCCTGCCCTTTAGAAACTGAGGAAGGAAAACAAAAAAGAAATGAGGAATATTTAAGAAGTCTTACATGAAATGAGTATTATGAAACTAACAGATTTTAGTTTTAAATAGGAACTTTGACTCTAGTTCTCACACTTAATAACATCTTGGAGAGTAGGAAAGAGGGGGCAACCTTTTAAGGATTACTTTTGCTGTTTTTTTCTTTATACATTGCTAAATGACTTTGGCATTTTTCCTTACACAATGCTTTTAGCTTTGCATTTTGAATTATGTTAGTGAACTCTGAGGCCAAATGGCAAACATCTAACTTTAAAATCTATTGAATAAATAAAAACAAAGAAAGTATGCAAGTGGATCGGTGACTCACTTTCTCTTAAAATAAAAACCCATGTCAAATTTCATTATTTTGTCACTTATTTACTACATTTTTATGCTTGAAATGTAGTGTATTTAAAGATGAGCAAATTGGGAAAATTAGATTCCATCGAGTGCTGAACTTCTCCACACATAATTAAAACCTGCTTGAAAAATGTATAATCAACTGAGATAATCAATTATGCATTTAACTTGAAAGAACATGCAGAGAACCTGGATAAATAAGTAGGAGAGTTATGCCTCATTTTAGAAGACAAAGATATCTGGCCTTTGCTTTCAAGTAGTAAAAAAATTCAGAGTGGAGGCTAGCTGACATTTTTCTTCATCATTCTTTGCATCAAAAGATGACTCCAATTGCCCTGTTACAAGAACCTGACAATAAAAGAGTAATTTTATCTCAGCACTTTTGACAGACTGCCTTAAAAGATGCCTCAAAATTACATCGAAATCCAATTTTTGCAGCATGGGCTAGATAAAATTTATTCTAGACGAAAAGGTCTTCTATAAGAATGAAAATTGGATATTTACCATAATTAAATATTATAATGACGGGGAAGAAATTTGACCTGTTGAAATTTCTACTGCAGGGATGATTCTAACAAAAAAAATGAATAAATATAATTCTGTTACTGCCACTCCTGCTTCAGGCTTAACAGAGAAAAAGGCAATTAGAAGAAAGGGATGTCATAAAGTGGGAAATCTCAAAAGCTTCTCAGTTGCCATTAAGATGGAAGAGAAAAGGAGGATAGACCAGTGGGAAAGAAAGCCCTTGAGGCAGGGCAATCTAAGGAGAATGTTTAAAGACTTGATATGTTAATCTGTTCCATTCTAGTAACTATTTTACCATATATATGTGTATCTTATATATGTAGTAGCATCATGTTGTGTACCTTAAATATATACATTAAATTTATTTTAAAAAAGACAATGATGAGGGGGCTGGGAGTGAAAAGAAAAGACAACTCAAGCTGGTTTATGAGGTTTATAAAAAGCTCAACCTTTTTAAAAGCTACCAAGACCAAACATTGTGGTAAAACATCAGGCAAAACAAAAATGTCAGGCAGATTATAAACCTAAGATTTTTATTCGGAAAATAAGCAGTCTCATTAAATTCATATTCTATGTAAAAGCAATTAGCCTGTTTTAGGAGGAGCCACTGCCAAGGATAAAACTAAAAACCAGTCTCAGGCCCTCAAGTTGTGGGAACCACTGACACTTTCTTTAAGAACAAAGAAGGAAAAAAAATGAAGTATCACTTTTGTGAACATAAATGTACACTCCAGTTCACCTGGCTCAGTGGAATTCAGTGAAATCCAGTCCAGTGAAACGAGGACTGGTAGGGAAAGCAGTCATTTATTGTGTTCTCCAGATGAAACCATTTACAAACCATCTCGTAATGGACTGAATGTTTGTTTCTTCCCAACATTCATATGTTGAAATCCTACCTCCCCCACAATGTGGTGGTATTAGGAAGTGGAGCCATTGGATGCTGATTAGGTCATGAGGATGGAGTCCTCATGAACAGGGTAAAAAGGATCCCAGAGAACTCTCTTGCCCTCTTTCTGCCATGTGAGGATACAGTGGCAGTCTGCAACCAGGAAGGGGGCCCCTCACAGGAACCTGACCATCCTAGCACCCTGATCTTGGACTTCCATCCACTAGAACTGTAAGAAATAGGTTTCTGTTGTTTATAAGCCACCCAGTCTATGGTACAGTCATGTATCACTTAAGAATGAAAATGCATCCTCAAGTGATTTTAATAATTGTGCAATCATAGAGTGTACTTACGCAAACCTAGATGGTATAGCCTACTACACACCTATACTATTGCTCCTAGGCTACAAACTTGTGCAGCATGTTACTGTACTGAATACTGTATGCAGTTGTAACACAATGGTAAGTATTTGTGTATCTAAGCATATCTAAATATAGAAAAGGTACAGTGAAAATATGGTATAAAAAACAGAAAAATGGTACACCTGTATAGGGCACTTATCATGAATGGAGCTTGCAGGACTGGAAGTTGCTCTGCTTGAGTCAGTGAGTGAGTGGTGAGTGAATGTGAGGGCCTAGGACACTACTGGGCACTACTGTAGACTTTATAAACTTAGGCTGTACTAAATTTAGTTAAAATATTTTCCTTTCTTTAATAGTAAATTAACCTTAGCTTACTGTATCTTTCTTACCTTATAAACTTTTTTCATTTTTAAAAATGTTTTGACTCTTGTGATAACACTTAGCTCAAAACATAAACACATTGTACAGCTATAGAAAAATATTTTCTTTATATACTTATTCTATAAGCTTATTTCTACTTTTAACATTATTTATTTTGCTTTTTAAACTTTTTTGTTAAAACTAAAATGCAGCACACACATTAGCCTAGGCCTACAAAGGATCAAGGTCATCAATATCACTGTCTTCCCCTTCAACATCTTGTCCCACTGGAAGGTCTTTAGGGCAATAATACCCATGAAGCTGTCATCTCCTATGATAACAATGCCTTCTTCTGGGATATCTCCTGAAGGACCTGTTTGAGGCTGTTTTACAGTTAACTTTTATACAAAAAAAAAAATATAAGGAATACACTCTAAAAGATTAAAAGTATAGTATAGTAAATACATAAACCAATAACATGTTTACTATCAAGTATTATAATACGTAATTATATAGTACAAGTATTACTGTACATAATTGTATGTGCTATACTTTTGTACGACTGCCAGCATAGAAGTTTGTTTACACCACTATCACCAGAAATGTCTGAGTAATACATTGCGCTACTACACTATGAAGTCTACAACGTCTCTAGGTGATAAGACTTTCTTAGCTCCATTAAAATCTTATGGGACCACTGTTATATGTGCCGTCCATCATTGACTCTAATCATTATGAAGCCTATGACTATATGCTGTTACAGCAGCCTGAACCAAGACGCAACTTCCTTCATTTTATCCTATGTCAAAATTTGGGTAAATCCAAGTAATTTCAGATCTTTGACTCAATGCACCTTGCTCATCTGTCTCACCTAGTAAAGGCTGCTATAATGTTTCCAGACTCTTCACGGGCACACAGGACATCTGATGGGTATGTGACAAAATACCAAATAAGAGAACATTAAGATTTTGTCTTTCAAATAAAAGAAATGGGAATGGCTTCATCCATTTTTTTAAAGTTCCACTAAAGGGAAAATGAAGTAAAACTTCAATAGCTGAAAAATAAACACTATAACTCGAAAAATTTTTTGTGCTAAAGTATATTTTCTAGCTCCCTACCTCCTCCCCACCACCATCCCCAGGTTTTTACAGCCATTTAATGCTCCTTTGATATAACAGCAGCAATAATGCTGCCTGATGGTGAACAATGCTAAGGATAACAGCTTCGGCAGACTGGTAAACCAAGAGCACACTGGCTTCACTTTCTACTTGTGCATGCTTCAGCTACAAGTAATTTGGGAGCAAGAAAACACAGGGAAAAGACACTTGCTATCCCCACCATGTTTCTGGAATAACAGAAATAGCCATGGGAGATTTCTGCCATATTAATCTGATTCATGGCCACCAACAACCCAAAAGATAGACTGACTTTTTATGGCCTTCCTGGAAAGTCAGTCATCTCCTGGAAAGTCAGCATCCTTCCAATGGCACTTACATAGTACCCAAGACAGATTGTATCCCAGTTCTGCATGTCTACTCCATAACAGAAAAGCCATTTCCAGATGATTTAGTATTTTGAACTATCCATAAAGAAGACAGTTTTAAAGGCTGGGCGCGGTGGCTCACGCCTGTAATCCCAGCACTTTGAGAGGCCGAGACGGGTGGATCACGAGGTCAGGAGATCGAGACCATCCTGGCTAACACGGTGAAACCCCATCTCTACTAAAAATACAAAAAATTAGCCGGGCATGGTGGCAGGCGCCTGTAGTCCCAGCTACTCGGGAGGCTGAGGCAAGAGAATGGCGTGAACCCGGGAGATGGAGCTTGCAGTGAGCTGAGATCACACCACTGCGCTCCAGCCTGGGCACTAGAGCGAGACTCCGTCTCAAAAAACAAAAAAAAAGAAGACAGTTTTAAACTCCATCCTTGGTTCCCTTGACGCCCTAAAGTTTTCGTCATGACTGTGAAAGTGATTTGAACAGAATCTGAATATCATTTATTTTCCTTGATTGATCCATTTGAGTGTGTGTGTGTGTGTGTGTGTGTTTCTGCTGAAAAACAAGGGAGGGGCTAAAAAATATCCTCTATGGAAGTATAAGTGAACTGATATGATGCACCTATCTCACCGGTGCACGCGTTGCCAAAGAGACTAAATTCAAATGAGTTGTACGTGACATGCATAATAATGAGCACACATTATTTTCCCCCTTAGTGCTCCTGAAGACCAGGTTGTTTATGCATGAAATGGATTATTTTGGATATAATACTGCAGGGTCAAATAACTCCACTGCATCTTTAAAAAAAAAAGCAAATAAAATAAATCAAGGTGCACCATGTAAAATGATGTATGCATTCTGTTGAATTTAATTGAATTCTAATTAAACTATTTGGAGCAACATAAATTAGATTATTTTTCAAGCACACTTCAGATAAATCTAATGAAGTTCTCACAGTGAAAAAGGCAGAGTTGGCCTTGTTTAATGACTCGGTTGCTGATATAGTGCCTTGGAATGAATAAGAGATCAGCCTGACCTTGGGTCATTTCTTCCTTGAGAGAGATAGATAACATAGGTTAACTTCAGAAAGCTTGGCTAACAAGAGACTAGGTTTTAGTTTATGTTGATAGTAAAAAAACGTATTGAGGCATTTAGTTATGTGATTTTCCTCCTGTGGTTTTTTCCTCTAAGGTTTTTAATTTTTTTTTTTTTTTGAGGTGGGAGTCTTGCTATGATACAAGGCTGAAGTGCAGTGGTGTGATCATGGCTCACTGCAGCCTGGAACTCCTGAGCTCAAGTGATCCTCCACCTCAGCCTCTTGAGTAGGTGGGACTACAGGCATGCACTACCATGCCTGGCTAATTTTTTAACTTTTTGTAGAGACAGGATCTTGCTATGTCGCCCAGGCTGGTCTCGAACCTCCTGCCTCAGGTGATCCTCCTGCCTTGGCCTCCCAAAGTCCTGGGTATACACGTGTGAGCCACTGAGCCTGACCCTCCCCTAAGGTTGGAATATCCTGGCATCTGAATAGTTTCTATTAGGCAGGGAAACTGAGGGGGCTAAAGCAAATGCTCCCAGAAGTATCCCTTTTGTTTCTGGCATCCCATGGAGGGATTATGTTAGGGGTAAAGGCAGACATTACCTAGAGGAAGGACAGCACAGAACTATCAAGTTGGGGGAAGATTCCCCAAGACTATGGTAGGTTCTATAAATGATAGGGACCTAGATCCACCCCCTCATTCCACTTTGGGGAGGGGGAGGTTGCAGACCTGTAGGCAGAATGGGTTGTAGGCCATTTAGGAAAGGTGTATCCTAAGGACCAGGGCTTCCAGCCTGTGGAGATTCCTGTGTGCAAGGTTGGCTGGCATAAAACCAGCAAACCTTCTGGGTTCCAAAGGACAGTGCAGGTTTGGGAAATATGCATATGGGTGGTCCAGTGCACTTTGATAAGTTAAGACTCTGAGTCATCTCTATGGCCCTAGAATAATGGGTGGGAATGGAAGGACTGGGATGGGAGAGTTTGGGGTGAACTGGGAGTAGGAGGGGGGAACTCCTTTCCCAAATGGCCTAGAGAGAATTTCCTCTGAGTCCAGATCCAAGACAATTGGTGTCAGATTCAATTTGTCTTGTGAAAATCTGTGGAACAAAAGGTCACCATTTCTTCCACTCTTGGAAAAGTTTATTTCTATTTTGGTTCAGCTAAGAAGTCATTCATGAGTAAATTATCTTGCATCCTTAACAACTCCTCTTTTCCTATACTTGGGGAAATGCTTGGAATTTTATTATGGGCAAGGTTCTTAGTTCCTTTGGTTTGGAGTGGGGACAAGTATAGTTCAAGAGGATGTGGAAGGGGCAGAAAAGAAAGATTTATAAAGCTAAAAGACACTTAAATGATGTGATAAAAGATGAATGAGGAGTAGGTTATGGATCATGTGTAATAATATCTAGAAAAGCAGAGCTCTATTCACATGATGATTATTTATTTTTCTAGAACAACAACATATAAAATCAAAGGCGAGTGGGTTAGGAACCTGTGAAAGTTATCTAGCTATAAAGGAATGGATATTGCCTAATCTATATTCCAGTTCCATAGCTAATCCCAGGAAGGTGAGAAATGAGGCCCTTTGAAGAACAGAACATGATGGCTGCTGTGATACATATTTCATAAAATGTTTTCTTACAGAGTGTTCTCCTCTATGCATTCTCAATGCTATCTGAGATATATTAGTGAGAGAGATGAGAGGCACTAGTTTTCTCACTAACTCTCCTTTTCATGTTTGACACATAAACTTTTGGTTCCATTGACAATCCCAGAATACATCTGCAAGCACTCTGTCATTGATACTTATGGGAAAGTTTATTAAAAGTATATGCCTAGAAATAGAGAAAGACTGCTGAGCTGCTTTGGAAGACTTTAAGACCAAAAAAGGAGGGGCAGAAGGAGATGCGTTAATGAGGTAGAATCAAGTCTCCAGCCTCTACTAGTATTAAAATTCCTTCAAGATACAAATAACGTGACTCAACTATGATAAAATTGGAAACTAAAAGAAATAAAAAGACTTTTCCTACTAAGGCATACTTGTTAGCATAGAGACCAAAAAAATCTCAAATAGAAACAATGAAAAGACCTGAAGGTATTTTAAAATGAGCCTATGTGAAGTGTTTCAGCACTGTAGGGACAACTTTATGTCTCTATCTCTTCAAAGATGAGAGGTCTAGACATAAAACAGCATGCTCAATGAGTTAGCATAGATTACATGGAAGACAAGGGTAGAGAGACTTCTGAATTCTTCACAAATACTCCAATGTAAATGTAGATCATTGCTACATGAGGAAGGTTGCAAAAAATGCTGTACACCATGGCCAGTTAAAGGCAGGCAGTGGGGATGGGAGGAGGTACCACATGCTCACAGCAGGTATCATCAGAAGGGGCTGTGAGACTCTGTCTTTCATGGTGCTTGGTTGACTGCATCAAACCCTATAGTTAACATGATGGCAATAACTTAAGAGTTTGGGCTCTTACATGTCCCCATCTTCTCGCAGGCCCAGTGCATGGAGTGGTAACCCAGCTGTCTTTTATAGGACCTCTGGCAAAAGAGAATACCAGGCTGCTGGGCCTATGAGGGGGACCTGATGGAAGACACCAGCCCTCCAACTATGTAACACAGGTGGGTCAATACCTGGTGCTATTCTCTCTCTACAGAAATATCTGGAGGAGAACTGGTGAGGGAAATACATTGGAGAGAATGTGAATTTTGTACAGTATATTTAATTGTAGCGAGTGTCAGAAATCACCCAAATGTGCTGTTAAAGCTGTAACCTCCCTTCACTCTCTGGGCAGCAGAGGTCTTTAGAGTGTTTAGAAACCAGCAGGTGTTTAATCTGTGTATACAGAGACAGATGCTGAGATCCAACTGGACTGTGGAGTGAGTAGGAAGTTCAGCTGGCCTGCAGAGCAGCCAAGCCAAATGAAGGGCTGGGCAGGGTCCCATACAACAGTCAGCACAGATGGCTGGTACCCGGCATCTAAATGCTTCCAACAGGGGAGATTTCACCATGCTTCTAGCCTCTTCTTTATTTCACATGCATCTTTTTGTTAAACAACATAAACTGTGTTTCTGTTGTAGAAACATAATATAGAATCCAAGTAGCATGGAAGGTTCTTGAATGGTATTTTAGAGAGTATGTTATGATTGACTAAGAGTTTATAACCCAGAGAATGATTCTGAAGGACAGAATAATTATTAGCTTTTTGGTTTGTTAGCATGTTAACAAATAAGAGGCAAAATTGAAATTTGGATATTTTGAGTTTTAATGACCCTCTGGTGGACTTGTGTGTCCTGAGTGTACTTGTACACTAAAGATCGGATGTAAGGCAGTATTCTTTACAAAATGCCTAGCAGGATGCCTTATTTCAGAAGTATAGATCATAACAAAGAGGAGGATGTTTTACTCATAAGCCCATAGAAACGTGACGTCCTTGTTCTTGAATTCTGTTTGACCTTTTCCTCCATCTACTGATTTAGCCTTTGTATAACCCCTGTTAAGAAGCTTTCCAACTGCGTCCCTCACTTTGACAAAAAAGGAAGTAAACATTCAAACTTTAATTCTGGAAAGCTGAAACTTAGGAGGGGGAGTAGAAGGAAGGGGAGGAGGAGGCAGCAGGCCAGACCTTGATGTTCATTTCTGCTGCTTTGTGGAGGGAAGTGACTGCAGATCTCTAAAACGGCACAAGTCACTTCTGAGCCGCTAGCCAGGTGTGCATGTCTTGGAGGGCTTTTCTTTCAAGTACTGTAATTTTCTTGTCCCTGGCTCCATGCCCCTAAAAAGGCTTGCCTCAAAGGGTCATACTCAGGAAGCAAAGACAAACACAGAGTAGGCTTCATACGTGTTGCTGACCACATACAGTCACCTTGGTTTAGGTCTCTGCCGCAAGTTCACCTTTGGATTGCATTTATTAAACGCTTGCCTATTGCATGGTGTTATTCTAGGACTCAGCACTATTTACTGACCAGCCTTCATCAACCACCTGCTACTATGAGCAGCTCATTTGTGGACTAGCATATTTCTCCTGGCTCTTATGCCCCTGGAGTGCTGAATCAGAGCTGGAAGCAGCCAACATTTCTAATTCCCTGTTTCCAACTGGACTTGACAGATGATAAAGTAAGTGTTTCAAAGGCAGAGAGGAGAATTTCATAGTAAGCAATGAGATAAATGGACTATAAGATGCAGCCAAATTACTTTCCTCTCTGAAGCAAGATGTCTTGTCCAACAAGGCACTCTTCTCTCAGGCCTAGCAAACACCCACCAGAAGCAGTTCATCTTTAGACACAGTATCAAGGCCTTCCCTGCACAGGCAGTTTCTCCTTTTTCTGATGTGCTGTTTTCTGTTTCTCTTGCTGATATATCTTTATTAACTTCAGATTTCATAAGGATTCAAACTTTCAAAACTGAGTTGTGTTTCAATTTCTAGGGAAGAGATAGAAGGACACACACAAACATGTGGCATTTATATTCAGACTGTCCTGATGGTCTGAGAAAGCAAGGTAGCAAGCATGAGGAAGAAACAGGTGTTGACCAAGAAGGTTCTCAATGGAGAGATAGGCCAACGCTTCTAGGAAGCAGAGCACTGGATTGCTCCACACTGCCATACCATGGCAGGCACTGGGCCTCCTGAGAATGCCCACAGTTCCAGAGACTGTGACAAGGGAGGTCACGGCAGGTATGGTCACCTCTTGGAGTCAAGTCAACCATCAGTAAATTGAAGAACCCACTATTTTTATATTTTAAAAAGTCTATAAGCAGCAACAGCAACAAGAAGATGGTGTTCTGGATCTCTGCATTACTAGAAGGAAAAGAGAAAAAAATTCAAAACTATTTCTACTTGAGAGCTAAAAGCTGTTTCCTGTAAATTTAACTCCAAAATGAAAATCATGAGAAAATGTTCTTCTCTCTGGAAATTCTGCACACTGAAATATTTCTTTGCAGTGAAAATTGGCCTATTTTATTCTATCAATATGATTAACCTTTCTATAAACTTGTCCTAGGTGGAAATTCATTTTCTTTTCTAGCCAGAAATGTTGTCATTTATGTATCTAAAAACTAGTGTTAGTGGGAAGAAAGGACTTTTTTTTCCAGAACCTAAAAATAGTTGCGCCACTTAATTTTGAAAAAGCTTCTCAGTCAAGGCAAGTTTTCTGCTCCTTCATAGCCCTGGGATTACATGCATTTGCACCTGGGTTTCATTTTTAATTCTTTTCTTCCCTCTGTTTTTTCTTTGCTATCAGCCAATTTCTGTCCACAGAGCTCTGTGGACAAGATCCTCCCTGTGAACCCAGGGGCAGATCACAGATTACTGATTCTAGGAAAATATCCTTTCAAGTGTCATGCAGAAACCTCTTGTTCAGATACACCATATAACTCTTGAATCTGTTATTCCCAGAGAGTTAGAGCCTTTCCAGACACATCTCACATCAAGATGCGATATCCAGGGGAGCATATAGAGCCAGCTGTCAACCCTCTTCCTTCCTCCACTGGAAGGACTGCCTTTCCCATCTCCATGCCTTCCTCTAGAAGCAGCATGGGCTCCTGTGTGGTCTTGACCACTAAAAAAGTCCCGACAACCATGTTGATACGAAGGAGACAGCAGATATACCCCGCCCCTTCTGCATTTCAGTAAAATGAGTAGGGCAAGACTAAATAAAAGGAATGGCTGTAATAGTGGAACTTGGCAAATTAGTGGAGGATACAATTAAGAACAGAATCTTCCAGATACTGCTCAAATCATTCCCTATGGGAAAATATCTTGGAACATCTAAGAATATGTGCCACAAAATAAAAGGGAATAAAATGTCTCTACTGAATCATTCTTTACTGAGAGAAATAAGCTCTTATACAGTGACAATAACAATAATCATAGTTAACATTTATTAAGCATTTACTATGTGCCATGCACTCTAAAGGCTTTCCACGGATTAATCCTACAACCACCTCAGAAAGTAAATATTTTTATTATCTCCATTTTACAGATGAGGAAACTGAGGCACAGAGTGGTTTAGCAACTTGCCCAAGATCACATAGTCAGCAAGTGGCAAAAAAACGTAATCTGAACTCGGTCTAATTCCAGCACTTGAATTCTTGACAAGAAACCATGCAGCCACACACAGCCACAAATACACATACCACCTAAAGGCACACGAGTGTGCCAAACATGCATTGCACTGCTTTCCTCACATCACAACTTGTATTTTACTTCGTTTTCCCTTCATATATTTTGCCCTCACTAAGTCTCCATTGTTAGAATTTACATCACTCAGATCCAAAGGGCTATAAAGTGACATGAGATGGGGTAGGCTAGGGAAGGAGAAAGGAGATGCAATCCATTCTTAAAGACCTCTAACTATCTGCTTCGGTTTCTTGAAACAACAGCTTCTTAAGAGTAGGGCTTGTTCTTTGGATTATTTACTAAATCTGTATATCCATTTCTTGAGGTCCTTACAAAATAGTAGTAAAAAGAATGGATGATACACCTGACACTTGGGGAGTTTACAGGATTTTCTCAGCAAAAGACTTAAAAATATTATGTGGTATTACTTATTTCTAGAAAAACCTGTTTAAGAAAAAAAAGATCACTGATCTAAGCATAGAGACAAAATGATTCATCAGTAGGGTGATATATATTACTTATATTAATATATACTTATGTATTTGCACATGAATGTGTGCAAATAATATAATATAATTAGTATAATGGAGTAAATTCACCTATCTTTGAATGCCAGAACGCAAAATTTAAAGTTACTATATTAGCAAATGCAAACTTTCATCAATTATACTCATGAAAGTAGAAAAAGTGAGAGCACCTATGTTTAAATAGTGGGAGCAAAACTTATAACCTCCTGTATTGCTGATGGCAGTGCAAACTGAGAAGCAATAATATTCATATTCTTTGACATTCTCAGTAATCTCCTATCTGATAATTTACTAAAAGGAAGTAATCCAAAAGATGGGAAGCCAGACTTGCATCACAATTATTATTCATAATATAAAAATTGAAAATGACCTAAATGTTATTATAACTTAATGGCTCATTAAGTTATAGTGCATCAACTTGATTGAATGGTAGGCAGCAACTTCCTATCGTTGCCAAAAGATTGTGGAGTTATAAAAATGCTTAAAGTATAATGCTGAGCAAAAAACTCTTTAATAAAAATTGTTTCTGTGCTTTGACTACAACTGCATAATAGTATTTTATGAATGTTAACAGATTTTTTTTGTTTTATGCTTTCTATGTTACAACTTTGATGAATCAATAAAAAAATTCTTACGTTTGAATAGATCCTCCTCTCTTAAGTTAATCATGGAGTGACTTGAAATTGCAGGAAAAAATTTTTAAAAAACTCGTGTGTGTTTGGAGAAAGCATGCTTTTGGACTAGCTATATATGCTGACTATGCCCAACCTTCTACTTTAGCCAAACAGTGACAATTCATATTCGTGGTATGAGGGCAATACTTGCTACCTTGCCATGTCAGATATTTTATGAAGATTAATTAGAAGATTGTAAAGTATTCTGAAGTAATTGCATGAAAAATTTCTACTTATAGACAACATAAAATATTTATAAAATCTTTACATCATTTCTCCCTTCCTTATTGGCTTTAGTTCTGTTACTTTTATTTAAATGATTTATGGCCTCTGAGCACTTTATTGTAATCCAGCTCAAATCCTGTCTTACTGTAGGACAGTATAAAAAGGTACTAGAAATAGTAATAGTGCTTCATGCATACAAAGTAGTGGCAATTCTCTGAATACAAAATTGCAGATAAAATTGAAAAAAAAAACTACCTTAAGAGATAGGTGTTTCTGAATTTCTGAACATTTGGCATTGTGTAATGTGATTGGCCAAGTATTATGCCTTTGGTGAATTCTACCCAAAAAACTACTAGTAACTTTTCTTGAATTACAAATTCCTCAGAAAGACACTATATTTTTTTCAGTAAACCAGTTTTTTTGTTATTGTTGTTTGTTTGTTCGTTTGTTTTGTTTGTTTGAGATGGAGTCTTGCTCTGTCGCCCAGGCTAGAGTGCAGTGGTGCGATCTCCGCTCACTGCAAGCTTTGCCTCCCGAAGTAAACCAGTTTTTTTTACTTGCTTCTGTGGAAGAAACTATCTTCACTTTTGCAGATGAAGAAACTGAAGCACACGCCTCTTAAGAAGCGTATCTAGACTACTAACATTAATAGCTAAAATTTATTGAAATCATGCCATGTGACAGGCATTTACATAGCATTTTACAGGTACTAAGTCATCTCATCTTCACAACAACCCACTGATGAAGGTACTTCTACTAATTTCCATGTTACAGTTGTGGAAACAGTTCAAGAGAGGTTAATACTTTGCCCAAGGCTTCAAACTAGGAAGACAAATATCTCAAACTGCCCATAACATAATGCTAAACATGTTTTAGAATTGTAAAGCATTTTGAAAATATTATGTAGTTTAGAAGCCATAACCTAAAGGGATGGAGAGTTTGGGAGACTGACAGTTGATACATCTGAGACCACAGGCAACCTAGCAAAGAGAAAAATGAATGACACTTACCCAGTGTTCTCATAGCCAGTGAAGAAATTCCTAAAATATCATATGGCTTTTACAGCTACTATTTTCTGTCTCAGAAGGCACAGTATAGGATTCTATGTTTAAATGTATTATATGTAAATCATCTCTTAAATATGTAAAGGTTGTTCCTGTGGTGTCAATGACTTGGTATTCATATTTATCATCAAAAATTAAGGTAAGGACTTCCATTTCATATCCTTAATTTTCCCCTCTCTCTCACAGCCTAGGTCCAATCTATTTGCAGCAAGTCCTGTTGATTCAATTTCCATAACATCCCTCGAATCTACCCATTACGCCTACAGCAACCGCCAACACCCTCATCCCAGCCACCATCCCCTTTCTAGATCTAGATTCCTGTGACTGCACCTCGTCTCCTCACTCCCATCAGGGTCCCCCTTCAATCTGTTCTCTATTATGCAGCTAAAGGAATGTTCAGGAAATGCAAATCACCCCAAGTAACTCCTTGGCTTACAAGCCCTTGACACTGCAACTTCCTCCTCATTTTTTACTTATCTCCAGCCACTCTGGCTCTTGGACAGTGCTTTCTGCACCTGGATCTTTATGCCTGCTTCTTCGTATTCCCACTACCTGGAATGCTCACTCACCCCATTCTCTTCCTTAGAGAAGCCACTTCTCATCTCCCCACCTAAGACCCTATTATCATTATTCTCTACTATCGCTATTGCTTTCATTGATTTCCTCTAAGGCCCAATCTCAATCCATAATTACTTGATTGATTCATTTGCTTACTTATTTACCATGTGTTTTCTCAACTAGACACTTGGCTCCTTGAGGATGGGGCTCAGGCATCTCTTGTGCATTGCTTTATCTTGCCTTCCAAGCACCTTGCCTCTCACATAGGGGACACTCAATAAATATTCTATGAATGGATCAATAACAATCTAGTGAAATATTAGAAAGAGAGTAACAAATGTGTTGAGTAGATATTGCTTAGTCATGTATTTTCATGAAATAGCCAAAGTTAAAACACTGAGCTTCAAAGATAAAAACTTTAAAGTAGCCTAGTGCAGCACTCATTATATGGCAGGTTATTTTCTTTTCTTTTATTTATTTATTTATTTATTTTTATTATTATACTTTAAGTTTTTGGGTACATGTGCACAATGTGCAGGTTAGTTACATATGTATACATGTGCCATGCTGTTGTGCTGCACCCATTAAGTCGTCATTTAGCATTAGGAATATCTCCTAATGCTATCCCTCCCCCCTCCTCCCACCCCACAACAGTCCCTGGAGTGTGATGTTCCCCTTCCTGTGTCTATGTGTTCTCATTGTTCAATTCCCATCTATGAGTGAGAACATGCGGTGTTTGGTTTTTTGTCCTTGCGATAGTTTACTGAGAATAATGATTTCCAATTTCATCCATGTCCCTACAAAGGACATGAACTCATCATTTTTTATGGCTGCATAGTATTCCATGGTGTATATGTGTCACATTTTCTTAATCCAGTCTATCATTGTTGGACATTTGGGTTGGTTCCAAGTCTTTGCTATTGTGAATAGTGCCACAATAAACATACGTGTGCATGTGTCTTTATAGCAGCATGATTTATAGTCCTTTGGGTATATACCCAGTAATGGGATGGCTGGGTCAAATGGTATTTCTAGTTCTAGATCCCTGAGGAATCGCCACACTGATTTCCACAATGGTTGAACTAGTTTACAGTCCCACCAACAGTGTAAAAGTGTTCCTATTTCTCCACATCCTCTCCAGCACCTGTTGTTTCCTGACTTTTTAATGATTGCCATTCTAACTGGTGTGAGATGGTATCTCATTGTGGTTTTGATTTGCATTTCTCTGATGGCCAGTGATGATGAGCATTTTTTCATGTGTCTTTTGGCTGCATAAATGTCTTCTTTTGAGAAGTGTCTGTTCATATCCTTTGCCCACTTTTTGATGGGGTTGTTTGTTTTTTTCCTATAAATTTGTTTCAGTTCTTTGTAGATTCTGGATATTAGCCCTTTGTCCGATGAGTAGGTTGCAAAAATTTTCTCCCATTTTGTAGGTTGCCTGTTCACTCTGATGGTAGTTTCTTTTGCTGTGCAGAAGCTCTTTAGTTTAATTAGATCCCATTTGTCAATTTTGGCTTTTGTTGCCATTGCTTTTGGTGTTTTAAACATGAAGTCCTTGCCCATGCCTATGTCCTGAATGGTAATGCCTAGGTTTTCTTCTAGGGTTTTTATGGTTTTAGGTCTAACGTTTAAGTCTTTAATCCATCTTGAATTAATTTTTGTATAAGGTGTAAGGAAGGGATCCAGTTTCAGCTTTCTACATATGGCTAGCCAGTTTTCCCAGCACCATTTATTAAACAGGGAATCCTTTCCCCATTGCTTGTTTTTCTCAAGTTTGTCAAAGATCAGATAGGAATCCTCCCTGACTCATTTTATGAGGCCAGCATCATCCTGATACCAAAGCCGGGCAGAGACACAACCAAAAAAGAGAATTTTAGACCAATATCCTTGATGAACATTGATGCAAAAATCCTCAATAAAATACTGGCAAACCGAATCCAGCAGCACATCAAAAAGCTTATCCACCATGATTAAGTGGGCTTCATCCCTGGGATGCAAGGCTGTTTCAATATACACACATCAATTAATGTAATCCAGCTTATAAACAGAACCAAAGACAAAAACCACATGATTATCTCAATAGATGCAGAAAAGGCCTTTGACAAAATTCAACAACCCTTCATGCTAAAAACTCTCAATAAATTAGGTATTGATGGGACGTATCTCAAAATAATAAGAGCTATCTATGACAAACCCACAGCCAATATCATACTGAATGGGCAAAAACTGGAAGCATTCCCTTTGAAAACTGGCACAAGACAGGGATGCCCTCTCTCACCACTCCTATTCAACATAGTGTTGGAAGTTCTGGCCAGGGCAATTAGGCAGGAGAAGGAAATAAAGAGTATTCAATTAGGAAAGAGGAAGTCAAATTGTCCCTGTTTGCAGACGACATGATTGTATATCTAGAAAACCCCATTGTCTCAGCCCAAAATCTCCTTAAGCTGATAATCAACTTCAGCAAAGTCTCAGGATACAAAATCAATGTACAAAAATCACAGGCATTCTTATACACCAATAACAGACAAACAGAGAGCCAAATCATGAGTGAACTCCCATTCACAATTGCTTCAAAGAGAATAAAATACTTAGGAATCCAACTTACAAGGGACGTGAAGGACCTCTTCAAGGAGAACTACAAACCACTGCTCAAGGAAATAAAAGAGGATACAAACAAATGGAAGAACATTCCATGCTCATGAGTAGGAAGAATCAATATCGTGAAAATGGCCATATTGCCCAAGGTAATTTATAGATTCAATGCCATCCCCATCAAGCTACCAATGGCTTTCTTCACAGAATTGGAAAAAACTACTTTAAAGTTCATATGGAACCAAAAAAGAGCCCGCACCACCAAGTCAATCCTAAGCCAAAAGAACAAAGCCGGAGGCATCATGCTACCTGACTTCAAACTATACTACAAGCCTACAGTAAGCAAAACAGCATGGTACTGGTACCAAAACAGAGATATAGATAAATGGAACAGAACAGAGCCCTCAGAAATAACGCCGCATATCTACAACTATCTGATCTATGGCAGGTTATTTCCTAAACATTTGACATGAATTAATCCATCTAATCCTAACAAAAGCCTCTAAGGAGAGCACTGTTTGTATCTTTCCTTTATTGATGAGACACTAGGTCCAGGAAAGTCAGCAGTCTCTTGTTAGTGAGGGGAGTGCTGGGGCTGTCATCTTTGAAGGCTTAACCACTGACTATTCTGCTTCTCAAGGTAAATCTCTGAATGTATATGTTCTGAATTTATTTTTAAAAAATGTTCTAATCCAGTGTCACTTCCAACTCAGTTAGCATTTCCATGGCCAAACGCTAGCAAAAATGCCTATTGCCCTAGGAATAAAGCCAAACAAACTAAAAAAAAGAACAGCGATTATCCACGGGCAATAGCCCAAGAGCTGCTCCAGGCCACTGAAACCTGCTTGCCCTCCTCCATCCCTGAGCTGGCCAGTTGAGAGTGGATGGAATGGTATCAATGAGGTCACATATTAAATATGCCTTTTCTCCAACATCTCATCAAATCACAGATGTCATCTGGCTTGGCTTGCTACGTCTCTGGTGCATTGGCAAACTCCTCATCTTAGAAACATGTTAAGATAGAACCAGCTTGGGGGTCTAGTGATGAGGCTGCCCACCCACTGGGAATCTGGGAGTTCTCTTATTTTCTGAATGCTAACAGAAGGGAGAAACTCTGGAGAAACAAGGCTATGAGGTTTAACTTATACTACCCAAGGAAGCCAAAAATACTTAGTATATGCTCACAAATAAACAGGGCCAGTTAGAGCCTAGTTCTTGCTCGTCCCAAAACTTTATCAATGGCAAAATTTGCTCATTTTCACCTTTCAGAAAAATTCCAATAAATAACTACATATCACATGTCAACCTACGTCTATAGTAAGTATCTGATCCCCCCCCCCAAAATACCATAAATGAATAAAAACCAAGCGTTCACAATTTTGTCTATGTACTTGGCATCTTTTCCCAAACAATTGTGTGGTTAAAATAGCACAGAGGGAAAAGTGACACATCACTACTGTAACAATAGATTTTAGCTAGTATAGGAGTTTTGAATCAGTAGTCTGAAAGCAAAACCTGAATTCTTAATTCTGAAAATATCATTTTCTTCTTGTATTCTCTAAATAGATGGGTTCTTGACTTTTCTTTTGTATACACCCATGCCTGCAAGCACGGCATATTTTAAGACACATGAGTTTGTGCAAATAGTTTCTTATGCCATCAAGATTCTGGAATGTGAGAGTAAATATTAGAAGCTGAGCTGCAGGATATCCTTCCAGCATTTCTTTTGTCCATGGCTCCTGGGTGATTGAGTTTTGCATCATTATAATTTACTGTTCATTCATCTTGCCACCATCTATTTTGCACGTTGTGAAGAATATTGAGTGGTGGAAAGATATAGGTCAGAAGTCATAAAGAATGGCATTTAAAATTGTAACTTTAAGTCTTTTTTTATAGTTCAGGTTTTTAGCAATACTGTGAGAATATATGGAATTTCCTGAAGTGTTCCTGAGATGAAATTTGAGTATATGCACTTGAGTCCTACCCAAAAGGAGAAGAAAAAAATGTTTGTAAATCAGGATTTGCGACTCTCATCAGGTTTACAACCTTCAAATGGTCATGATAGGTCACCCTGGGACATTATCCAATGCAGGTCTTGTCAGCCTGGGCCGGCTCAGTAACAAAACAAGAGACTATGACCTCAGTCAGTAGGTCACAGTAGAGATCTTGGGTCCTCTTCTTGTTTCTAATGGGAGTATTTGTTGTTAATATTTTGTTTCTCTCCTTTCTAAACAGAGATTGGAATATAAAGGTTCCAATACATAGATGGGCTCTTGGGCTCCAAGACTGAAGAGCACAATTCAGAGAAAGAAAATTATTACCCTAGCACTTCCATGATTTTATCTTTTAAACCAAGTCAATCAGATTTAATGGTCTTTGCCTTTGAGCCTAAAGGGTAATTATAGACTAATTTAAGATCATGAGATTCTGAGAGTTTGCATGACCTAAAGGGACATATAGTCCAACATTTTCATTTTAGGGTTGAAAGAAATAAAATTCAGAGAAGTTACATGAATAATCCAAGGTCATAACTTGTCAGTGGCAAAGCTAATACTGGAGGTCAGATACCCTAATTCCTAGTTCAGATATCATCTCTCAGTCTCCCAGAGTTCTTCATCTTTGAGAAAACAGGAAATACCCTGAGACTATGAGTGTCTCAAGAGACAAATTCTCAAAAGAGAAAGGGCACCTTTCTTCAGGTCTGTGATTTGGGTGTCTGCTGAAGATGCATTTGTGGAAGCCAATTTGCTGTGTATAGGACTGACCATTTTACTGACTTTGCCACCTCCCAAAAGACAGTGGCAGGCTGAGCCAACATTGCTTACCCTGAGCTCACTAAACAGATTCCTAAAGGTCCTCCTACAAGAAGTTCTGTAGTTCACCTAAAAGCAAGTGCCTCTAGAATTACCATTTTGACTCAGAGTTTCCAGAAACTCTCACCAAGGGGACAAAAGTGGATATTCAGTTTAAGCAAGGTGTTCCAGAAAATGGTGTAATGTTTTGACAAGAGATAGGAGCTCATTGTGGGCTACAGGGTATCAATTCAGAAGTGTTTACCATTTTAAGACTAGAAATCTGTCATTCTTTTTAGGGAAGATCAAAGGTTGCAGAGATGCATCACATCCAAAATTGGCATTTTCCAAAGCGCTTGCATGTAGAACAGCAAAAGGCAAAGAAAGAAGTCACCTCTTTAAAGTGCACATAGGCAATTTCTTTTCTTGCCATTTATTAAATATTTTGTCGTTTGTGTAGAATCTATCTCCATGGTAACTCTGTAAAAAAAAAAAACTATCATTTGGCATTGAATTTCTAAGAGTGGCCTTTTAACATCTACCAAATGTATTACCTTGGATGATCAATTCTACTCAACAATAGTTAAGTACTGGAGTTAAAGCAAAGTATAAGCTTTGGGCTGAATTTGCCTGTTAATTTAGGCAAAAGTGAGACTGTTTTCCTTTAAATCTTCTGGGTGACTGCCTTCACCTTCCATTTTAATTGAACCTGGAGACATAGCCAGAGAAGTGTTTCTCCCAGGTTTTTATCTCTAGTTTATAGATGGGTATTTATTATACAACATAAATGGAACATAATACAAGGAACATAATACAAAAAAAAGGGCTTTTGAGAATAAATACTATTCAAACTACCAACTACTCAGCATCTCATAATTGAAAGTGAAAGCTGATCTTTCTTTTCCAGCTATTAGATGAGTTAGCTGCTGCCAGCTAGCTGTCTAATTTCTTCTCTCCTATAGCCATCTCTGTTTCTATTTAACTTCCTGCTTTTAGCCCATAGCCTTGGACTCCTACTAGTTGATAAATGTTCCAAAATTTTGAATACTCTTCCCTGTGCCTTATTCATCACTGGGCCTCTATTAGGTGTCGGGCATTTTATTTTAAAGCCAGCTCTTAATTATTTGGATGCCAATTAGCCAGGGTCTGGAATTAACCAGACTTTGCTTTTTCTCCTTTTCTTTGCGGCTGCCTGCCTTTTGGCCACAGCACAGCTTGTTAGTTCCTTCATGAGGGAATGAAGGGCAGAGTTGAGGTAGAGATAAAAGCCTAGGGACTCAAATAAGTCCATTTTGTTGTTTGTTGGAAGCTCTGGTTAAAAGTTTGGCAAGGTAGTATACTAAACGCGCACAATAAAAGTAAACTTTCTTTATCATGCACATCTCATTTTCCAAGCTTTTCCAGATTCCCATTGCTGGGGTTAAATTGGAAGTTGGCAGAATTGCACTTGGTACCTTATACTGTGGCAGGAAAAATAAAGTTTCTCTGACTTGGCAAAAGCTTGTTTAATGAGCAGCTTTGCTTGGTACTGAATTCTTTCATTTCAGCAAGCACAGGGCACTCAGCCACTGGAAATCAAGCCTACCACACTGTCACAGGTTCACCACAGCTGAGCTGCAGTGCTACCAGCTAACAATAGAGTCCACGTTTTTGTTGCATTTTCATGTTTTTTTTTTTTCTGAGTAGAACAAAAAAAGGAGAAAAAAATGAAGGAATTGGGAGTAAAAATATTCTTATATTGGACATACAAAAATGTCATGCTAAATTCTTCAATTATAATAAGTTAGCATATCATTATTTTGCATCAGTTGAGACACAAAATTATCAACAGCCCTTTAATTGCACTCTAAAAATAAAACTAGAGTTCATTTTTATCAGCTTCCTATTTTCTGAGAGTAATTTTAAATTAAAAAATATATAACTTTGAAATGGGGGGAAATCTCTCCCTCATAGGATTTCATGGCAACACTGACTTCTGAAAGACTAGGATAGTTATTCAAATGTAGGGAGTGTGAGCAGTTCATTCTGAAATCCCCAACTGAGCTGTCATTAAATCATCTAATAATTTGTATTTTATTGGTATATAAATACCTGATCACTGTATTTTCCCTCATGTCTCTCACAGTGTGTAGTTAATGTCTCTGAGAGTCTTCCTCTCAACTGAGCAAAAGACAAAAGAGAAAGAACTTGGGAGACCATACAAAAGATAAACTTAGTTGGAAAGAGCAATTTGATTCCCTTGAGTGGGGTGTTAAGCACCAGAATGCATTTCTAAGGGAATGGCAGGGATACCTTTGAAAGTAAACATTTACATTAAATGTGATTAAATGGGATTCTGCATGAGAGGTTGATTAGTTGAAATGATCCTTCAGGAAGTTCACTAAGGAGGTATTTGTACAGTGGAAAAGAATATTTCCAGATAGCACTGGGTTCACATCTTTGCTCTGCAATTTACTAGGGGCGTGACTCTGAGCAACACACATAATCTCCATGGACTTCAATTTTCTCAACTATAAAATGACAATTATAACTTTCAGTGGTTCTATGAAGATTAGATAGAGCTGTATAAAAAGCCCTTAAGGTGGTGTCTAGATTACAACGTGTTTTCAGAGGTTAATAGTTATTTTACTTAAAGTCCCTTCCAACTTTCTAAAAATAGAGTAGTACCACAGATTCTAACTTGTACCTAAATACCTTCTCTAAGCATGTAATAAAATAAGCAGTGAACATCGTCATGCTAATGCTTACCATGGTGAATTGGGGGATCAATACAAGAAACAGATGCTAAGTCTATTTCACCTATTCTTTCGCCTTTTGATAGCTCATAACTCTAAACCTCTTTTCATTGTTACAATTTTAATCTATTTTTAACTGGCACCCTATCTTCTTTGAAAAAGATTTGAGTTTACTTGAAATAAAAAAATATATATATTTCTGATAGGACTGCTAAAAACTTCAACTAAAAAGAGAGTTTAAAGGACAGAAGCAGGAAGAAAAAAAGATGATCATGCTGGGAATTAGATATAATCATTTAACTACTGCAATTGAGGCTTCAGTTCTACATTGAGAGTCCTGGCAGCCAAGGCAAAAGGGTTCTTTTCATTATTAAATTATTTAAGAATCTTAATGGATTAATTCTGCTTGTGTTGTTTCAGTGCGGAATATTTCAAGCGGTTACTGTACCCTTCCTGGGGTTTCAATTCACCCATCACCCTCGATCATCAATTTTTGTCCATTCAGGTCTTTACTTTTAATGTATAATGAATTTGTGGTTTGAGCCCTTGTTCATTATTTTGAATTATCTTGAGAAAAGGTGGAAATTATATGTAGTCATAAAACATAAACCAACAAATTCATGTTCACAGGGACTAAACTGTATGAAAAAAGGGTGGATAAGTTGTAGGGGGTAACATGACCAAATCTTTCCCTCCTAAGTTTACATATACAGCTATAAAGGGAATTCCCTATCTTTGAGGTTATTTTAAGCATCAACCTGCATCTGTATGCATGCATCAACATGTATTTCTAAAAATAACATATGTTCTCATCTACTCTTAGAATGAATTAAATGTGATTCTTTGTGATGAGACGGCAGTTAGTTGATGTGGCCCTTAAGGACATGGTATTCATGCAAAAGTGGGTGGATGGATTTTCAGGAATTATCCAGATAGCTCAGACTGCATTAGCCTAGTCTCAGCTAACTCTCTTTGTAGTATCATTGCTTGTTATCTATCAGACATAAAGGATTAAAAAAAAAGTTTTTCTCTGAATATAATTCTTTGGGTTTTGGGAATTTCCATGTAGTTCGCCAAATTGTACCCACTATCTACTCCAGGCCAGGCACTGTAGAAGGTGGGAAACCATCTGTGTGTTTATATTGGTAGTCAAATCAGCCCAGAATAAATAAAAAGATGCTCTTGAATTGGGGGCTTATATGACCCAGCCTGAGTCTAAGGGCTGGAGTGGTCTTTCTTTGAACTATGGTCTTAAGTGGCTGTTTTCACGCCATCTGCCTCTTCTGGTTTCCATGTCAAAGATTATCCTTTTTGATATGTGACCTTATTCTTTTCACAAAGACTTTCATCATGTTTGATTTCCCAACTTATTTTATCTCTTATCTCTTCATCTGTTGTATACTCAGTTTATTAAGCTAAGAAGTACCAAATGTGTTATTTATGTAATTTGAATTGGATGCCTACAAAAGAGAAGCCACAGTGGCCTTGATGTCTCTCAAAAAATGTGTGCCTACAGAAATTAGCTGGGCATGGTGGTGGGCCCCTGTAATCCCAGCTACTCAGGAGGCTGAGGCAGGAGAATCGCTTGAACCCAGAAGGCAGAGGTTGCAGTGAGCCGAAATACGCCATTACACTCCAGCCTGGGCGACAAGAGTGAAACTCCGTCTCAAAAAAAAAAGCGGGGTGGAGGGGGGGCGCCGGTTATTACTGCATCATGTAAAAATCAGCTAATATTATATGTTGTCTAGACATTTTAGGTAAACTGTCAAGACTGAGATTATGTTGAGTAATCCCCATGGGTGCATCAAAATGTACACAATGGTGCTGAATAAACAGCATGTGAAAATTACTTTTTGGTACAAAATTATCATGTTCTAGACAGCATTATTGTAGACTAGCCAATAATATATACATCTCTTTAGCTATCTAAAATAAGAAAACATTGTTACAGCTGAATTATTTTACGTCATTGGGTATATAAGCATCCTATTTTAAATTTTTAAAAAGCAGAATACTTATGCTCCATTGCTTCCCCTCAGACATATGAAGGAATGACCACTGAGCAATACTTATCTTACTTTAAGCCACTTTGTGCTTTGAGATCTATAGTCACATAGCTTTAGTTCAACATAAGTTTAATGCCACCTTAAGCAAATTTGGAGGAACTTCTGTCTAAAAACAATGGTTTATTATATTTTTAGTTCAAGAAGAATCCATGTCTGAACTCTGTAGCAAAAAAAAAAAAAAAGCAAACAAGCAAACAAAAAACCTAAAGCATCTCTATCCCTAGAAGCTGCTATTTTCATCTCAGAGGTTTGCATTTACATCTTACCATGGGTATCAATAAATCAGTGGTGCATGGGTGCACAGCAGTGTGCTATTCAGCTGTACTGGGAAAGAGGCTCCTTAGCTCCCAGCCCTGTCCCTTCCTGAAATGAGTTCTGCTCTGTTTACCCACCAGATTTGTTAGTTTCACCACATATGAAAATGTTCATGAGAACTCAGCAACTCCTGGATTCTTTTAAAAATCTGTTTCAATGACAACTCGATTAAAAAAAAGACAGAAGATCTGAAGAGATGTCTCACAAAATATACAAATGGGCATGAAGCATGTGAAAAGATGCTGTATATCACTAATCATCAGATAAATGCAAATTAAAACTACAATGAGAACAGAAATAGACACTTGTACCAACTGCATTCTGAAAACATAAATAGAAGGAAAAGAAATGACATGTTTCCTGGGAGGAAGCTTCTGAAACTATCAGAGCTGATTTTCCATGGTAACAAGGGTCAATAATTTGGAGCCAAGTTTATCACTCTATGATAAATAGAATGAGTTGACACAATAGTCCAGGGTAAAATTTTTAAAATTAAAGTATTATTCAAACACAATAAATTTATCAGTGTTAAGTGTATCCCCACTAGAATGGCTAAAGTTATAAAGACTGATGACAGTGAGTATTAACAAAGATTCAGAGCAAGTGGAGTTCTCCTATGTTGCAGGTGGAAATGCAAGATGGTATTGACACTTAGGAAAACTTTATAAAATTACACATACATTTCCTAAGTGAGTCACAAATTTCCATGACTAGGTGTTTACTAGATAGGAATGAAAACAGATGTCCACACAAAATTGTATATGTTAATGTTCATAGTGGCATTATTCATAACAGCCAAAAACTGCAAGGAATTGAATCTTCCTCAATAGGTGACTAGATAAGCAAATTGTGCTATATTCGTATCATGAAACACTACTCAGCAATAAAAAGGTATGAAATAGTAATGCATACAACAACACGGATGAATCAAAAAAATATGCTAAGTGAAAAAAGTCAAACCCCAAGGAGAATGCACGGTGTGTGACTTCATTTATATAACATTCTAGAAAAGGTCAAACTATAGTGACAGATGCAGATCTAGGGCTACCTCAGTCTGGGCACCTGAAGTGATTTACTGCAAGGTGGCATGAGGAATCTTTTTAGGGGGATGAAAATATTCCATATCTGGGTTTTGGTGGTGGTTGCATGATTGTATATAATTATGCAAATTCATCAAACCATACATTTAACATTGATAAATTTATTGTATGTGAATAATACTCTAATTTTAAAAATTTTACCCTGGACTATTGTGTCAACTTACTCTATTTATTATAGAGTGATAAACTTGGCTCCAAATTATTGACCCAAGAAAAATCAACTCTGATAATTTCAGAAGACTACTCCCAGGAAACATATCATTTATTTTCCTTCTATTTATGTTTTCAGAATGCAGTTGCTGCAAGTCTCTATTTCTGTTATTTTTCCTCTCCATTTGTTCTATGCCATAAGCAATAAGCACATTGTCATTGGAGAAGCAAGCTGCTCTGCAAAATTGAGTATTCCTTCACTTAGGAAAATGTAGTAGGAGTTCTTTGTAAGACTCTTTAGAAAATACATGTACAGATAAGGTTGACAATATTTAAAATCCAATATATGCAAATAGGGGTGTTGGTACGGTTAAGTGTAAATCACTAACTGCTCACTCAACTGCTGCAGGTCTCAGAATGACCATCTCATTTTGGTAAAGAAGAGTGGGGCCTACATAACGCCTCAGATGGCAGAATGACAGTCATTTGTTCAAGTTACAGGGTTTGTATATGTACAAAGTCAAACCCTCTCAAATCTACAACTATATGAAATTAGAATATGCTGCCTTGTGAAATCACCTCATTGCACTAGAAATAATAAAGCCAAGGGTTGGATACACATGAGTGCAAATGTCACAGATGTTATCTCGGCATTGGCTAAGAGGGTGAGGCTGCTTGATCTCCAAGGCGTCACTCAATACTGAGCTTCTATTATTTGATTAAATCATTAATGGTCTCCTATCTGCAGTTTCAGCAAAGTCATGGGTCAAAATTTAGACTGCACAGGGAATGAGCTAGTGGTCATAGACTGCTTGTTTGAGCAAGTTTGAGAAGTTGGCCACAAAGAAAAGAAATAAAATAAGAATAAAGTGATGAGCATCACAAGATATCAACAGGGCCTAATGAAACTCCTCTCTAAATTTCTTTAAGAACATGGATTTTGAAAACAACAGAAAGAAGGCAACTTGAAAAGGGAAAACTAAAGTGACAGAGAGAAAGGAAACGAGAGGATATTGTGTAGGCTCCTAGACATTGCATTCAATCAATTCACATTTAATGTCCACAGAAGATGGGCTTTATTCCTATGAATGCCCTCAAGATTTTTATTCACTGCAAAGTTGCAAAACGTTGACCACACTTGCATTTATTCTATACTCCAGGGATCTTCAAACTAGACTCTGTGTGCCCATGGAAACTTTACAAAGGTTTGCAAGCATGGTCAGTTTGAAGGCAATCTATTTCTGTGTCATCTGCTTCTCTAGGTATGCTTTCCTAAACAAATCTGCCGATAACTTATGGTTGAGTAGCAGGCCAGCTCTCTTTTGTCGCCTCTCTTTCACAATTCTCATTCTCCCACTCTATAAAGTGGCATACCTCTTACCTATACTACCTCTCCCTATTGCGGGCAGGGAGCCCTGGTATGAAAGGAGCACTTGGGGGCACTATACAAAAGGACAGTTTGAAATACTTCTTTTATCAAGGCACCAAGTTTGTCTCTCATATTTGAAGTCTATCTCACATATTTGAATTATTTCAAGGAGGAAGTAAAAATTTCCATGGACTTCGAACAGATCTATATTAAATCTTCAAATAAAAAAGAAACACATATTGAAGGGAAGTTGATGTTTTATGTTTTCTTTTCAGGCAAACTATATTAACTTTTTAACATTAACGCTTTTTCTAACTTTAGCCAAATGTATATTGGATATGATAAATCCATAATCATTTTTTTCACCTGAGTGCAATTCTGTCATTTTGTCAACAAATGCTCTGCTCATGTATTCACTCTTACATAAGGCCTCAGATGGCAGCACGAGGGTCACTTGTTCAAGTTTCATATTAAGCTACCAGAGTTATGTGGCACCTGGGTAAAATGCAAGAAGAAAATTTAAGAGGTCAGATTAAGAACTAACTGAACTGCATATACAGAGCTGCGTAAGTCTCAGGTTCAAAGGGATACTTGGTGTGGCACAAAGAATGCACCCTGCTGGCCATTTCAGTGGCTGTAAAACACTGAGACTTAAGATCTGGTGGGAAACCCCCCAAAAGACAATTGATGTTAAATGTTGTGTGTATTGTAAAATACTAAGAAAACACATATTTTTATTCTAGGATAAATAGAATAAAGTGTTATCATTAAAACCACCACTCTGTCCTTGATTCCTCCATCACCTCACCTTTCTCCTTGCTGGTATTGTTATTTCCCTTCTACTTCCAGGTGTCAACCAACATGTGCTCTGTGCATGCCTGCTATGTGGTCAGTGCACCTTGTTTCTAGCAGCAGTAGGGACCCTCTCTTCCTCTACAAATCTTCCCTTCATCTCCTGTTGCTGCAGATAGTTGATGGTTAGCTTTGATGCACCAAGCATGAATCAGTCTTCTTGGGGGCACTTCGACAAGCTCATGGAAGAGGAATTATAGCTAAAGTTGTACCTGAACACTCTGCTGGACCAGCCACAAGGTTTGAAACAAAGTTGTGTCTCTGTATACAATAGAGATCGATCTTGATGGTGACACTTAAGGTCAAGGCTAGCCTCCTTAATTGCACAAACACATAATCCTAGTTTACAGAAGCAATGATATCCTAGATGCTGCTTCTCTGAACAGTCATTTTATCCTTTCAGTGGTTAAAAACTTAATTCCCACAGTGTGATGCAATTATATAGAAATGAACTTCAAGTTACAACCCATTGCTTGATTAGAAGACATAAGCAAAGCACCTGCCAGAAAAAGTAGCACATCGTAAATACTATTAGTTCCTGTTTTATATCAATGCAGAACCATGCTGGCAATAAAACCAGCTGACTGATGCTCAGCATTATCTGAGGCAAGAGTTGAAAGAGTTTCTAAAAGAGAACTGTGAGTTTAAAAGTCAATGAATCTGGCCAGGCGCGGTAGCTCACGCCTGTAATCCCAGCACTTTGGGAGGCCAAGGTGGGTGGATCACGAGGTCAGGAGATCAAGACCATCCTGGCTAACACGAGGAAAGCCCATCTTTACTAAAAATACAAAAAAAAAATAGCTGGGCGTGGTGGCGGGCCCCTGTAGTCCCAGTTAAAAGCTGTGGGGGAAAGACTAACTGGTTAATATAGGAGAAGGAATGAGAGTTTGAGCCACTAGAAGAAGAGTTAGGAGGTTAAATAGCTTTGATGTGAAGCTAAAGAACACAGTACAGTCAATGCCAAATATAAGATATCAAAAGAAAATAAAAGGAGTAATTCACTTGGGAGCTAAAATATTCCAAGAACATGAACCCATGCCTAAAATGAAAATGAAACATAATTGCGATGATAATTTAGTCTTTATAAAGAAAAAAGGTAAGGTATAGTGGTTAAGTGTTTGGGCTCTGGAGTCCAACACAGCCTAGTTCAAGCCCCAATTCTGTCACTTAAACTAGCAAGCTTGGCTGAGTTCTGCAGCTTTTCAGAGGTAGTTTCCCCATCAGTACAATGGGGATAATACTGGCATATATCTCTTGTGAAAACTAAATGATACAATGCATATAGAAGGGCTTTATTTGAGTTAGCTAGAGGTAGTATTTTTACTCCATTATTGCAGTATTGTGTATGTATCACATTATGCTGAGTAGAAGCCAAACAAGTCATTGAACATTGCAGATATATCATTTAACAGATGACACTGGCACTGCAAATATATTAACAGCTTCGGCATAGAATAGAAGACAGACAATACACTTTTTAAATAAGTAAAATAGCACAACATTATTAAACCATACTGGACAACTAATTTTTAATTCTGGGCTCTAAAATAAGAAGCTGGGGAGAAATGTCAGAAACATAGCTAATATTTGAAAACAGAACCCAGGAAGAAAAGTTAAAGAAACTGAAAGTATAGTTAGAAAAGATAATATTGAGAGGTTACTACAATTTTCTTGGCTGTGAAGTCAGCTTTGCCTGAAATTAATATAGTTGATCCAGCTTTCTTTTGATTAGTGTTAGCATGGTATATCTTTCTCCATTTCCTTACTTAAAAAACTTCATTTCTAGAATAGTTTGAGGTTCACAGCAAAAGTGAATAGAAAGTACAGAAATATCTCAATTAACCCCAGCCCCCACACATAGATAGCCCCTCCTCTTATCAACATCCACCACCAGAGTGGTACATTTATTATAACCAGTGAACCTACATTGACACATCATTATTGCCCAAAGTTGGCTAGGTGAGGTCTCGCACCTGTAATCCCAGCACTTTGGGAGGCTGGGTCAAGAGGATCACTTAAGGTCAAGAGTTTAAAACCAGCCTGAGCAACATAGCAAGACCTTATCTCTACAAAAAGTTTAAAAATTAGCCCAGTGTGGTGGCACACACTTGCAGCCCCAGCTACTTGGGAGGCTAAGGTGGATCATTGGAGCCCAGGAGTTCAAGGCTGCAGTGAGCTATGTTCATGACACTGCACTCCAGCCTGGGTGACAGAGCAAGACCTTATCTTTAGAAATAAATAAAAATACATTAAAAATTTTTTTAAATGTCATCCAAAGTCCATATTTTACATTAGAATTCACTCTTGGTGTTGTACATTCTACGGCATCCCTTTATTTTTAAATTGTCTGTCTTTAAAATTAAAGTAGGTTTCTTGTAGATGGGACTAGTTTTTTAATTCATTCTGACAGTCTCCATCTTTTAATTGGTATATTTAGACCATTCATATTTAAAGGGATTATTGAGTTAGCTGGATTGATATTGATCATATTTGTAAGTGTTTTCTATTTGTTGACTTTGTTGGTTGTTTTTTGGTTGTCTTCCACTCTTTTTCTGGCTTCTTCGGTTTTAAGCATTTTACATTATTCTATTTCCTCTCCTCTCTTAGTATATCAATTATATTTTTTTAAAACATTTTTAGTGGTTGTCCTAGAGTTTGCAATATACATTAATGACTAATCCAAGTTTACTGTCAAATTCCACCATACTGCTTCACAGGTAGTGCAAGTGTTACAGGAGAGGGGTCCTGATGCAGACCTCAAAAGAGGGTTCTTGGATCTCACACAAGAAAGAATTCAGGGTAAGCCCACAGTGCAAAGCAAAAGCAAGTTTATTAAGAAAGTAAAGTGGAGAAAGAACAGCTTCATAGACAGAGTAGGGCATTCCCGAGAGTAAGAGGAGGAATATATCCACCCTAGGTACAATGCTTGTATATAGAGAATTTAAAAAGATCATGGGGAGATGTACTCTGCTACAAGGGTTTGTGAGAAAAGATTAATTTTCTTAATTACTATACTTTGCAAGAATCAATATTATTACCTTTAAAGCAAAATTAGAAATGCCTTTGTTCTCATCCCAGCTACTTGGGAGGCAGAGGCAGGAGGATTGCTTGAACCTGGGAGGTGGAGGTTTCAGTGAGCCGAGATCGTGCCACTGCACTCCAGCCTGGTGACAGAACAAGACACCGTCTCAAAAAAGAAAAGAAAAGAAAAGAAAAGAAAAGAAAAGAAAAGAAAAGAAAAGAAAAGAAAAGAAAGAAATAAAGAAAAAGAAAGAAAGAAAGAAAGGCCTTTGTTCTCAAGATATTGGGGTATCTGGACACTCCCAAATCTGGGTCTGTTTAGAAAACATTATTAATTTGTTCCCTTAGCCATAAACATCTAGAGGCTAGGAATGCCTAACTTTCTGGGAATGCAGCCCAGCAAGTCCCAGCCTCATATTCCTAGCCCTCACTAAAGATGGAATCGCTCTGATTCCAATGCCTCTGACACAAGTACCTTATAAGAAAGTGTTCCTAGTTTTTCCCTCCCATGCTATATAATATTGCTGTAATTCATTTCAATTATTCATAAGCTTAATCACCCAATATATTGTTTCTCTTATTCTTTTAAATACATTGTTATCTGTTAGATCAATTAAGAATAACAAAATTTTATTTTACATTCATTGATTTTGTCTCTATTTCTCTTCCTTTACGTAGATCTGAGTTTCTGATCTATATCATTTTCCTTCTCTCTGAAGAACTTCTAATATTTTATGCAAGCCAGGTCTATTGTCAACAAATTTTCTGTTTTTCTTTGTCTGAGAAAGTCTTTGTTTCTGTCACGTTCAAGAGATAACTTCACTGGATATAGAATTTTAGGTTGGTGGAGTTTTTCTCTTTCAACACTTTTAAATACTTCCCTCTATTTTCTTCTTGTATAGTTTTTGAAGGGAAGTGCAATATAATCATTATCTTTGCCCTTCTGTAGGTAAGATGTCTTCTCCTAACCCCTCTGACTTCTCTCAAGATTTTCTTTGTCTTTGGTTTTCTGCAGTGTGAATATGATATACAGGGGTGTAGATTTTTTGTTATTTCACTTGCTTGGGGTTCTCTGAGCTTCCTTGATCTCTGGTTTGGCATCTGTCATTTATTTTGAAAAATACTCAGCCATCATTACTTCAAAAATTTGTTCTCTTACTTTTTGTCTTTCTTTTCCCTCTGGTATTCCCATACATGTATGATATACCTTTTATAGTTATCTCCCAGTTTCTTACTATGAAGATGGGAGAAAAACTCCTTACTATGGGGGAGGAGAAAATTATAATTTTAAAATACACTTAGTGCTTTCTGTTCTCCTTCACAAGGCCTACCCTGGAGGAAAAGTGTTGTACCAAAGTCTAATCACCTGGGGTTTTACCAAAGCCCAACAACACCCCTGGAGGAAGGGAAAAAGCCAACTTCAGCACCCTCTTGCCTTCCACAAGGGGGAAGGGAAATACCCAATTCAGGCTTACAAAAGACTGAGACCTAATCATAGGACTATAGAATGCTTTCTCCCTGTTACACCTTATTAGTATATCCATAAGACTGCTGTCTAATAATAGAGTATTAAAGCTAAGAAAGAACTGCAAGCCTTAAATCCTATCTAAGGAATGTCTAGGGATGTTCAGAGACAATAGGAGAGACAAAAACAAAGGCATTGGAGGATATTTCAGCCTCTGACACCACAGCTCCAGCAAATGGTAAGCATAACCTAATTCCTAAACGTATAAGACCTCCTTTAAAGGCCTCTCAATCTCACTTTCTTTTGTCTGATACATTATGTCTGGCTCTCAATAAAAAATTAGCAGAAACTGTTAGAGCTCCTGGAAATAAAACTCCCCAAATAGTGCCCTCTGTCCCCAGAGACTGCACTCCCCTTTGGATATATTTTTTAATTCTCATGTCAGTTCTCCCTGAGCTTCCAGCAATTTGTCAATTACAGTTTATTGTTTCTACCAATACAGGTTTTAGCTGTGGGCCTCTGCTCCCCGTAGGCTTTGGTTCTCTGTGTATAGCTGTCCATTTCTCCATTTTTCAGGGCAGCATTTTCTGCTGTGACCTCAATTCTCTGTAAAGGTTGTTGATTTTCAGTTTGTTTAGCTTTTTGTTGTTGCTGTTGTGAGGAAGGGAGCAATGACTTCCAAGCCTTTACACGTCAGACCTGAAACCAGAGGTTCTTATAAAAGCCACCAAGAGATCCATGGCATAGATGGGAAACAGGCTGCTCTCAAATACCTAGCATTTTAAGAGCACTGACTCTTTTCCTTTGTAAGACTTACCGTGATGTATCTGTACATTTGTTTGTGGTGCTGCCTCCATTTGACCCATTAGGTCCATGAGAGCAGTGGCTGTGTTTCCAAAGTGTCTCCAATAACTAATATAGTCCCTCACAGAGGGAAAGCCCTTAATAATTATGCGCTGAATGAAAGACTAAAGATACAGGTAAGTGCTGGCCATAAAGAGGGGTTTTCTGAAGCCTGTTAACTGACTGCACTGGGTCACTAAGCAGGTCATGAAATCTCCTTTCTCAGAAGCCTTAGAGAGCCCAGCTCCTGGTGTGTCTGGCATAGTTTGTGAGATGTCCTGCCAGACAGTGAGAGGCTGGATCTACCAGTCTCTTAATGTTTTTTTCAGGTTCCTTTTCTGTTGCTTTTTTTTTTCCAGCAAATGTTTGTTTATTCTCCAAGGTCTTACATTCTAAATGCTAGGTGTTGAACTCCTAACATAACCTTCGTATACAACTGAAGCTGAATTTGAGCATAACATAAACTCATATACAACTGAAGCTGAATTTGAGCTTGCCTATGTAGAAAATGGTGTGGCTTTTTTCTAGATAGTTATCAGCTGAAGTTTATGCTTGAGCCTTGAGCAGCAGATGGTTGTATCTCCAGCATGGGAAAGAATAAAGGCAAGGGTGATTAAGGAAAAACTTTCTAGAGGTATTGGTCAATGCTTTCAGAATTCTGAGAGCTAGAATTGCCAAAGTCACTCCCATTCTTGGCCACCTTGATTGTGGCCAATGGGCTGGCATAATTATAAACCTTTAGACACCTACATTTTTCTATATGCTCCACATCTGTTTACATCACCCATTTCCTCTCTGAGTAGGTGAACCTCTTAAAGCCAATTACTTCAAACATTCAGATTTTATGATAACGCTTTGCCTTACTTTTTCTCATCTGCTTTCCCTGAATTTCATCTTTCCTCTACTATGATTCCCTAATAAGGCAAAAGTTGTTTCTACATGTGAAGTTCCATTTTAAATTAATCTGTTCCTAAACTCTTCATCATTAGCTTTCACTATGTGTTCCCAGTTCTTCAACTAGAAACTGTTATAATTTACCCAGAAGAAATGCCTTCAAAGGAGCACAGGCATAGAGGACTTTAGAATAATTCAAAACAAAGAAAAGCAATAAGTATTGCAATTTAATTTTATGAGAAGTTTAATTTTCCCAGTGTGAGAAAATAACATACCCATAAAATGTCACTGTAACATAAGAAGCTAAACTCATTTCTTCATCTACAGTTTGATAAAGAAAAAAAATTTAAAGGGGAGTATTTGATTGAAAGTTTTCAACCTGGGGAGAGCACAGCATAACTGAGCTCCAAACAATTCCCCAACCCACACTCTAGCAATAACATTGTGCAACAACACATAAGGTATTTCAGGGAAACAACTGTTCTTGAGAAAAAATTTCCAAGTAATTTCCTTTCATTTAATCATACATCCAAGACATTTCTATACATGCATATTTAAAAGTATCTGCAAACCAAGACCTCCTAGTACTTTTAACATTTTTGAAGATTCTTGCTTCTTAAAGAAATTTCTGACTTTCCCCATTCCAGGAAACTATGGATATACAGGCTGATTGTTCCAGGGCCTAAAGCAATGATAAATCACCATTTTAAAAATCCACAGTGACTCCTTCAGATTCTTAAGAAAATTTACCCAGAAGTAGCTTAGGCACTGGCATCAATATGATGAGTGTGATAAACAAGACTTGACCATGATAAAAGCTCACCTCACACTTAATTATAGAAGAAAATTATAGAACTAGCAAACCTGTACAGTTAAACATCAAGTTCCAGAGAGTTACTGGACCAGCCTCGCAAAACAACAAATTCTCTGTTATTTGGAAACACAGTTTGTGTGTGTGTGTGTGAATCAAATATTTGAGTTATACAGAATTACAACGTACAGTAGACATAGACTATCAATCTCCAAATAATTATATGGATCGTATGCCCCAATTTGACACTGTTCATTCTTTTGGAATGATTCAGAAAGCACCTCAACCCAGAATGGCACCTCTGAGTAGGATCTGAAGTTTTCTTGTGCTAGGGCTGTGTGGGAACTAGAGGCCACACAGTTCCAATAGGAAAGGTCACCTATTGATAAAACTCAAGGCAAGCTACAATTCCTTCTAATTTAAGGGAATGATTAGAGATTTGTTTGACCCTGAAATTGTCTGTAATTTTTCCTTGATCCCTAACACCATTCATACTATTGTCTTCATTACCATTCCTACACAGACAATTCTGATCTCACATAGACACACACACACACACAGACACACACACATACCCGTTGCCCATATGTGTAGATACATTTCTAACTTACACACAAGTTCAAAAGTGGACAGTATTATTTTGATAGCCTTTTTTATTTGAAAAAATTGTCTAATCTCCATTTCTGTCCCATTCTTATCATATATGATCCAACTAAAATATTGTCCCAGGGAAAAATACCCAATATCAACAGGCTAAGTGTTCATTTTTCTAGGTTTGTTGGACAATGGAGAAAATCTTTTCTAATATATGAGTTGTTATAAGATCTGTCAGTATTCTATTTGAGGAACAAATAGCTAGAAGAAGATTCTGCATATGTTCCCCCTGTAGTCACTCAGGGTGATATTGAGTAAATATCCAGTCCAAAGGACAATGGGAGAAAAGAGTTTGGAAGTTAGAGTACAGAATTTGAGTTTCAGAAGAGAAAATGAGGCAGTAACTGATAAGGGTTATTGGACAGAGGGAAGTAGGGCTGTTTTGTTTTGTTTTTCCTTTGAAAAGACACAGACTTAAGCAGCTTTAAACATTTATAAAAAGGATCCAGTTTTTTTGTGTATGCATCCATTCATTTAAACAACATTTCTTGTACATCTACCATGTATCAGACACTATTCTAAGCACCAGAGATGGCAACAAACAAGACAGGCTAGATCCCTATCCTTACTGAGCTTGCCATCCATTGGGGAAAACCAGAATTAAGTAATAAGCAAATAACATTAGTTTCTATTGATGATAAATGCTGTAAAGAGAATTATACAAAGTGATGCTGGGGGGTAGAATGTTATTTATATAGAATGGCTAGAAAAGCCTTCTGTGAGGAGGTGACATTTCAGTAAGGAGCCAGTCATAAAATAATATGAGGTAAGAACATCCAAAGCAGATGACAATCTGAGCAGGAACACACAACGTGGTGTGTCCAAAGGGCTGAATGAGAGCCAGTGATTGTGAAAGCCAGAGGAAGTGGGAGAAAATAAAATCTGAGTTGGAGGCATAGCCTATTGGTTACAGAAAGGGCATGAAGTTTTATTCTAATCACAATAGAAATGTATTATAGGCTTTTCAACAGAGAGAATGGAAAGTTCTCATTTAAACTTTAAACAGTAGTCTTTTTGTTATGCAAAGATGGATTATAAGAGATCAAAAGAAACAAAATTAAACCAGTAAGACTTATTAGATAGCTACCTTGTAGTACACGTGAGAGAGCTGTAACAGTGAAATGGTGAGGAGTGATCAGATTTAGCTTAGCAGTGGCTGTAGAGCCAACAGGTCTTGCTGATGGAGTACATGGCAGGGTAAGAAAAAGAGAAACAAGGTTGTCTTTGAGGAATTTGTCATAATCAACTGGGTGAATAATGATGCCATCAGGAAAATGAGAAAGCACTGTTGGATGGACATGGGGAGAGAAATAAAGAATTCTCTTGCAGTTGAGGAGTTCTTGTTGAAAGAAAGACATTGAGTATACATGAGAGAGAAAGAATTCATAGTTTAAAAATCTAGAGAAAGCAGAAGGGATGGGATCCAAAGATTAGGAAGAGGGGTCATTATTAGTTATGAGGAGGGTGTGCTCTTCTAGTCTACCAGGAGGTGAGGAGGAGAGGACAGGTACCAGTCATAGGTTTTCAGGCTTCTAACTTTTATATTACCAATACTTAGTTGCAGGCTTGATACCGCATTCCTATGACTACCAATTTGTCTACAAAGTCCAGGGAGGCAGGTACAGAGGGATAACTGAGATTTGAGAAGATTGGCAACACTGAAATATTTATTGTGCAGTCTGGGACAATGAGCTGATTAGAAAAAAGCAGGAAAGTTGCCAAGTAATGTTAAGGGTCCTTTGAAGTTGGTGATCATGAATAAGGTCATCATACTATCTACTTTGATGTATGATCGTGAATAAGGTCATCATACTATCTCCTTTGATGTATGATAGTGGATAAGGTCATCATACTATCTACTTTGATGTATCATTTTCCTTTTTGAGCACTCCACTGGTCAGGAACAGGCACACATTAAGCATAAAAGTGTGAAATGAAAAATTGTTTTATCTGAAGAGTGTGATGAAAATACAGAGATGGAAGGAAATTAGGGGTACTGGCAACAGTCCCATTAGAAAAGAAACCTTGGAATCTGCAATAGATAAGGATGCTATTAAAAAATGCCTGGGCAATGCGTAGAAAGATCAATGAATTGGAGGGAATGATGCAGTAGAAACAAATGTCAAAGAATGACCACGGTGTGAGTGGTGAAGCAAACTAAAATGAGACAAGGTTTCAGACAGAATGTAAGGTGCTTGAATTATTTATTTTGGAGATGGTGGTAACAAGGTCCACCGGGTAGACATAGAGTAGGTCTCTGGTATGGAATATAAAAGATTAAGAAAGAAGAGATAAACAAGTGAAGGATCTAAGGCCCAGGATGTTGAATGCCTGTGTGGACACTGAATCCATCCATTATAACTTTACTTAAGATCGAGATGAGGCTTGTGAACCAATTACCAAAGTCTTCAATGAATGAGCAGGAATGGGAAGTAGACAACAAGCAAGAAGGAGAGGGAGGGATAGTATCTGTGAATGGCATGTTCACTACAGAAGGGGTTGGGTCATAGATGCAACCAAGCAAACAGAGTAACAGATCTACCACCTCACTCTGAGGAACCACAGATGCAAGGTAACACTCAGCTACTTTTTGAGAAGACTAAAAGAAAATGGTGTCTTCAAGAGAAACCCAGATGCAGTACAGGGAAGGCTTTAAGAACAAGCTGTGAAAAGACAGGAGTGAAGGAGCAGCTCTGGAGGGTGCAGTGGAAGGAGTCCAGAAGAGAAGGAACAAGAAGGCTCATGTGTAGGACAAGGTGCTGAGAACATCATGGTCACAGTAGACACCTGAGGGGCTGGACTTGGAGGGAGGGAGTTACTCCATGGGGTTTAGACAGAGAGATGAGAACAAGCAGATTTAGCCTCAAGGTCTTTTTAACTTGCAAGTACACTGGTCCAAATGGTGGGTGGGTGACATTCTCCGGTCCAAAGCATTGCAGCTCCTATCTTCAAGATAACGATGATGAGAGAGTTCAGAATTATGTATCAGTCCTTTATTTACTTTAAAAAATCACATTAGGGGCCACATTATTTCTCCCTTTTTACTTATTTGGTTATGATATAACTTCTGTAGTGGCTGAACTTGAGAAATCCTTAAAATTATCAAGAATAATATTAATAAAACTTACAAAATCTTCTCTAAGTATATAAAGAAAATAGCTAACATTTATTGAGCATTTACTGTGTTTGTCACTGTGCTTTATGTATTATCTGAAATCCATAAGAATCTTATAAGCTCAATATTATTATTTGCATTTCATGGACATTGCAACTAAGAATTAGGGAGGTTAAATAATTTGCTCAGGATCTTGTAGTTAACAAATGGTAAAGCCAAGATTTGGCCCTGTTCAGACTTATTCTAGAATGATATGTTATACAGCCTCTGAACCATGCTGGAAACACAATTTAATCTCTAAGTAGCCCATTGGAGTATTTAAATACAGGTACTTAAAAATGGAAAGAAAGGAAGGAAAAGAGGGAATGTGGGAGAGAGGAAGATAGGGAGGGGAAGGGAAGGAAAGGGAAAGGAAGGGAAGGGAAGGGAAGGGAAGGGGAGGGAAGAAATGAAGGAAGAAGAAAAACCTGGCATATTTCTGAGCTGGCATGCATGTGCTTGCTATTTAAAATGCTACATGGTTATTCTTGTGAAGGAATATGAAGCATTTCAATGTGTTTACTTTTTAAGTGTAAGTTTACTAGAAGCCATCTGCTGATAAAACACAGTAACCTACTGCAAACTCTGAGACTTTTTTTAGATGGCATTATTAGCTAAAAATAACTGCCACAGAACTGAATGACAGAAAACTAAAATGTGAGATCAGAAAAAAAAACATTTCAAGGTTGCCTGAACAATCATCTGGGTTTAGAAAAGCTGCAACAGTAAACGAGGCAAACCCAGATCTATTGGGTCATAATCCACCCTTTCAAAAGTCCGCTCTTTCCTGCAAGGGGGAAGAAAAGGGTGGAGAGTCAAGCCACTCATAGGGCTCTGGCTGGCATTTTCATAGACCAGCAAACACACTCTTGGATTCATTCCGCACCATGTAGCAGCCTCCTACCATTTCTGTGGCAGTGTGTTCGGCAAGTGGATGGAATGTGCCCTGTCAGGCTTCTCAGGCCTGGGCACAGAAGTTGGCGGCCCAGGTGGGCACATCCAGTGGGAGTGGCTGCTCCCCACACTCCACAAACAGACAGAATCAGCCTTCTTCTCAGGCAGACATCAGGGCAGGAGAGCCAAATGGCACTTTGTGTATTAACAAATAATGCTAAGTGACGAGTTAATGGGTGCAGCACATCAACATGGCACATGTATACATATGTAACAAACCTGCACGTTGTGCACATGTACCCTAAAACTTGAAGTATAATAATAATAAAATTTAAAAAAATAAATAAATGTTCTCAGTTGGATCATAGGATCCTCGAAGCAGGAGGTCACTAAGTTGACAGCTCATAAGACAAATTAGCCATCAACTTTTAAGGTTGATGATAATCAACTGCTTGCTTCAATTTTGCATTAGAAATATATGTTCTTGATATTGAACATATTCTTGGGAGGGGGCACCTGCTGTGTTTCAGGAACTATAGAAATGTTGACTTATTTGATCCCAAAACAACTTTGGAAGGTAGACCTGGTGGTTACCCTAATTTTACAGATGGGTAAAGGGAGGCTCAGAGATATGCAATACTTACTCCAGACTATTAAGCACAAAACACGGGTGCAAATCTAGATCTGTGCAGATGCAAAGGTCCCAGTTCTTTCCACTCCACTAGCTTCATGATATCATAGCAGGCTGTCTGAAATAGGCACTTCCTTTACAGCTTTCCTTCAGGATTGAGACCCTTGCCTCTCAAGGAGACAGCCTCCTTCCTGCAAAGCATTGGTTTTGCCTCTAGCTGATGGAAACAGACCTACAAATGGGAGAACTCAGGGAGGAGAGGAGGAATTTAGCCTCAAAGCCCACGGATGAGCTTCTGAGGTGCACAGCAGTGGCTGCTTTCTCTCCATCTGAGGCTGATTTCAGAGCAAAAGCTGCTGTGCCACAACGTGAAACTGTCACTTAGCATCCACAGACATTTTTAATCCCTTGTCATCCAGGGCTGTCACATTAAAATCACAGCTAGTTGCTGTAGCTAGATATGCATCCAGTTTTTTCTTTAAAAAAATGGGGCCAGTCACAGTGGCTTATGCCTATAATCCCAGCCAAGGAGTCCAAGGTGGAAGGATCACTTGAGCCCAGAAGTTCAAGATCAGGTTGGGCAACACAGCAAGAACCTGTCTCTAAAAAAAATTTAAAACTTAGCTGGGTGTGGCGGTGCATGCTTGTAGTCCCAGCTACTCGGGAGGCTGAGGTGGGAAGATTGCTTGATCCCATGAGGTCAAGGCAGCAGTGAGACATGATTGCACCACTGCACTTCAGGCTGGGTAACAGAGTGAGACCCTGTCTATAAATAACTAAATGGAAAAGGAAAAAGTCCTTCCTGTACATTGTTATTGTGTGCCAGTTTATGTTGCTTACATCAGCAGCATTAGACCCGATGAAAGGGGCTCAGCAGTTCAAAGCTGCCATGGCCATCATAAAACTCCAGCTCTCCCAGCCCTGTGGTTAGTGAGTAAAGGAAGCTTGCCACTGAGAAGGCAAAACCAGTCAATCTTGCAAACATCCAGGGTACTCAGACGTATGCCTGGGCCAAATTAAGCATTCTTTCACTTCTTCCTTTGTACTGGAAATCCTGATTAAACTCATATGATTTGAGAGGTTTCAATTTCAGAGAAAAGGGAGCTTGAGTGTAATAGGAAATCCCATGTTTTGAGTAAATTATAAACACAGTATGTAATGCACATATTTTAATAACAGCAAGTCCTTTAAAATAAAAAGCTCCATCCATGCATAGCATGCTTCCCTTCGAGCCCACCCCTTTATTTATACCTCCTTGCTCTTTTCTCATTTGCTTGCTCTTATTTGGAAAGACAAGCATTAATGGCACACAGGCAGATTTTCATGGAAGATTGCTTCTTCTGATGTTTTACCCTCCCCTTCTCCCATCCCACTTCTCATTATTTTTCATTTTAGAAGTCCCTTGGAATTAGAACAGCTCTGTCTCCATCCCTATTATTTGCAAGTACAGTCTTCAGTTCTTAGATATCCATTCTTTTCAGAGGCAGACTTGCTTAACTCAAGCATTTTCTCATTTACATGTGAACCAACCCCAATTCACAAGCACTGTAATTTACATGTTGGGTGTATAAAAGCTTCACAAGGCAGAGTTCTGTGGCCTTCAATTCACACAGCAGATCCTCACTCCCTCCCTGTGGCAAGGACCACATTGTATTTGGTTTGTCTGCCTGTGAACTCCTTGTAAATTACTTTAGGGCGGTTTTCACCAGCAGCCTCCACCATGCAGAGCTCTCTAGCTTCCTCCTAATTTAGACACTCTCTTCCCCAGTGTTACCTTTTCTGACATAGTGCTTGATTATTTGCAGAAATGCCAGGAGAAAATTCTTCCCCTTTCTGTGACAGTGAGACAATTTCCTGGCACAGAAATAGAGCTGCTG